>NC_000023.11:18501124-18804154 GCF_000001405.40 Homo sapiens | reverse complement strand
CAGACATGCTCTGTGAAGAAAAGACTGTGCTTAGGGGAAGGATGTTTATGGGAATGTCACCAACAATTTTAGCTTACCTTCCCATCATGACAGATTTCATACCCTTCGGGCTTACATTCATGAGACCTGATGAGCATCTTCAACTGGTATTTATTAAGAATCTTGGAAGTAACATCTGGTCCAAAATAGCAGCCCCCTCCTCGGCACGTATTTGGAAAACAGCCATTTTTGCCTCTGGGATCACTCCACAGAATATCAATAATCTTGGAACAACAAACCAGATTTCGCTGTAACTTACAAGTGAGAGTATATCTTTCTAGATTCCAACTTATTTGTCAGAAATATTAACCCAAGGTATCCCAAAGACCACTTCTCATTCTTCCTTGAAAATTGTTTCAGGCCTGGCGTGGTGGCTCATGCCTGTGATCCCAGCACTTTGGGTGGCTGAGGTGGGAGGAGTGCTTGAGGCCAGGAGTTCAAGCCCAGCCTGGGCAACATGGTGAGACCTCAACTCTGCAAAAAATACAAAAATTAGCCAGGCATGGTGGTGCATGCCTATAGTCTCAGCTACTAGGGAGGCTGAGATGGGAGGATCACTTGAGCCTGAGAGGTTGAGGCTGCAGTGAGCCATGATCACTCCACTGCACTCCAGCCTGGGTGACAGACAGAGACCCTGTCTCAAAATTGTTGGGAGCAGGCCCCCCTAAAATCTGGCCATAAACTGGCCCCAAAACTAGCCATAAACAAAATCTCTGCAGCACTGTGACATGTTCATGATGGCCATAACGCCCACGCTGGAAGGTTGTGGGTTTACGGGAATGAAGGCAAGGAACACCTGGCCTGCCCAGGGCGGAAAACCGCTGAAAGGCATTCTTAAGCCACAAACAACAGCATGAGCGATCTGTGCCTTAGGGACATGCTCCTGCTGCAGTTAACAAGCCCAACCTATTCCTTTAATTTGGCCCATCCCTTCGTTTCCCATAAGGGATACTTTTAGTTAATTTAATATCTATAGAAACAATGCTAATGACTGGCTTGCTGTTAATAAATACGTGGGTAAATCTGTGTTTGGGGCTCTCAGCTCTGAAGGTTGTGAGACCCCTGATTTCCCACTTCACACCTCTATATTTCTGTGTGTGTCTTTAATTCCTCTAGCGCTGCTGGGTTAGGGTCTCCCCTACTGAGCTGGTCTCCGCAAAAAAGAAAAAGAAAAAAGAATATTGTTTCATATTCATCTCCTCCATGAATAACCAATACAGCAATAACAATAACCAAGAATCAGGCCTTGCCATTTTTTTTTTGTTTTTTTGGCTTTAAAAATTCCATCACAATTGTTTGACAATTGTTGAATCTACAAGGTTCTTTTCTCTTAAAAGAACTTCATTGTCACATTCAGGGAAGAAATTAGCTCCCCACAATGCCCACACATTAGGTGTGTCTTAATATGTTCAAAGACATAAAGTAGGTCTCCTGCTGTGGCTCTGGGCCAGGTTTTTGTCCTGTTGAGCACATAGCCTGAGGAAGCCCTTGCTGTTTCCCAACACAAATGTGGAAACCTGTTTATCTGAGGGTGTCTCCTAAAGCATCTCCTTCACTTTTCCCCCCTCGATGGTAAGTACATTCTCAGTTTCCGCAATACATTTAGTAAATGACTGGTTTCCATAATGTGTTCTAAATCCACAAGTGTTGTATTATTATAACATTTCCTTTGGGGCGCAGGAGAGGCAAATGCAGGTTACATGATGTCCAGGACTAAAGATCCAAATTTTTAAAATCATTTTTCTGCCAGGCACAGTGGCTTATGCCTGTAATCCCAGCACTTTGGGAGGCTGAGTCAGGAGGAATGCTTGGGTCCAGGAATTCAAGAGCAGCCTGGGTAAACATGGCAAAACCCCATCTCTACAAAAACTTAAAAAATAAAAACTAGCCAGGTGTGGTGGTGCCGGAATGTGTTCCCAGCTACTTGGGAGGCTGAAGTGAGAAGATCCCTGAGCCCAGGAGGTTGAGGCTGCAGTGAGCCATGTTCATGCCACTGCACTGTGGCCTCGGCAACAGAGCAAGACACCATCTCAAAATAAAACAAAATAATATTTTTCATAAAGATTGGAGGCTCCGTCTTTGTGGCTCTCATCTATCTGTAATGTTTCTTTTCTTTTCTTTTTTTTTTTTTTGTGATGGAGTCTCGCTCTGTCACCCAGGCTGGAGTACAGTGGCATGATCTCGGCTCACTGCAAACTCCGCCTCCTGGGTTCAAGTGGTTCTCCTGCCTCAGCCTCCTGAGTAGCTGGGATTACAAGGGCCCGCCACAACACCTGGCTAATTTTTGGTATTTTTGGTAGAGACAGGGTTTTACCGTGTTGGCCAGGCTGATCTCGAACCCCTGACCTCAGGTGATCGACCCACCTCGGCCTCCCAAGGTGTTGGGATTACAGGTGTGAGCCACTGCACCCGGCCTGTAATGTTTCTTTATTGAAACTTCTATAACAGCTTAAAGCGGTGAGAAAAACTCTCTCTGCCATTAAAGCTACATAACCTTGAAAATCCTCCCTGGGTCTCACTTTTGAGATCTTTAGAATCAGGCATTTGGACCAGTTGACCTGTAAAGTATCTCAGATTCTAACAGACTGATTCTAACAGTCTATATTTTCCACATGTTTCTTTTGAGTGCATGAAAAAGCAGGCATGTGAAGTTATGCAGTTATTCTAGTGGCTCCAAATCAGGTCTGGAGAAGAGGACCAGGAATTGCTAAACATGATTGTACACCCGTTTATAAGTTTGGTATGGAAGAGGAGCTAGAAAATAAGTGAGGAAAAAGACAGTGAGGTGAAAAGAGCAGAACTGGCAGGAGAGCTACCCTGGAATAAGTACCTGGTCAGAACTAGAGAAAAGAGAAACCCTGTACCAGGCCCACATCAGATACCTGCAGAGTTTTTGATGATTGAAGTGACAGTTAAAACCACCCAAAGAAGAGTCAGCCAAGGGGGCTCCTTTCTCCCCACTGAATTCCAACATCAGCACCGCCCTACTCTATGAATAAATATAATGGAACCCCTTTACTTTGCTGGTGTTTATGACAAAAATAACACTTGCATTTTCAACTGAGTCAAATCTGGCTCTTACACCATGATGTCATGTTTAGGGACATAATTCGACCTGTAATATAATGATGGAGGAAAGATGGAAATCAAGGAGTTGGGCTTTGTTAGGAGGGGATTAAGCTTCCAATTTCTACATGGGATGCAAATCATTTATAGCCAAAATTACCCCTGGGAAACCTCTTAAGTTACCCTTAACATATATAGTTGCCCCTCAGTATCCAAGGTGGATTGGTTCCAGGACCACCTCCTACATCCAGGATACTAAAATCTGTGGATGCTCAAGTCCCTCGTATAAAATGGCGTAGTATTTGCATATAATCCACACCCATCCTCCTGTCTACAAATGGTCCCTGACTTAACGATTTTCAACTTCACAATGGTGCAAAAGCAACAAGCATTCAATGAGCTCCTTGACATGATAGAATTAAGTCCAGATAAACTCATCATAAATCAAAGAGTATCTGTACTATAAATCATCTCCAGATTACTTATAATACCTAATACAATGTAAGTGCTATGTAAATAGTTGTTATGCCATATTTTAAAATTTATATTAGATTGTATTGTTATATTGTTTTCTTTTTTTCCAAATATTTTCAATCTGTTATTGGTTGAGTCCACAATGCAGAACCCGTGCATACGGAGGGTTGACTGTACATGAATGTATGCATACAACTCTATACAATAATATGGATATGTGAATGTTTTATATATATTATATAAATATGGATATATTATTTTATATATGTGATAAAGTATATGAAAATAAAATTTTCCAGTATTTTTCTCCTTTTTTGCCATATACAATAATTGAAATTTACATAAATTCAATGCACATATGATGGGACTCTGTTGAACTAGAATAAGCACTGGCCAAGGAGTTAGCACTTCAAGTAATTACCTAAGTCACCTTGGGCAAATCACTTAACATATTCAGGACTTAGTCATCATCAAAGGAATGAGGAAGATATATCTGACACTCATTTTTCTTTGATTCTAAGTCATAAGGGGTAACAGTTTTTAAGAACTGAGCTTGTCCTTCAGAATCCATTCCCTGAGTTCTGCATTTCTTTTTTCTGTCTAGAAATCATTTACTTGACTAGGTTTACCCAGATCGTAGTGGTAACGTAAGATTAATTGCAGAACTCACAAAAAAATTGCATAAAAGCCCATTTGTTGGTGAAACAAATTCCTCAGTAGAAACCATCTCTTTCATCTCAACAACACATTATCCTCTGAAATGCAGGATCCTTGGGGTGATCACTGCATGAAAGACTAATTAATTCTTTACAACATTCTTTCCTGAAAAATTTCAAACAAAAAAAATGGGAACGTTTTACTGAATTACAGCTTTTATATGACCTGGTCAACAAAAATCTATTTGTGTGTCAGCCTTTTAAATCTCCTCAATCTAAAATAAATCCTTCAAGAAGGACCTTGCGCATGTCTGCAGCTCTAAGTAATCCAGACTCCAAAAGTGTGCTTCGAGGGAGAGTTAATAGCTCTGAAAGGTATATCTAAATGCTTCTCTTCTAAAACATTAATACTATAGATTCACTATTCTTTCATATTTTCCCTTAGTTATACATCCTCCCTTCCAGCTTTTGACCATGTCATTTTTAATTAATTCATTAATTCATTTATTTTTTGAGACAGAGTTTTGCTTTCGTCGCCCAGGCTGGAGTGCAATGGCGTGATCTCAGCTCACTGCAACCTCCGCCTCCTGGGTTCGAGCAATTCTCCTGCCTCAGTCTCCCGACTAGCTGAGATTACGGGTACGTGCCACCACGCCCAGCTAGACCATGTCATTTTTTTTTTTTTTTGAGACGGGGTCTTGCTCTGTCGCCCAGGCTGGAGTGCAGTGGTGTGATCTCGGCTCACTGCAACCCCCGCCTCCCAGGTTCAAGCAATTCTGCCTCAGTCTCCCGAGTAGCAGGGATTACAGGCATGCGCCACCACGCCCGGCTAATTTTTGTATTTTTAGTAGAGACGGGGTTTCACCACGATGGTCAGGCTGGTCTGGAACTCCTGACCTTGTGATCCGCCTGCCTCGGCCTCCCAAAGTGCTGGGATCACAGGCGTGAGCCGCCACGCCTGGCCTAGACCATGTCATTTTAAAAGCTATGCTCAGGCCGGACATGGTGGCTCACCCCTGTAATTCCAGCACTTTGGGAGGCCGAGATGGGTGGATCATGAACGAGGTCAGGAGTTCGAGACTACCATGGCCAACATGGTGAAACCCTGCCTCTACTAAAACTACAAAAATTAGCCGGACGTGGTGGCAGATGCCTGTAATCCCAGCTACTTTGGAGGCTGATGCAGGAGAATTGCCTCACCCTGGGAGGCAGAGGCTGCATTGAGCCGAGATCGCACCATTGCACTCCAGCCTGGGCGACAGAGCAAGACTCCATCTCAAAAAAAAAGCCGTGCTCAGCCCAAACCTTCCAGCCAGGTACCTAGATTTCTTTAAATGCCTTCCTCCTGCTCCCTGTCCACCCTTCAGGCCTCATTGAATAAGGGCTGACTAAAGTAGGTCACGTCCTTCCTGAGAATGCCTGTCACTCTCATCTATCCCTTCAGAAAAAGAGCATGGACATTCAAGTCAACCTCAGGATCAAATCCTACTCTATCATTCCTGACCAGCCAAGACACCTCAATCAAGTCATTTCCCTCTTGGGAGCCTCCTCAATGCTGCTGACTACGTTATTTAAAATTGCAATTTTGGCCAGGCGCCGTGGCTCATGCTTGTAATCCCAGCACTTTCTGAGGCAGAGGAGGAAGGATCGCTTGAGCCCAGGAGTTCAAGACCAGTCTGGGCAATATAGTGAGACATCATCTCTATAAAAAATAAAAAAATGAGGTGAGAGAATCACTTGAGCCCAGGTGGTCAGGTTTGCAATGAGCCGTAGTTGCACTACTGCATTCCCACCTGGACTACAGGAGTGAGACTCTGTCTCAAACAAACAAAAAAAAAAAATTGCAATTTTGTCCCCAAGTCCAGTTTTCCTGTTCTCCTTAACTCTGCTCTAGTTTTTATTGTTCCCATAGAACTTATCACTTAAGACTGGGCGCAGTGGCTCACGCTTGTAATCCCAGCACTTTGGGAGGCCGAGGCAGGGCGGATCATGAGGTCGAGACATCCTGGCTAACATGGTGAAACCCCGTCTCTACTAAAAATACAAAAATATTAGCTGGGCGTGGTGGCAGGTGCCTGTAGTCCCAGCTACTTAGGAGGCTGAGGCAGGAGAATGGTGTGAGCCCGGGAGGCGGAGCTTGCAGTGAGCCGAGATTGCGCCACTGCACTCCAGCCTGGGCGACAGAACGAGACTCCGTCTAAAAATAATAATAATAATAAAAAAGAACATATCACTTAAGATATCATATCATTTACTCATTACTGTATTGTTTGTCATCTAACTCCTCCCCCTAAAATGTAAGCTCTGCAAGGTAACGGATCTTTATTTGGTCATTGACATTTCCCAGAAGTCTAGAACAGTGTCTGACACATAGTAGGTGCTCAATAAATACCTGTTAAATGAATGAATAAAGAGAGGGGAGTCATTCAGACTATAAATAATTAAAATTATTTTTGAAACCTTTCTGGCCTCTGTCTCTTTGTAAGTCTGTCTTAAAGAGTATCATATTCATCTCTGTATAGTGACTTAACTCCGATTAAATATATCCCCACATCTCAGTGAACATAAGGGAAAATTTAAACTATAGCACTCTGCCAAGAATTATGAATTTCCATGACTACAAGACAAAATAAAGAGTATATGATCTTTATACAAAATAGCTCATAGATATTAAGAAATAAAGTAATTGTCAGCTCTGTTTTTATCTGGAAATTTCGGCTCTAGCATAACTTATGTGTGTGTTTATCCACTATGTACCAGGAACTGAGGAAAGAAAATTAGGGGCACAACTAAAATGATTAAACATCAGAAATGAGGTTCTGGCCCATTTTACCCAATGTCAGCTCTGATCATGTGTGTGGGGTCTGCAAGATGCTGTATCTCTATTGTTTGGGGAGTGGGAGGCTCTGTTATGGAATAATGAGCCCCAGTCTCCTCCCTCCCACTTCTTAAGGCTCTTCTAACTCTTCTAGGCTTCCAGAGGCCACAATTTTCTTTGTGTGCAGCTCCAATTTCTTTAACATTATCTTCTTTATTCACCATAATCCTAGAAGAGCTTGTTCTAACCTTCAGTCTTTGGGATTTGGATGTCAAGGTTTAAGGAGGCATCCTTTCCTACTTGCTATGAGATGCCTCTCATGCTTACTTGATTTTTAAATATTTTGGACTCACAGCCAATGATGAATTCCATTTCTCCCTCAGTCTGTCTCCCCACTTCTCTCTCTCCTCATTGATTAGGGTATATTTTACACCAGAAATCACATTTTAGTCAACATTTTCAGCAATCAAGGTATAAGGGTCCCAAATCAAGAAAAAGAGGTTTCTTTAACAATTACTGAAGGGAAGTAAGAAATTTAACACTGTTTGGTAATTGTTTAATTATGTTTCCCAGCTACAGATGTAACCAACATCATGTGGGCACGTGTCTATGTGTACTTGTGACATTGCAAATGCATGTATGTGTGTTTATATCTGAAAACGAAAGCTACTTATTATGGTTATGATTCTATCTACAGGAAGAACACTTTTATCATTAAGCGTTAGTCCATATCCAATAATTTTATTTCATTTCTTTCAGAACAGGAAACCTGAAGAAAAGTCTTCAAAAGTCCTTTCTAAGAGGTCATAACATTCCCATGTAAGAAGTTGAAAACCAGAGTTCTGGGGCCGGGCACAGTGGCTCATGCCTGTAATCCCAGCACTTTGGGATGCCAAGGCAGGTGGATCATCTGAAGTCAGGAGTTTGAGACCAGCCTGACCAATATGGTGAAACTCAGTCTCTACTAAAAACACAAAAATTAGCTGGGCGTGGTGGCACATGCCTGTAATCCCAGCTACTCCAGAGGCTGAGACAGGAGAATTGCCTAAACCCAGGAGGTGGAGGTTGCAATGAGCTGAGATTGCGCCACTGCACTCCAGCCTGGGTGACAGAGTGAGACTCCATCTCAAAAAAAGGAAACCAACCAACCAAACAAACAAAACCCAGTGTCCTGTAACATCTTTTCCTACAGTGAGAGACATGGTATGACCTAGCAGTCAAAAATGAGAAGCGTAGAGTCCAACAAATTTGGAATCAAAACCAGACCCATCATTTAGCAAATTATTCAACTTATGTGAGCTTCAGTGTCCTCTTTCGGGAAATAGGAATAATATTATCTACGTCATCAGGTTGCTTTAAGGATTTAATGAGATAATGCACATAGCTGTTGTTCTTAAGAACTCATCCCTGCCATATAGGGTAAAAACTGACAAGAAAGCAGTTAAAATGTAGGACTGGAAATTTAGAAAAACGCTAAATTTCACCAAGACAAATGAGCAAGAGTACTCAGGAGTGATCAATACATTCTTGTTGAATGGATGAATGAATGAGAGGAATATTTATAGATCTTACTCCATGCCAGAAGCTGCCAGAGACTCCAGACAGGCAGCTCTGGATATGCACGCTGTCACAAAGATGAGTACATGGCTTATTGCCTTTACATCCATGTTTATAGACATACTCAGTACAGTTCTCAAAATGACAACATAGTGACAGGAATGGCAGTGTTAGGGGCTTGGCAGACCCTCTCCCCAGTGAAACAACCATTTAACTGGTGAACATCTTTTTCTTTAAGACAGGGTCCCACTCTGTCGCCCAGGCTGGAGTGCAGTGGCACGATCTCAGCTCACTGCAGCCTCCGCCTCCCAGGTTCAAGCCATGCTCCTGCTTCAGCCTCCCAAGTAGCTGGTACTACAGGCATGCACCACCACGCCCAGCTAATTTTTGTACTTTTTATAGATATGGGGTTTCGCCAAGTTGCCAAGGCTGGTCTCCAACTCCTGGGCTCAAGCAATCCGCCCACCTCAGCCTCCCAAAGTGCTGGGATTACAGGCGTGAGCCACCACGCCCAGCGGAAAATCACTTAAAAAAAAATTAAAATAGTTAAAGCCACTGGAAATTGTCCTAATGGCATACAGCATATGGAGAAACATTTAAGAAAACTTACTAAATTTTGATACCAACAGAGAGAGTCTGTGGCATTTGAGCCATGATCTACTCTAACCCCCTTCACTGATCAGCATGAAGGATGCTCTACTTCAAGTGGATGCATCCAAGACGGGGCTCCTTCTTCCCCCAGCTCCCAGTAGAGGGCTATGGTTTTGCCCCAGAAGGAGCAAGCTGATGGGCATCCCTCATTCCCCTCAGCTCTGCGTTACAGAAGCTGGATTCCAGGCAAGCACAGCAGAGAGGACTGGGGTCACTTCTCCCGCTCATTGGGCAGAAGCCCTATCCTAGGCATGGCAGCCTGCAGGTGCTAGACCCCAACTGCCCCCATGCTTGCTCAATCATAAGGAGGAGGTGCTATGCCAAGAAGGGCAAGCCAAGAAGACCAGGAGCTATCATCCCTGCCTACTACCCCACTTGTGGAATGGGGCTGTCACTGGAGGAGAAGTGGGTCACTGTCCCTGCTCCCAGCTGCAGTGCGATGGCACAGTGGTTTGGCCCAGGGGGTGAGGCAGGTCAAGAACAGAGCACTGCCACTCTTCCTAAGGGACTGGCCTTATTTGGCACAGAGTGTAAGGAAGTTCATGCCTAAAGGCACTGTTGAAAACAATGGAGATTGTTGGGAATAAGCATTTACGAGGAGGATGGTAGTGCCGAGATACTAGTAGTAACAGTACCCCAGCTAGAAGAAATTTAACAGACTGAATCGGGGAAAGACACAGATGAGAAAAGAGCCTTTGTGGAGGTTGGAGTAAGCCTCAAACATGGTTAAAGCCCTGCCCCTGCAAAGGGGTCCAACTTTAATCGGATCAGACTGTAGAGCACTCTGTGGGCCAGGGCATTGTTATTGTTAAAAACAATAGAGCAATCGGCTAGCAATTAGTGAAGGCTAACAGCTGGGACTGCTTCAAATAGAGGCAGATGGGTCCGAAGCTTAAAGGAGAGATCAGGGAAAGAGACAGTCAAAGAGAGCCCAATTAAATCCACACCAGCCCTGGTGGTGGGAGAAACTGTATGCATGCCCAAGGCAGCACTCTGTGAAGAGTGACATCAGAGGCTGCACACTGAAGGGGAATAGACTTCACTAAACTAGTCCAGACAAGTCACTCAACAAATAAACAAAAAAGCAAATAACAACAAGCCCCAGAGGGGCATGGGAATAACTACCTAGGGTTACTACAATGTAAGATTACAGGACATGCAAAGAAAAAAGTATGACTCATACACGGGCGGGGGGTGGGGGGAGCGGAGGGGGGAAGCAGGCAATAAAAACTGCTTTTGAAGGGACTAGACGTCGACTTAGCAGACAAAGATTTCAAAGCAACTATTATAAATATGTTCAAAGAGACATATATAAAACACTCCACCCAATAAGAGTGAAATATATAGTCTTCTGAAGTGCACATGGAGCATTCTCCGGGATAAACCATATGCTAGGCCACAAAAAAAGCCTCAACAAATTTTAAAAGGATTTACCAAAAAAAGAAAAAAAGTTTTAAAGGAATTTAAATCAGGCAAAGCATGTGTTCGCTGACCACAATCAAATTAAATTTTAAATCAATAAGCGAAAGAAATATGGGGAATTCATAAATATGTAGAAATTAAACAACACACTACCAAATAACAGATAAGTTAAAGAAATCACAAGGATATTTAGACAATACTATTGAAAACAAAAGCACAACATAGCAAAACTATTTTTTTTAAGGCAGCAGCAATTGTTTAATAACATAGCAAACTTAAGGGATGGAGCTAAAGCAGTACTTAAAGGGAAATTTGTATCTTTGTTAAAAAATAAAAAAGATCTCAAGTCAATGATATTACCTTCTAAGGAAACTGAAAAAAAGAAGAGCAAACTAAACCCAAAACAAGCAGAAGGAAGGAAATGATAAAGATTATGAGGCAGGAAAATAAGGTCTGGAGGCAGGGAACATAAGGCCAGTTCACACTTCAGCTATGACAGGAAATATCCTCTCCATTGGGCTTATGCTGTAAATGACTTTGTAACTTTACTTCAAACTCTGCATTTACATAGGGTGTACCCCAAGTAACCAATGGAATCCTCTGGGGGTATTGAAACTCCCAGAAATTCTATAACAGGGCCTTTCAGCCCGTATGCTCGGGGCCACTCCCACACTGTGGAGTGTACTTTCATTTCAGTAAAACCCTTCATTCCTTCCTTGCTTTGTTTGTGCGTTTTGTCCAATTCATTGTTCAAGACGCCAAGAACCTGGACACCCTCCACTGTTAACAATTAGTGCAGAAATAAATGAAATAGAGAATAGACAACAATAGAGAAAAATCAATAAAACTAAAAGTTGGTTCTTCAAAAAGATCAATAACATTGACAAACCTTAGTGAGACTGACCAACAAAAAAAAGGAAATATTACTACCAAACTTTCAGGAGAAAAAAAAATAAAGAAGTACTACAAACAACTTTAGGTCAACAAATTAGATATATTAGATGAAATGAATTTCATGAAATAAATTTGTTTCAGGAAATGAAACAAATTCCAAGAAAG
Organism: Homo sapiens; assembly: GCF_000001405.40. Classification (NCBI taxonomy): domain Eukaryota; kingdom Metazoa; phylum Chordata; class Mammalia; order Primates; family Hominidae; genus Homo; species Homo sapiens. The sequence goes on along the minus strand of NC_000023.11, from coordinate 18,792,412 downwards.
ACACAACTACCAAGACACAAACTACTCAGGAAGAAACAAAAAACTTGAATACAACTATAGCAAGGAAAAATATTGAAATTAGTAATTTTAAAACTTCCTGCAAAGAAAAGCCCAGGCCCTGATGGCTTCACTGATGGATTCTATCAAACATTTGAAGAATTAAAATCAATCCTTCACAGACTTTTCTAAAACACAGAAGAGGAGACAATACTTTCCAATTCCTCTTATGAGGCCAAACTTATACCAAAACCAGACAAAGATATCACAACATAAGAAAACCATAGACCAATAGCTCTTATGAATATAGATGCAAAAATCCTCAAAAAATATTACCAAATGGAAACCAGCAACATAGAAGGTGGATTATACATCATGACCAAGTGGGATTTATCCCAGGAATGTCAGGTTGGTTTAACATCTCTGAAATCAATCAATATAATATACTGTATTAATAGAATAAAGGGAAAGAACACATCATTTCAATGTATTCAGAAAAAGCATTTGACAAAATCCAACACTCTTTCACAATAAAAACACTCAATAAACTAAGCATAGAAAGAAACTTCCTCAATGTAATAAAAGGCCACTACAAACAAATACACAGCTAATATCATACTTGATGAAAGACTGAATGCTTTCCCCAGTATCATGAACAAGACAAAGACATCTACTCTCTTCACTTTTATTCAACAGTGTACTGGAGGTTCTAGACAAGGCAATTAAGCAAAAAGAAAAAAAAGGAAAAGAAAAGGCAGACAGATTGGAAAGGAAGAAGTAAAATTATTCACAGATAACATAATCTTGTAGGTGGAAAATCTCAAGAAATCCACTAAAAACCATTAGAACTAATACGTTTATCAAAGTTCACAACACAATGTCAGTATATAAAAGTCAGTTGTATTTCTATACACTAGCAATGAACAATCCAAAATGTAATTAAGAAAACAATTCTATTTACAATAGCATCAAAAACACCTAGGAATAAATTTAACAAAACAAGAGCAAGACGTGTATACTGAAAGGTAAAAAACATTGTTGAAATTAAAGATCTAAATAAATGGAAAGACATCTCAAGACAGCCATAGTACCCAAATTGACCTACAGATTCAAGGCAACCCTACCAATATCCCAGCTGCTTTTTGGTAGATATTGACAAATCAATCCTAAAATTCATATGGAAATTCAAGGGGCCCAGAATAGCCAAAACGATCTGGAAAAAGAAGAAGAAAGTTGGAGAACTCACACTTCCCAATGTTAAAACTTCCCACAAAGCTACAGTAATCAAAATTGTACAGTACTGACATAAGGATAAACATAGAGATTGTGAAATATAATTAAGAGTCTAGAAATAAACCCTTTTATTATGGTTAACTGATTTTTTGATAAGGGTGTCAAGAAAATTTAACAAGGAAAGTATAGTCTTTTTAAGAAATGGTGCTGGTGGCCGGGCACAGTGGCTCACACCTGTAATCCCAGCAGTTTGGGAGGCCGAGGCGGGCAGATCACCTAAGGTCAGGAGTTTGAGACCAGCCTGGTCAACATGGTGAAATCTCATCTCTACTAAAAATACAAAAATTAGCCAGGCGTGGTAATGCATGCCTGTAATCCAAGCTACTACTCAGGAGGCAAAGGTTGCAGTGAGCCGAGATCGTGTCACTGCACTCCAGCCTGGGTAACAGAGCGAGACTCTGTCTCAAAAAAAAGAAAAAAAAAATTGGTGCTGGGATAACTAAATATCCACATAAAACAGAAAGAATTTGGAATCTCACCTCCCACCACACACAAAAATTAACTCAAAATGGATCAGACACCTAAATTTAAGAGCTAAATGTATAAAACTCTTAGAAGAAAACAAAGTAATAGATCTTTATGACTTTGGATTAGGCAATAGCTTAGATACAACACCAAAAACACGAGCAACCAAAGAGAAAAAATATATCATTTTGACTGGGCATCACCAAAATTAAAAACTGCTGTACTGCAAAGGACACCATCAAGAAAGGGGAAAAGACAACCCACAGAATGGGAGAGGGTATTTGCAAATAATATACCTGATAAAGGATTTGTATTTAGAATATATTCAAAAAACCTCCTACAATGCAATAATAAAAAGATAAATAACTCAGTTTTTAAGATGGGCAAAGGATCTGAATAGACAATTCTCCAAAGAAGATCTACAAATATCCAATAAACACATGAAAAGATGCTTGACATCATTAGTCATTAGGGAAATGCAAATCAAAACCACAATGAGATTCCATCTCATGCCCTCTGGGATGGCTATAATCAAAATGATAGACAATAACAAGTGTTAGAGAGGATGTGGAGAAATTGGAACGTTCATCCATTGCTACTGGAAATGTAAAATGGTGCAGCCACTTGGGAAAACAGTTTGGGACTTTCTTAAAATGTTAAACTTTTTTAGAATTAGTTTATGACTCAGCAGTTCCACTCCTAGGTACACACTTAAGAGAAATAAAAACATACATGCACAGAAAAACTTGTATGTGATGGCTCATAGAAGGATTATTCATAGTAGCCAAAAAGTGGAAACAACCCAAACGTCCATCAGCTTATGAATGAATAAATACAATGTGTATATCCATATAATGGAATATTATTCAGCAACAAATAGATGTTCAGTACTGATACATGCTACAACATGGATGAGCCTCCAGAACATTGTGCTGAGTGAAAGAAGCCAGACACAAAACATCACATATGTGTCCATTTCTACAACATGTTCAGAATAGGCAAATCTGTAAAGACAGATAGTAGATTGATGGTTGCCTAAGGCTGTTAGGTGGCACAGGGTGGCTACAGAAGGGAATGGGGAATGATGCTAATAGGTATGTAGTTTCTTTTTCAGATGATGAAAACGTTCTAAAATTAGATTGTGGTGCTAGTTGTACAACACTGTGAATATACCAAAAACCATTGAATTATACACTTTAAATGGGTGAGTTACATGGTATGTGAATTATATCTCAATAAAGCTGTTAAAAATATAGTGATGAATTCCAAGAGAATCATGTGGTCTCCTCGTAAAGGTAAAGTCACTTTTTATCTATATATTGTAAGGGACAACATGCACGCTAGTGTCATTGTTGCCACTGCAGTGAACACCCTGATTACCTACCTGTTCCCATTCATGCTCTGTTAAGTGTTCAGTAGGAGATCCATTTGTTTTGATTCTTCCATGTGCATTAAAAGTCACACCTACTTTATTGTGCTTCGAGTCAGTGTCATGGTCTCTGTTTGTTTCCGTTGGTGGTATCAGCACAGATTTCATCTATAAAACAAATTCATGCTTTAGTCCAACCCTCTGCTTATTCTGCCACATACAGAGACTTCAGTCCCAGGTGGGATTCTTTCTATGTTGTGGTGCCACAACCCAATGAAAAACACACGGTCACTTTTTGCATCTCGTCCACCTCCTATATCTCACTCATCCACTGATGTCTGTAAAGTGGGTCTGTTACATTGTTGGTACATTTTCCAATTACAGACATTGCCTATAAAGAAAGAGTTTCTGTGTTTCACTGGAGTTTCTCTATAGGTGTTAAACACATTCTGTGGCATCCACACAGAAAATGGAAGATACCAAGGTAGGGGCAACGAGTCTCCTTATTGAGCCTTTATCTAGCCATAGGATCTTCAGGAGTTCAGAAACACCTCTTAATAGAGTGGCTGCTGTGCATTTTGTTATGCTTTCCAGAAGAAAAGAGAAAAGGTACATCTGTGTCCAAGAAAGTTCTTAAAGGGGACATAGGTTGAAAACTTCAGAAGCCCTTCCAACCTAAATGCATTGTGGTTCTCAGCCTGACTCTGCCAGCCATTGACGATGTTCTCTAATCTTGGCAACAAAACTGCTGCGTTTCTTTGGAAAACAAAACGTCTTTCTGATAGGGCATCAATTACTAGAATCCCTCTTGTTCCCTTACACAAGCAGAGACTGTAATTTTATACTTGTTTCTTTGTAGCACCATGTCTTTAAACAAAACAATATTAAACAATACTTCTGTTATACTGGTGGCCGTGGTTCAGTGATAGACAAATTCTCTGTGGTAGGCACTTAAGTTTCCTTTTTTTTTTTTTTTTTTTTTTTGAGACAGAGTCTTGCTCTGTCCCCCAGGCTGGAGTGCAGTGGCGCGATCTCGGCTCACTGCAAGCTCCGCCTCCCGGGTTCACGCCATTCTCCTGCCTCAGCACTGACTACAGGCGCCCGCCACCACGCCCGGCTAATTTTTTCTATTTTTTAGAAGAGACGGGGTGTCACCGTGTTAGCCAGGATGGTCTTGATCTCCTGACCTCGTGATCCGCCCGCCTTGGCCTCCCAAAGTGCTCGGATTACAGGCGTGAGCCACTGCACCCGGCCAAGCACTTAGTTTCTTTTACAAACTAGAGTGTGTAGGAAATCTTACCTTTATTTTTCAAAAATGAAATTGAATCTTATTCTGAGGTCCTGTCTCATTGAGCTAGGTAGAAATTCAAGCTCAGCTATTGCTAGCTAGTTCACAGCCTACCTGCCCTGTCTCCTGCCAGCAAATGTTCCCATTAGGGGCAGAGCAGAATATTCTGGGAGGACCCTCTGGACTTGGGTCCACACAACTCACTTCTTTTTCCCTTTTTCTTTCTTTCTTTTTTTTTTTTTTTGTAAAGATGGGGTCTTGCTATGTTACCCAGGCTGGTCTCGAACTTCTGGTCTCAAGTGATCGTCTCACTTCGGCCTCCCAATGTACTGGGACTATAGGCATGAGCCACCGTGCCCAGCTGTACACAACTCATTTCTGATGAGCTCATTGAGCAAGGCCACATGGTCTCTTAAGTATGTGTGGCTCTGAAGTTTTCAAGGCCATTTGGGATCAGGATACTTTGCCCCAGCTCTCCCTAAGGCACTACACGACCATTTTCCCCCAGGGAGTCTAGTAGCCATCTTTCTGCAAATGCCTTGCTGGGGAGTTTGACAAATAATAAACCAGAATCTTAGTTTTAGAAAATCTTCCTTCATTCTTTAATCCCTCTGCATTGACCCCCCTCAACCTGCCCACCTTACAAAATACCTTAAATGAACCTAGAATAGAGGTTGTCATCAAATTCCCCCAACCCTTCCCAACCCCTGTTAACAATGATACCATTACGACCGCAGGTGTAAACCAGGAAGTATGGTCCCTCCTGCCACAGAGGGTTGGAGGGTCCTATGGGATGGGAAAGTGGGGATTATAAAACTGGACTGGAACAATCTACTTTTATGTCTCATCTGATAGAGTTCCAAATGGTTGAACCTATCATTTTCACTACAGTTCAATGATATTTAATACAACAAGTATGTGTTACCAGTTCAACCTCACTCAAGGAAGGGTAGAAGACACAAACAATATACAAGTTGAATTTCTATCTTTAAAGCCAGTCTAAAGAGCAGGTAGAACAGTTATCCCTGAAGGGGGTGAAACTTTAGGTATCCTGAGAAAATGGCTGGCCCACAAACTCTCCCCAGGGTCTGTATTGGTGACTGAAACACAAACCTCAGAACCAAGTATAAGGAAAAAAGAAGAGAGAACTGGAGGAGAAAGCTATATGTTTAGTAGTATATGCCATTTTCTTTTCTTTTCTTTTTTTTTTTTTTTTTTTTGAGATAGTGTTTCACTGTCACCCAGGCTGGAGTGCAGTGGCTTGATCTTGGCTCACTGCAGCCTCTGCCTCCTGGGTTCAAGTGATCCTCCTGCCTCAGCCTCCCAAGTAGCTGGGATTACAGGTGTGCACCACCATGCCCAGCTATTTTTTTGTATTTTAGTAAGGACAGGGTTTCACCTTTTTGGCCAGGCTGGTCTTGAATTCCTACCCTCAAGTGATCCGCCCACCTCAGCCTCCCAAAAGTGCTAGGATTACAGGCGTGAGCCACTGCGCCTGGCCACCATTTTCTTCATATAGGTAATTACATTTAATCCTCCCAAAAATCCAATATGGTAGGTATTTTTATCTTCAGTTTATACGTGTGGAAACCAAGGATTAGAAAACCTCAGTATGTTGCCCAGTCACCCAGGAAGGGGCAGAGGCAGGATGTTAACCTAGTTCTGTCTGTCTAATCTTAGAGCCTCACAGTCTTTACTATGTTAAGGTGGCCCTCAACTTGGGATCTCCACAGAGCTAGTGAGGGACATCCCAGAGGCATCTTCTCAATATCTCAAAAAGCCCTCGATAGAGCTGGCTGCTCAGGCTAACCTCAGGAAAGCAAAAGTGTTCAATCTGGTCAATTGGAAGAGGCTGCCATGACTGATTAGCACTGTAGTCATAGGGCAGGTGGTGATGGAATGTGGCATTCATGCCCTGTGTTCACCAATATTTGACTGACAAAGACATCATGTTCCCTTGTGCTCTTGGTTAGAATCTAATCCACTCATTATGTTAATAATGACTATTATATCTTGATCAAAATGTCTTATTGGCTTGATTACTCACTGATATAATGAGAAAGGTACCTTAAACTTAGAGTGGGCTTAAGTTTTATTGCAACTGGGTTTTGTTGTGTTTGAGACAAGGTCTCTCTCTGTCATGCAGGCTGGAGTGCAGTGGTGCGATCATAGCTCACTGCAATCTCAAACTCCTGGGTTCCAGCAATCCTCATGCTTCAGCCTCCCAAGTAGCTGGGACCACAGGTGTGCACCACCACACCTGGCTAATTTTTTCTTTTTTGTAGAGATGACATCTTGCTATGTTGACCAGACTGGTCTCAAACTCCTGGTCCCAAGTGATCTGCCCACCTCAACCTCCCAAAGTGCTGGAATTACAGGGGTGAGCTACCATGCCTGGCTGCAACTGGGATTTTTTTTTTTTAGAGTAAAAGGAGGTGCTATTAATAATTACAATAGGACAACAGGTGTAAGCCAGGAAGCATCATCATCAGTTGGTGAGGTGGGGAAGGGTGGTATGTAAAATCACCACAGAATCAGGAGAGGGCTGTAAAAAACTTTCTATTCAGTTTTGTCTTAGGTTTACCCTGCTTTGATCTTAAATCCCTCAAGAGATAGTCAGTGACTATTAAGTACTTACTACATCCCAGGTGCTGGGGTTTTATCAATGGACTAGAAAAACAGAGGAAGATAGTAAACAAACAGTACCACAATTTCTTACTTAAATTCGGTAACTGTGATGAAAGATATGTACAAAGGGCTTGACAGTATACAAAAGGGGATCTCATCTGGTCTGGAGGTCAGACTTATTAAACTTTAATTAAAAAGATGGGAGGATACCAGCAACGACATTCTCATTCACATGTGTATAAAGGGTCCAAGAAGTCAAGGTGCCACTGGGGTCACATTTCTGTCTCTATCAGATTAAATTCCAGCTCTAGACCCCACCTGTCCAGGTTGGTTGGAAGTTGATGATCAGTCCTGAGGGGTAACAGTTCAGGTTTCCCACTAGGACCATATAGCATCATCTGGCTCCACTGCTGTTACTGGTCTTCAACCCATGTGGCGCCCCTACACCTCTAGCCTGAGGGCTTCCTCTTGGCTTGAGTAGAGGAGGAAGACAACTCCAATGACCCTGCAAGACCCGTCCAAGGAACCCTTCACTAGGCGTGAGATCTTCACAGTCACCACATAGCCACTTGTCTCAGAGGTTCCATACTAGCTCCTGCTCTGCTTGTATTTAACATGATTATTTAAACATTTCAAAAAAATATTTCCAAAAAAAGTATCCTAAGTTATTTGATGTGTATTATGTGGGAAATCGTATCAATTCAGAAATAAACTGCACTTATATAAGTGACTCCACTTATATAAGGTACCTAGAGTGGTGAAATTCGTAGACAGAAGGTAGAATGGTGGTTGGTGGTTGCCAGGGGCTGGGACAGGGGAGAATGGGGAGTTAGTGTTTAATGGGTCCAGAGTTTCGGTCTGGGATGATGGAAAATTCTGTAAATAGATGGTAGTGATGGTGATGGTTGCACAACAATGTGAATATACTTAATACCTCTGAACTATACACTTAAAAATGGTTACAGTGGCAAGTTTTATGTTATGTATATTTTACCACAATATAAATGAATGAATTGAGGTTTTAATTTTAAAAATCAGGATTTTTCACTTTTAGAAACTACATAAAATGCCAACATTTCCTCATTTTTCCACCCTCAACATGAATTTAAAATTTTTTTCCATATATAGAAGTTACCCACTTAGTTCTTTATCATGCAGTCATAGATTTTTCTTAAAATTTATACTTTTATATACTCTAATAAAATCTATAATCTTTTTAGAGTTACAACCACTAAAACACAAATCAATTCAAAATAATAAATGAAGAGGTATGTATTCCCTTCTAAATCCCTGAGAGAAGATTCATGCCAACATTACTTCTTACCTTGTTCCTCTCTACACGGTGGAGTAAATTCAAGTCTGTGGTCTCTGATATCCCACCATGGATGACCAGGATTTCATTGTCAACGATTGTACCGATTGGGAGCCAGGCATAGAATTCTTCCAAGATTTGTAAGATTCTTTTTCCATGTAGCTGTAAGTAAGAGCTTGAGTAAGTTTTGTTTTTCTGACAGGTTCAGTTTATTGAATAGTCCCCAAGTATGGACAAAAAGTAATGATTTTCAGGCCACTCAAAGGAAGTCAGCAAGGAGTCACTAACCAATTAGCATGTATTCATCATGTCTTTTTATTCTGTTTTTGTTTTTGTTTTTTTTTTGAGATGGAGTCTCGCTCTGTTGCGCATTGGAGTGCAGTGGCGCCACCTTGGCTCACTGCAACCTCTGCCTCCCAGGTTCAAGCGATTCTCCTGCCTCAGCCTCCCAAGTAGCTGGGACTAAAGGCGTGTGCCACCACGACTGGCTAATTTTTGTATTTTCAGTAGAGACGGGGTTTCTCCATGTTGGCCAGGCTGGTCTCGAACTCCTGACCTCAGGTGATCCGCCCACCTTGGCCTCCCAAAGTGCTAGGATTACAGATGTGAGCCACTATGCCTGGCCCTTTATTCTGTATTTTTGATACTATGACATCTTGGGGCCTTGCTGACTCTGGAGGAGAGACTGTCCCTCCCGGGGCTAGCTAATTCCTAGATAGTCAATGACTCGCCCTTCATATGCAAACCAAGCAACCGAGAGCCCACACCCCAGCTACCTTCTTTATGGAGCTCTCACACTCCTCATCCCGGGGCCAGTTACCAGACAACTAGGGACAACCTCTGTGGCCCAGAGCAGTCTGAAATTACTCAAATTGGTCAGTCCTAAACCAGATTACACTCAGATGCTTCCCTCCACCCTCCCTCTGCCTTCTTTTTTTTTTTTTTTTTTGAGATGGAGTCTCACTCTGTTGCCCAGGCTGGAGTGCAGTGGCACGACCTCGGCTCACTGCAACCTCCGCCTCCTGGGTTCAAGTATTCTCCTGCCTCAGCCTCCCGAGTAGCTGGGATTACAGGAGCATGCCACCACGCCCAGCTAATTTTTATATTTTTAGTAGAGACAGGGTTTCACCACGTTGGTCAGGCTGGTCTCGAACTCCTGACCTCAAGTGATCCACCGGCCTCAGCCTCCCAAAGTGCTGGGATTACAGGTGTGAGCCACCGTGCTCAGCCTCCCTCTGCCTTCTGACCAACTCTGGTGCTTCCCCACGCGGTCTCCCAGAGTGGCTTGCAGTGCCTCCATTTTCTAGAGAATTGTAAATAAAAATCTCTTCCTTCATGACAGTCATTTCTGTGTCTGCATATTTTACCACACCTAAGTAAAACAAATCCTTGGTACCTTTGAAGCAATGAAATATGTATCTATGCTAAAACTTACACAAAACTCACAATGAAAAAGTGTGGTTTAATCCAGAAAGAAAATATAAGACTCTACTGTGGCCAGGGCTTCCTGCTGTGCTTGTATTTTATTGGCATGCATTCTGACTAGTTGGCCTATTACCTTTCCTAAAGCATCAATCTGGTCTTTCTTGGCTCTTTTTAAATTTCTCTATAGAAACAGCAAAGTGAATACTAAAAAAAAAAAAAAAAGCATGTCTTACCTTATATTTATGCAAAATTTCTTTCGTGAAGCCATACCTAAAAAAAAATGGGATTTAAATGATTTGATTGTTGATAACGCCTACTTCCATGAGTCATGCAAAAAGGGAAGCCCTTGGCATCTCAGTATCTATCACAAGAACTCAAGAAACCAGAGTTCAGTTGGAAGTGTTACTTACCTGAGTCCTTGCTAGGCATGATTGGAAAGCATAAAAGCAACCAACGACATCATCCCTACCCTCAAGGAGCTTATAGTATAGCTGGGGAAAGAAGATAGATTTCTATGAAACAATTATAAGACAACTTAAGAAATATGTGGTAGGCACAGGTTTTGTAAACGCTACAAGTATGCAGAGAAGCATGCTGTGGTAGCTGGGGGAAGCTGTGTGAGAGAAGACTTTTCATTTAGATAGAATTTCTCAGACATCCTATACAGTAAATGATTGGAAAAAAGAAAAGACTGAACAAAGAAAAGACTGAACAACTTGTTACCTAGCAGGTAACAAGTTGGCTTGTTATGCTCTCTCTGATACAGGTCCCATAATGGTATTGAGGGTTTTAATAGAAAGTGTCAGGAACCTTAATGCCTGAATAGCAGTAGTGAAGGGAGATTCAATGATGACAATATTTCTGTTACCTTTCCTTGCTTTAGGATAACAGTACATGCCCTTAATATCCAACACTGTGAAGATGAAATGCAATACACTCACTCTGGCTTTCCATGGAAATCATGTCACATCAGGCTTCTACAGTGTAACGTTCTGTTTTCTGAGATGAATTCCATCCTGTACTCACCAAAGGTGTCCATACTATTTAATCCAACAGATGCCTTGCAGTCCTCACCTTCCTCGCCCTCTCTGAAACACTAAATACAGCTGACTCTACCATCCTTCTAGAAAACTTTTCTTTCCTTGGATTCTGTGACCATAAACTCTCTTGGTTTTCCTCCTGGCTCTTCTGAGCCTCTTTTGCAAGCTCTCCTCTACCTCACCTTAAATGTGGTAGTTCCTTCAGATTACATCCTAGGCTCTCTTCTCCCCTCACTTTCTCCTTTGGGAATCTCATCCCTGCCCGGGCTTTCAGTTTTTATCTAGTGTTAATACCACAGGATGATGTTCCAGGCCACACTTCATTTCTGATCTCTGGACATGTATGTACACTCAACTGCCTACTCAATAGTACCTCAAATCAGCTTACCCAAAACTGAATTCATCATTCCCCCTCATCCCAACCTCTCTCCTCTTTCCACATTCCCAATATCGTGAATGATGCCGCTGTACCCCCAAACTCAAGCTGGGAATCTGGAGGTCATCCTTGATTCCCTCCCCCCACCCTTTTTTTTTGTTTTTGAGACAGAGTCTTGCGCTGTCGCCCAGGCTGGAGTGCAGTGGCGCTATCTCAGCTCACTGCAAGCTCTGCCTCCCGGGTTCACGCCATTCTCCTGCCTCAGCCTCCCGAGTAGCTGGGACTACAGGCGCCCGCCACTATGCCCGGCTAATTTTTTTGTATTTTTTAGTAGAGACGGGGTTTCACTGTGTTAGCCAGGATGGTCTCAATCTCCTGACCTCATGATCCACCCGCCTCAGCCTCCCAAAGTGCTGGGATTACAGGCGCGAGCTACCATGCCCGGCCGATTCCCTCCTCTTTCAGCTCTCCCATATCCAGTTACTGAGCCTTAAATCATCATTGCCTAAACTCCTCTTGAATCTATTTCTTTGCATCTCTATCACCACTACCCTAGTCTAAATGAGAACCCATTATCTATCCCTTTAACCTTCAACTACTTCCTAATTGACGAGCGTGTATTCACTCTTGCCCCTCTCCAACTCTCTCCTCCTACTGCATTTTAAAACACAAATTTTATGACATTATTCGGTGACATTGTGTTGTTCTTGGAAGTCCGTCCAAATTCCTTTGAACCATCCAATCATTTCTTATGTCTCCAGCCCTATCAGGCACCACCCTGTCCCTCAGTCTATGCTCCTGTCCTCCTGAACTTCTTTCACATCTAAACAGTCTTGTCCTGAGCTCTGCATAAGTTGTCCCCTCACTGTGGAACACTGTTTCCCATCCCCCTCTATGGCTCTTTCTTGATTGCCTAATTCATTCTTCAGCTCTCAGGCTAAAGCCATATTTCTATGGGGGAACCTTCCATCATCCCTCAGACAAGGTTGGATTCCCCCTTTACAAACTCATCACACTTGAAAAACCTGCTCAACACGCATCTTCCCTGCTAGATGTAAGCTCTATGAGGGCAGGGGCCACGTCTCCTTCATTAACCATTATAGACACTAGATAAATACGATAGGCAATAAGGATAAACAGCATGCCTAAATAAAAGTATCAAGCTATATTATATATAATGGGCCTCTGATAATAGTCCTGGGATTTTTTTCCTTCATAGTTTTAGCATTTGCTTCCATACCTTGAGAATTAGAATTGAAACTCTGTACTCAAGCCAGGCGCCAAAACTGCCCCAAAGACAAAACTAATCAGTTGCTGAGCTTTGATCAAGGCACCCAAAAGCCCAGGACCAAAAGCATGAGACATGCCATATCTTCCACTGTCCTAGAGCAAACTGATTTCTGTTTTTCATAAAACAAGAGATTTTTTAAAAGAAGAAGAAAAAAAGAAGGGAAAAGGGAACATTTGTCACCTACTGTGCCTTCCAGCAAAGATTCTTAAACCATCTAACCAATCTTTATTCCTCAAGTTTCTGGTGAGTTAGATAGTTGAAATGCTGTGTTCGTAAATATGTTTATGAGCAACAATGCCAGAAGCAATTATCATGTCATAAAACAATACACGCATCGGTGAAAAACATGGAACTAGTTTCTGAGACAACATCTGAGGCAAGCCAAGAGTAGCAACAGAACGACTGCATCCAAATCTGTTCGAAGAACCTGCCACACCTCCAAACCTGGCCTCACACACCTACCCAACACACAATTTAGCCTGTGAAGGTCGGGCATGGGAGCAAGAGAAAGAACATAATAGAAGGGAGAAGAACGGACAGAACTGGAAGAAAAGATAGGAAGGGAGTTTCAGGGCAACTGATACTCAGCAGAATAATGGGGGTGGTGAAAGGGGTAAGAATTGAAGTCCTCCTTGAGATCCCCCTCATCCCTCTTCCAATACACTCACTTCTATCTCTATTAGGAATTAAATATGGCAGCATTTTCCAGAGTGCGAAACTTTTAAAAGAGAAAATCTAAAGGCCTGGGTTACCTCAGATTCATCATAAAATCTTCGTGGTTCCCTCTGTTCAAGTGCAGGTCATTGGGGTAGACAAGAAAACTCACACACAGGATCATTAGGATCTCTATGGAATTCTTTCCTCGATCTACAAAGTCACCATTAAAAACATACGGGTTCCTCTCTGAGGGGAGACCATTCTGTGGAAGGAGGAGAAGGGAAAAAACAAGGAATTAAAAGAATATACTTTTAAAGTCAGGCCGTGTACATAACATCCCTGTTAATATGGAAAAAAGAGGCTGAGTCAGGTTCTTCCACCGGGAAAAATCTGCTCTCTCGCTTGAGCCAGTTTTACTCTTCCACGGCAGGCATCTCCTGCAAAGGCCCTGAAAGTGACAAATCTGCTTGGGAATGGAAGATTCCAGGGAGGATGGGACGGTGCTAATTCTACCCACCACCTACTATGAGTTTCCTCTGAAAGGAGCTGATATTTGTCCTATCAAACATGGCTATTCTGACCTCTTCCTTCTCTTCTGAAAAGAGGGAAACTTCTACCCAAGGAAGACCACCAAACTACGAGCCAGAAATCCTTTATTCTAAGGGGCCCTATGGTCAGCTCCTTGGGGCTGTGATTCCCCCAATTTGCAAAATGGGGATGGCACTACATCCCTCCCCAGATCACCTGGGAGAATGGAAATGAAAGTACTCAGGCAAGTGAAGAGTGCTATGTGATGTGACTGAGCAGCTCGGATGTACTGCCAGCGAGCAACTACACCAGGTGTGCAGAGCCCGGGTATATTCTCAGTGATCACTGACCGGGCCATATCAGTTTTTAAGTATTTTTAATATCACTCTTGAGTATGAAAAAATACTTTTAAACACAGTGTTAGCATGAAAAGCAGCAGAGATCAGAACAAAGGCCTGGTCTTTAAAATAGCTATTAATTCATTTAGTACTATACTATAAAACTCTAAGACAAAACAAACACATGTAACATGCCTACATTTTCTCGATGTCATGTTTGATAGGGAGATGGCTATTTCCCTACTGCATGGCTTCTACTGCATAATAAGACAAATTCAAATGTTTTAAAAATATATTACACAGAGACAAATTTAACTACTCATATATAAAAATGCATGTCCTCCTTCAAAAAGGTTACCTTCGCCAGGCATGGTGGTTCATACCTTTAATCCCAGCACCTTGGGAGGATGAGGCGGGCAGATCACTTGAGTTCAGGAGTTTGAGACTAGCCTGGCCAACGTGACGAAACCCCATCTCTACTAAAAATACAAAAATTAGCCAGGCGTGGTGGTGTGCGCCTATAATCCCAGCTACTCAGGTGATGAGGCAGGAGAATTGCTTGAACCCGGGAGGCAGAGGTTGCAATGAACCAGGATTGCACCACTGCACTCCAGCCTGGGCAACAGAGAAAGACTATGTCTAAAAAAAAAAGAAAGAAAAGACCATCCTGGCTAACACACGGTGAAACCCCGTCTCCACTAAATATACAAAAAAAAAAATTCTCCGGGCGTGATGGCAGGCGCCTGCAGTCCCAGCTACTCGGGAGGCTGAGGCAGGAGAATGGAGTGAGTCCGGGAGCCGGAGCTGGCAGTGAGCGGAGATCGCACCACTGCACTCCAGCCTGGGCGACACAGCAAGACTCCGTCTCAAAAGAGGAAAAAAAAAGAAAAGAAAAGAAAAAAGAAAAGAAAAGAAAAACAAAATGGCTACCTTCAGGAAATAATACACATATTCTAGAAATATTAATCTTTTTCAAATGATTTTCAAATTCCTCTTTTGTTAGATTTCTGACTACATTTAAAAATCTTATTAAACTCAGTATCTTATTATGTATATACATTTTAAATTGCTCATATCAGTATAATAGAAATAATTGAAAAAATTTAATACAGGTTACAGCATATAATTTAGGGATTCTAGAAAACATTTATACAATGTAACATGTTCTGAAGGCAATTTCAAACAAACAAATAAACAAGCAATGGCATAGTGTGATAAGAAGGTGAATTCTCTGGTCCAGGTCCATTCATTACCCATGTGTCCTTGGGCAAGTTATGTAACCTTTATGAGCTGTAGTTTTCTCATCTGTCAAGTGAGGATGATATCTTCCATACTTACCACACACGGCTATTTTGGAACTCAAATGAGACCATGTATATAAAATTGCATTAAAATGGTAAAGCAACATACAAATTAAGAGACTCATTTTATTATGACCATGTTATTTCTAATTCTAAGATTCCAATATTTTCTTTTTCTTTTTTTGAGATGGAGTTTCGCTCTTGTTGCCCAGGCTGGAGTGCAATGGCGCGATCTCAGCTCACCGCAACCTCCGCCTCCCAGGTTCAAGTGATCCTCCTGCTTCAGCCTCCCGAGTAGCTGGGATTACAGGCACCTGCCACCACGCCTGGCTAATTTTGTATTTTAAGTAGAGATGTGGTTTCATCATGTTGGTCAGGCTGGTCTTGAACTCCCAACCTCAGGTGATCCGCCTACCTCAGCCTCCCAAAGTGTTGTGATTACAGGCATGAGCCACTGTGCATGGCCCCAATATTTTCTTATGTATTAATTCATATAAGCTTATTCACACTGGGCTTAGTGTAAACCAGTTGCAAAAATACAGGCTATCGTTCATCAAAACGTAAAGAAGTCTGGGCACGATGGCTCACAACAGTAATCCTAACACTTTGGGAAGCCGAGGTGGACGGATCGCTTGAGCCCAGGAGTTCAAGATCAGATTTGGAAACATGGCGAAACCCCTTCTCTACAAAAAGTACAAAAAAATCAGCCAGGTGTGATGGTGCACACCTGTAGTCCCAGCTACTCAGGAGGCTGAGGTGGGAGGATTGTCTGAGGCCTGGGAGGTCGAGGCTCAGTGGAGCTGAGATCACACTGCTGTATTCCAGCCTGGGTGACACAGTGAGACCCTGTCTAAAACAAACCAACCAACCAACCAACCAACCAACCAACCAACCACAAAGAAAGGGGGAAGGATTCTGCATCTCTGATCTCTGTTACTCTTCCACCAGCCTTCAGCTGTCTAGGGTGAGTAAGCTAGAGGAACCTGAGGACTGTTGAAGGCTATAGACTCTGTTGGGATGTCCAGGTCTGAAGGGGGCTAGAGGAGCAGCGGCAGGGAGCCCTGGGGTGAAAACATGGAAGAACTAGGCCTGAGGGGATGGTGGACACTTGATTAAGGGGGTGGCTCTGCCTCAGCATGTGTGTGATCTTGGTTTGGAGGCAGGGGGAGCTGAAATGTTGGATCCTACTAGAAAAAGTGTAGGAAGATGTCTTCCACATCCTTGAAACGAAAAGAACAGATCACTTGCATTTAGGGGTACCTAGAAACACAGAGACTTCTTTTTCACACTCGATGCAGGAGTAGAAACTGTTGTGCCTCCAACTATGGAAAGGCTTAACCTAGCTTAAGCAGAAAATAGAAAATGGAAATAAGCTAGTACCTAAGAGGATCCGGCAACTAGAGAGAGACAGACCAATCAGATCTACTAAAGCAGATGGTCCCCAATAAAACAGGACTGCTGGAGGAAACAGAGAACTAGTTTGTTTTTAAAGTAATAAGAAGAACATACAAGAAAGAACAAAAACTTATTAATTCTTGGCATTAAGAATATACTATTCAAACTTAAAATATCAATGGGTTGGCCGGGCACAGTGGCTCATGCCTGTAATCCCAACACTTCAGGAGGCTGAGGTGGGTGGATCACTTGAGGTCAGGAGTTCAAGACCAGCCTGGCCAACATGGTGAAACCCCATCTCTACTGAAAGTACAAAAAATTAGCCAGGCGTGGTGGCACGCACCTGTAATCCCAGCTACTCGGGAGGGTGAAGCTGAGGCAGGAGAATCACTTGAACCTGGGAGGCAGAGGTTGCAGTGAGCTGAGATTGTGCCAGGGCACTCCAGCCTGGGCAACACAGTGAGACTCTGTCTCAAAAAAAAAAAAAAAAAAAAAAAAGCAATGGGTTAAAGGTAACTAGAAGAAAGAATGGTTGGGAAAATACATTATTGGCCTGAAAGAGCAAGCAGATGAAAAATCTCTTACTCTCATCATTTTGAGTAAAATCAAAATGATGAAAATCAGGAAGAATAAATAAGAGACTAGCATTCAAAGCCAAGAGACTTAATATGCCAATAATAAGCATTTCAAAATCAGGAAAAAGGAACAGATGAAGAGGCAATAATTACAAAAATATGAGAGAACATTTTCTATGGTTAAAAAAAAGACTTCAATTTGAAGCTTGAAACACGACTTCTACACACAATTGATGGGGACAAAATCCCTACCACCTGGTAAAAAGATTAGACGAGGCCAGAGAGAAAGAACAAGTTACAAAAGGAAAAGAATCAGCCTAGCATCAGACTTCTCATCTATAGTAGTGGGAGGTAGGAGACGGTAGAATAAAATTTACAAATTAAAGAGGAAAAAGGACTTTGAACCAAGATTTCTACAGTGGCCAAGACATTAAGTTCTCAGGGTGATAGAAAAGTACTTGCAGATGTGTAAAGAGATCAACTATCACCAACAACATAAATGCTCAGGGTGAAAGACAGACATGCAAATGTGTAGTATTTAACATCACAAAAACAGCAAACATGTATCAATTGCTTGTTATGTACCAGGCACAGTTTTAGGTGCTAGGAACACAGAAGTAAACAATACAAAGTCCCTGTATTCGAGGAGCCTGCATTCAGAGAAGATAGCATCCACATGCCCCACTGAGGAAAACACTCAACAAAACACTGTAACTAAATAACCATACTAACATTTAAAAGTCCCTGGCCGGGCGCCGTGGCCCACACCTATAATCCCAGCACTTTGGGAGGCCGAGGTGGGCGGATCACCTGAGGTTGGGAGTTCGAGACCAGCCTGACCAACATGGAGAAACCCTGTTTCTACTAAAAATACAAAATTAGCCAGGTGTGGTGGCGCATGCCTGTAATCCCAGCTACTTAGGAGGCTGAGGCAGGAGAATCGCTTGAACCCGGGAGGTGGAGGTTGCAGTAAGCCAAGATCATGCCATTGCACTCCAGCCTGGGCAACAAGAGTGAAACTCCGTCTCAAAAAAAAATAAAAATAAAAAATAAAAGTCCTCAAGTCAGGGAAAGATCAAGAGGAGAGAATACAGATGTGAACAATGAATCATGAAATATATAATTATATATAAATCAATATGACAATATGAAACTTGCATTTAAGTATTAAGCAAAGATTCCAGAAGTAGAAGAGACATGCTAGGAAGGAAAACCTAATAATGGTCAGGAACTAAAACTATGGTATGAGCAATAGCTAGGATTTACAGGGGAGGTGAGAAGAGAAAAATAAAATGCTCTAGAAATCTTAACTGAATGGGAGACATGGAGTGTGTAAACAGTTATCTTATTGAGAGAGAGAGAGAGGACTGCAGTGGAAGAATAAAGTTATAGCTATTTGAGAAATACACACATATACATTATTTACCAGAAATGTCAGAAGTGGGAAGGTAACCACTAGTGAATGGAAAAGCAGAGTAAAAATTCCAAATAAAACAATAAAAAATAAAACTTTACCAAAACAGCAAAAAGAAAAGGAAAAGGGTGAAACAAAGTGAAATAGCAAAGTAGAAGAAAAAATTTCAAATATATCTGTTGTTATACTAAGTGTGAATGGATTAAATTCTCTCATTAAAATACCAAGATTACCAGGCTGTGTTAAAATACAAAACCCAGATATATAGTGTTCATGAGAAATATACATTAAAAAGAAGGTAAGAGAAGGTTGAATATGAGGTAGATGCAACAAAAAGAAAGCAAGAATGGAAATATTAATACCGGGCAAAGTAGAGTTTAAGATTAAAGTACTAAACAGGATCACAAAGCAACATTATGTCATAATAAAAGGCACTTTATGAAAAAAATACAACTCATGAACTTATAGTCAATAAAAGAACACATTTTTGCTTCATACATTTAACTACTAAATGCAAGAAGAAATTGTTTAAAAATACACAGTGTGTTATTCAGATTGAATTACTGCTTTAAAATAATGTCCATAAATTCTTTGGCACTCTGTTTACAAGGTGAAGCCTAATTTGCCTCCCCTTGAGCAGAAGCAAGACTTACTGACTTGCTTCTCATGAAGAGAAAAAAAAGCAAAAGTGATGATGTACAACTTTGGAGACTAAGTCATAAAAGACACTGCAGCTTCCTGCATGCTTTCTTTCTTGGATCACTCACTTTGGGGAAAGCCAGCTGCTCTGTCACAAGAAGAATCAGGCAGCCTTGTGGAGAAGCCCATGTGGCTGTTCTGCCAACAGTCAGTGAGGAATTGAAATGCTGTGTCTACAGCCACATGAATGAACCATCTTGGAAATGGGTCCCTCAGCCCCAATCAACTTTTCAGATGACTGCAGCCCTGGCCAATAGTTTGACTGCTACCTCATGAGAGATCCTGAGCCAGAATCCATCCAGCTAAGCTTGACCCAAATTTCTGACCCACAGAAACTGTGAGATACTAAATGTTTATAGTGTTAAGTCATTAAGTATTGAGGTAATTTGTTGCACAGCAACATTCACAGCCAAATTCTACCAGAGGTACAAAGAGGAGCTGGTACCATTCCTTCTGAAACTATTCCAATCAATAGAAAAAGAGGGAATCCTCCCTAACTCATTTTATGAGGCCAGCATCATCCTGATACCAAACCCTGGCAGAGACGCAACAAAAAAAATGATTAACATATATAATAGAAAAAATATGGGAAAATTGAATATACAACCAATAAACTTGATTTAATATATGAAGAACTTTGTGTATTACAAATAAGAGAATACAGCTGACCCTTAAACAACACAGCTTTGAACTGCATGGGTCCACTTATATGTGGCTCTTCTCCCTCTGCCACCCCTAGACAGCAAGACCAATCCCGCCTCTTCCTCCTCCTCAGCCTACTCAACATGAAGATAAAAACCTTGGTGATGATCCACTTCCACTTAATGAGTTGAGTAGTAAATATATTTTCTCTTCTTTAATATATATATTTGAGAGAGAGAGTCTTGCCCTGTCGCCTACATTGGAGTGCAGTGATGCAATCTCGGCTCACTGCAACCTCTGCCTCCCAGGCTCAAGCGATTCTCTGTAGATTATCTGTAGATTCTCAAGCGAATCCCTGCCTCAGCCTCTGTAGTGTAGCTGGGATTACAGGCCTGTGCCACCAGGCCTGGCTAATTTTTGTACTTTTAGTAGAAACGGGGTTTCGCCATGTTGGCCAGGCTGGTCTCGATCTCCTGGCCTCAAGTGATCCACCCACCTCAACCTCCCAAGGTGCTAGGATTACAGGCATGAGCTACTACACCTGGCCTAAGATTTTCTTAATAATATATTTTTTTCTCTAGCTTATAATTATATAACATACAAAATATGTGCTCATCAACTGTTTATGTTATTGCTAAGGCTTCCAGTCAACAGTAGGCTATTAGTTGTTAAGTTTTGGGGGAGTCAAAATTATATGTGGATTTTCAACTGTATGGGGAATTGGTACCCCTAACCCCAGCATTGCTCAAGGCTCAACACTGTAATTAATTTTTTATATGTCCACGGAACTTTTATGAGAATCAGTCTCGTACTTGACTTCAAAGAACTCTTAAGAAATTCAAAATAAGAAAAATGTCACAGGATACAGTCTCATAAAAATGTGATTAGAAAAAAAGTCTGGCTCCTTGAATTAAGATTCTTGGAAATTAAAAATTATCATCTTAATAAGTATTATATCAAAGAGAAAATTAAAAGCAAAATTACAAGTGCAATAGAAGGCCTAGTTAACACTAAAATCAGAAAAGATGTGTAGCCTTAAATGCCTTCATTATTAAAGATGTTCACGAAAGATGGCATTCATCTTAGGAAATTAGAAAAACAATAAAACCCATCAAATAAGGAGAAGAGCTGAAACTAAGGAAATAGAAAAGAAATAAAAAGGATAATTTGGGTTTATATAAACCCAAATTTTATTGGTTCTTTCTTTGAACCAATTTTATGATTTCCTTGAAAATCATCCATTTCCTAGCAAAACTGATTCAAAAGAAGAGGAAAACATGAACAGTGCACTGGCCCCATGTGGCTTTCTAGCAGAACTCTATTTTAATTTTCATGAGCAAATAGTTTTAATGTGACTTAAACCCATGGTGCCCAACCTTGACTGCACATTAGAATCACCTGGGTGACTGCAGTGTATAGCCAAGTTTGAGTTTGCAACCCAGGGATTCAAATTATTATAAGTAAGAGAAAAAGATGAAAATCTCTCCAACTCATTTTATGAAACCAGTATAACCTTAATTTCAAAATTTGAGGAAAGCATCCAATAGTCTAAAATTATATTTATTATGTTTGAATGGTAAACACACTTTCTATTGCGATGACAGATTTTCTTGTATTAAAACTTCTTATCTCGAATTAAACCAGAATTTGTTGTGGGTAAATTCTTTGCTACCTCTGTGATGTCTTATTTCACCTCTACTATGAGCAAAGAGTAATGAATGTCTTCAGTTAAACCTCATTTTAAGCCCCAAATAGTAATGGTCAACTAATCCATCCACCTTATGCAACACACTTGACACTCAATAAGCCTTAACCTTTTCAGAAAATCTTCAAGATTTTCTTCAAGAATCTCACATGTCTTCAAGAGATTAAGACTTGTGATAATAAAGCTCATTCAAGAGAGTATGTCACTATCTCTGAAAGTGATTCTAAAAGGAGTCCTGAATGTATACTGAACTCCTTTCAGTGTTAAGCCCCTCAAGACAACCGCATCAAAGAGGGCAAGACTCATTTGGATGTGTAAGAACTGCCCTGTTGTTCCAGGATTAGTCGTATTACTTTATATAGTTTGGGTTTGAATCCACTTTAGTCTTAGAGTAATAAGGGAACTAAAAAGCACACAGGATGATGAGGAACTAGTCTACTGGGGTGTGAGTGTCTAGGATATTTAGGATTCCGGCTACTGACATTTCTCCAGGTTTCCTTCAAAGAAGCAAAACCTCATGCCATAAAACATGCTTCACCCAGTTCCAGTAAACGAAACCCTCTGGCTCATTCTGCAGCTAATATGCAACAAACCGTCTATGACATGGTGATTAAGTTGACAGATACAGAAAGTCCAGAGTAGCTACAACTCTGAACTGCACTCAGATGACCTGTAGGGGGAAAAATAGCAGACCATAATTAATTAACTTAAACAGAGACAAAAACCAGATGTTTCCCACAGTCTCGCCTATTTCCTATGGAAGCATTTTACAACAGACATCTGGAAATTATCCCAGTGAATTTGGACATTTCCTGAAGGCACATCAAACAATAAGCTCTGGTCAACTCCACGTTAATTTTCTTCTTCTGCAAACCCTATTTCAGAGGTCTGTTCTGATTGTAACATACTACCTTCACCTCAAAAGGAAAATAAAATTGGCCACTGTGGCAGTGTGAAGCATTTCAGTGATAGAAAATAAAGAAAATGTTTGACTACCTTGACAGCTGGAAAATTATGGGTGTAGTGGGTGGAGGATGGTGGGGAAGAGAGAAAAAAAAGGAAAACAAGGCAGTAGGGCTTCCACTGGATAGCATCAGGATGGTACCCACAGGGTTAAGAGTTCATTAGCATCTCTCTGTTCACATGCATCTCTTTTTCAGCGATAGGAGGTCACCACTCATGGCATCAATTTAACAAACTAATTTGGTGATATTGATCTAAAATTTCTAGCTTTCTATTCAATGAGGGAAAAATGTCTTGTAATTTTACTAAAGCTGAGGCTCTGAAAGAAGTATTTCAAACTGGTCACTCTAATTAAGCAACAGGGCTGATTAAAATTAATCTTTTCAGAAAATAAAATCTAAAAATATGACCTAACTAATGATATGTAAATTACTTCACTTGATGATAAGATTATATTTGAAGCCATGTAAAGTTGAGATGCCCTTTTAGCAAAGGTCTGTTGTTAAGAGTATGGTACCCAGTGGGGAAGAGTCCTTTTCAAACCCAGATGCGATTCTGAGCTGAAAATGTTTCCCTTAGTATTAAGGTGCTAGCTGATACAATTTTTAAGGACAACCAAATATTAAAGAAACCAAAATCTCAAAACAATCAATGAAGAACAATAATTGCTACAAATCCCATCATTTATTGTAGGGCACCACAAAAAGTGTCTGAGAATAAAATCTTTCATGATCCTCCAAAACTTCCCTTCATGATTTAGGCACTTACTAAATTACTAAAATTCTTTGAAGAGATCGTCAGAAATGTCTTCTCTTCCAGGAAGTCTTCCATAAGGTTAGGTGCTCTGCCAGTGGGTTCTTTTAGGACTCCATGCTGATCCCAATCATAACATGTCCAACCCTGAACTATCTTGTCTTTTTATCAGCCAACCTTCCCCACTAAACTGTGATGTCTTTGGGGCCAACAACTGTGTTTTAGTCATACTGTATTGCCAACCCTTAGTAGAGTGCCTCATTCATAATAGGTGTTTCATAAATATATGTTAAATCAACTTTGTATGGTCCTTTAGTGTTTATATGATACCTTGAACATTACAGGGACCAGATAAAAGTTTACTGAATGAATGCATTAGTAGACAGATTCACTTTTGCATATGGTGAGTTATAATGATAGAAGTCTTGAACCAAACCAACCACTTGGATGAAAAGAGTAATATGGTGAGGCCTCTCAGTGACCCTACATTAGAACAGTCTCTCAGGCTGTGCCCTTAGTTGGCTTTGGGCCAGCCCCAGCCTTGGAGCCTATTCATGCTATGCTGTATAAAAGAACTGATGAGGAAGAAAGTGTCTAGCAAACCACCAATTGAGATGAATTAAAATTTTGTCTTAATTCAAAGCCTGAGGTTTTCCTACTTACTCTTGTGAGTGATGGAGAGAATCAGTTAGTCATAGTATAACATAAACTTTGGTCACTTATAGCTCCAAAAATCTCCAACAGGATGTAGTTTGCCAAACTATTCCCCACAATTCAAGATCTATTGCTCTTAAAAACAATAATAAAATAAAAGTAAGTGAAAGCACGGCCACTAACTACTTCTAAACAAAAGATTAGGAGCCTGTGGTTACACTGATGTGACTCAATTGTAGCTTCTATCAGTGAACCAGAGTCAGGTATGACATATAATTGGGATTCAATCAGTTGTTGACAAATTGATTAGTACAAAGCATTACAGTGAGAAACAAAGACCATCACAGAAATTCTACCATTTCCCGAAGCAATCAAGTGATTGCTTAGGTCATAGTTATGCACCTCCTGTAATCTGAGCAGGCAACCTTCGTGTGTGATGCTACCAAGAGAAATCCATCACCCCCCAACCCCCTCACCACTCTCTTCCTTTGAGATGTGCTTCTTCCTTTCTTCCTTATCTATTTTTATGGCCCAGTGCTCTTCTCCTAACTAAGCTTTCTCTTTCTTCATGCTCTCTCATCCTCCTATTCCTAAGACCCAATATCCTCATTCATACTATAAGCATTGCTTAAATGGATTTTCCAGATCACTGAAGCTTATTCCTTTGAAAGCTAAAATGCCTTTAAAAATTACTTTAACCATTTTGGCTGGAAGTTTTTAAAATGTGCCATTTGCTCCCTTTACTTCTTCTTATTTTTTTCAGATGGAGTCTCGCTCTGTTGCCCAGGCTGGAGTGCAGTGGCACGATCTCGGCTCACTGCAACCTCTGCATCCCGGGTTCAAGCAATTCTTCTGCCTCAGCCTCCTGAGTAGCTGGGACTACGGGTGTGTGCCACCACGCCCAGCTAATTTTTGTATTTTTAGTAGGGACAGGGTTTCACCATATTGGCCAGGCTGCTCTTGAACTCCTGACCTCATGATCCACCTGCCTCGGCCTCCCAAAGTGCTGGGATTAGAGGCATGAGCCACGCGCCTGGTCCCCTTTACTTCTTAAGAGTATACACCTTATAACTTGAAACTCTCTTGGCCTTGCAGGCTCATCAGTCTAAACATCCCCTCAGGCACTTCTGACAAGGCAAGAACTCTCTTCCCTACACTCCACAGCTCCAGATCGCTGAGTATTAGTATTTCAGTTTTTATCTCATTTTTATAGTTCTGTCTTTTAATTTTCTTTTCTTTTCTTTTTTTTTCTGAGACAGAGTTTTGCTCTTGTCGCCCAGGGTGCAGTGCAATGGCACAATCTTGGCTCACTGCAACCTCTGCCTCTCGGGTTCAAGTAACTCTCCTGCCTCAGCCTCCCAGGTAGCTGGGATTACAGGCATGCACCACCATGCGAAGCTAATTTTTTTTTGTATTTAGTAGAGAATGGGGTTCCACCATGTTGGTTGGGCTGGTCTCGAACTCTTGACCTCAGGTGATCCACCCGCCTCAGCCTCTCAAAGTGCTGGGATTACAGGCGTGAGCCACCGTGCCCAGCCAGAACGTTTTAATTTTCATTGCTGTCATTATGTCTGACTTTTCCATCTTCACCTCCCACTCCCTAATCTGCTGTGGGGTGGGTAGCCAGACAGGCAAACTCATGTGAACCTTGCGTGAGAGAAGGTTTTACTGATACTGGTTCATGGGTCTTTGAGTAAGAGGCCTAAGGCCTGTCCTGTGAGTAGGGTTCATTGGATTTGTGTCAACAATTTCAAGCGTTCAGAGACCCTTTTTACTTAATTCTGGGTTTGGGACATATGAGTGGTAAGTGAAGGTAAGTAAAGTAGGCTGAAGTTTGACATTGGGATAGGTGGGGTATCACTGTCATTTATATTTATATAGAAACACTGTTTCCAGAACAGCCTGTATTCATGCTTTTAGGCCACAGTACATCCATGCAAACTATCATCATTCTCCAGTTAAACTGCAGACAAAAATAAATAAGACAGAAAAGGGCAAAATCCTGACTTTGGTAAATCAGAGATCATCAGATGGTCGGGGCTTCCTCAGATATCTCTGTGTCCCAGCCTTTCATTTCCCTGCTTTTAACTTAGGACATTCTTTTGCTATAAGCTAAGCGACCAAGCACCATCACCCCCAAGCTCTACGTGTCATTCTCCCGTCTGAGACACCATTAAGTACACTACCTTTCCAGCTTCTTTTTTTCTTTTTTCTTTTTTCTTTTTTTTTTTTTTTTTTTGAGACAGAGTTTTGCTCTTGTCCCCCAGGCTGAAGTGCAATGGTGCGATCTTGGCTCATTGCAACCTCCACCTCCCGGGTTCAAGCGATTCTCCTGCCTCGGCCTCCTGAGTAGCTGGGACTACAGGCACGCACCACCACATCTGGCTAATTTTTGTATTTTTATTAGAGACAGGGGTTTCATCATGTTGACCAGGCTGGTCTCGAACTCCTGACCTCAAGTGATCCGTCCACCTCAGCCTCCTGAAGTGCTAGGATTGCAGGCATGAGCCACTGTGCCCGGCCTTTTTCCTTTTTCTAGATAAATGAAAGTAATGTATTTATTCACTTATTATAAATTCCTTTAAAATAATAATATAGTTTCCGGGTTTTCTGCTGTACCGCTGTTGAAAATACTAATGATATTATTGATCAGCTATTTTCCCCATTGCTTTATCATTGTTGCTATTTTCTTCTTTTTTAAAAAATAAATTTTACCATGTACATTCAAGGTATAATATATCATGATGTTACAGAATACATACATATAGTAAAAAGGTTACTATAGTGAAGCAAATTAAAGTATCCATCATCTGACATAGTTATCCAATTTTTGTTTTTTTGTGGCAATAGCAGCTAAAATCTACTCATTTGGCATGAATCCCATATATGGTACAATTTTATTACCTATAGTCCTCGTGTTGTACACTAGATCTCTTTTCAGTTTCTTAAAGTGGAAACTTGCTGTCATCAATGGCTCTTCCCTCGGTTTCCCCACTTAAACCAGGCAGTTTCGAGATTCTGGTGTATGTGGTTCACTCCATGTCCAAGATGCATTTTACCTTCTTCTCACTCACGCCTGCCAGAATTCTAATCCATGGCTCTTGCACACTTCTGTTTTCCAGACATCCCTCTCACCTCTCTACCCAAATCCATCCTAAATATAATAGTGCCCTAGTCTTTCATCACTGGGCTAGCAATCTCCATTTCCTTAGCACTGTCATTGGTTAGCTCTCCAAATATATCTTGCTTGCATTTGAATGCTATATTTTCACCTTTAGTTCCTTTTATAGTACTTCTTACCACCCACCTCCTCCTGTTCAATCTTTACATTAGCACCTTCCAGTTTTATATGTTCCATATAGTTTTGCAGACAGAATTAAAGAAATATGTTAGAATTCTCTTTTCTCATCTGTCTACTCCAGAGTCCTATCCCTTATCGCACTTTCATACGAAATAAAGAAATTTTCTTTTCTAAATGCCTTGGAATTTAGTGACTACGTTCCCGATTTAATTTACTCAACTATTTGCCCTTTTATATATTTCTCAAGACTCTAGATAAAGAATGACCAGGTTTGTTGTTGTTCTCCACATGCCCTGCCCCCTCCTCCTTCCTCACATTGTAATTGTCAACAATAGCCGGACCGCACTTCTGAACATTTGGTGTGGAGCTACGTCCCAAATTAAATAAATCCCATCCCCTGTCCATCCTTCCACCTTTCCCATGGCACTCCAGTGGGGCCAGTAGAATCTCCATTTCATGGTCAATGAAGCCCCTTCCACCTTCAACTTATTCAGAAAGGCTTCTCTCCTCCATAGGCCTGGGCTTCCTCCAGAGCACAGCAGCACTCCTGACTCCTGCAGCCCTTCTGAAGGAAAGGACCCACCCATCCCCAGGACACCCACCTCAGGCCCAGGAGCAGGGGAGGCTCTGCTTGCCCCCAGGGCTGCTCACAGAGAAACACCCCACCACCCTCCTTTCAGGCCCATGACCTCTGACTAAACTTCCTTCCCCTGCTCCTCATCTGGGTCCACGTGGTGCCCCCCACTGTTGAACACACCTGCTTTCCAGGTCCTTGCCCACCTCATCGCCAATACTCTCTTTCGATGGCTTGGGCTGCCCATGTTCTAGGCTCCACCCCAGGGCATCCCTTGCCCTGGGACTGCTCCCCCTGCACTTCCCACCATCCTACCTCCTAAGGCCCTCACTGCAGTCAGCCTGCTCCCTGACACAGTCGGTCAGCATTCCAGTCCTACTACCCTCCTACTTCTCCCAGTTGACTGGCCCATCCTGGCTTCTCTTCCTTCCCTACCCAGCTTAGATTCTGTGGCTGATGTCCAGAATTGCTCTTTCACCAGCCCCCTCGGCTCCCTGCCAGCAAACCTTCGCCTGGACTTCCTACACCAATCTGCTACTTGGGACACCTCCTGACACTCTCTGACAGTCACACTCTACGTCCTGGCTTGGGCCTGCTGAAGTCTCAACGGAACCTCTTCCTAGGTGCTGGCTCTACCCACTCCTGGTTTGGCCTGTCCTCTTCCCTTCCAAGCTGCTAATCTAATGCATGAAGTGAAAACCTTGTGTTTCTATTATAATTTATTATTTTAAAAATGCTTTTGGATACTTATTTTATCCAGAATACAACCTCTTATGGGGTGGAAGCTCAAGATAATATTGCAGCTGAAAAAAAAAATTGCAGTTCATGGAGGTTGTATGGCTTACTCAAGCTCTCACAGCCTCAAAGAGTGGAACTGATTGGTCATCAAAATGTGGCAGGCCAGGTCTCACTAACGCAGGCCTCCATAACAACTGTCTCAGTACTGACTGAGTGGTTCAGTTAAATATTAAAAGCTCAAAGAGCCAGTGCCCTATACAAAGGCTGGAATGTAACAAAAGCCCACCAAGAGTTTTGTCTAGGCCTTTCCTGGGCGTTAAAGCATGGCAAGATAACGAAGGAATTCTTAACAGGACCTATTTAGGATTAAACAAGTTTTACTGGGGATGTGAAGAAACTCCCCAGGCCTCCACAAACAAGTTGATTGGGGGTCTGAAGGAACTCTGCAAACCTCCATGATTTAGCAGGAGACAAGATAAGGGTAATCACCCCAGCACCTGGACCGATTTAGATTAAGTAAATTTACTGAGGCTCCAGAGGAAGGTCTTCAGGACTCAGACCTTAGTTATAGATGAAAAGAAGTTAATCACTTACGTCTTTAGATGAGTGCACACTTACACGTAGACATATAGCTTAGAAGGTATATAAGCTCTGGAAAACTTTCTAATTTTGAGTTGGTCTGGTGATAATTTCCAGGCCTTCTCCCTGGAGCCACTTACAGAAATAAAAACTCTCTTCCTTCCCAGTTCATCTGTATCTCGTTATTGGGCCATGAGAAATAGCAGCCCAACCCTCAGTTTGGTCCAGGAACAATAATGTTAGAGGTGTTTGAACCAGAGCACGCAGAAACCGCAATTACTTTTGCACCAACCTAATAAAACAGTTGCAGTAAAGAAGCCAGCTAAAACCCACCAAAACCGAGATGGCAACAAGAGTGACCTCTGGTCATTCTCACGGCTATACTCCCATCAGCATCATGACAGCTTACAAATGCCATGGCAACCTCAGGAAGTTACCCTATGTGGTCTAAAAAGGGGAGGCATGAATAGTCCACCCCTTGTTTAGCATATCATCAAGAAATAACCATAAAAATGGGCAACCAGCAGCCCTTGGGGATGCTCTGTCTATGGAGTAGCCATTCTTTTATTCTTTTACTTTCTTAATAAACTTGCTTTCACTTTAGTCTATGGACTCACCCTGAATTCTTTCTTGTGCGAGATCCAAGAATCCTTTCTTGGGGTCTGGATCGGGACCCCTTTCTGGTAACAATAATAATCAGAATATATTTTCTTTCCACCCATCTGAGATACCTACGCTACGCCCAATTATTTGACATGCTAGTTGTGGGGGTCACAGGAGTAGATGAACAATAAATGCATTAATCAAAAAGAGACATTCAGAAGACCAGTGTAAAGGGGTAACCGCTGTGAAGGCAGGGATCTCAAGATCAGTTTTCCATATGCAGTCAGCCATCCCTGAAGCAAACATTCAGGCTGTAACTCTTGGCCCAGAGACAGAAAAAAATCCAATCAAAGAGATGCAGAGAAAATCCATGCTGGCCAAGCAGTCTTGTGCCCTCTGTGCTGGCTCTCACAAGCCAAATGCAATAAATGAAGAGGAGGCACAGCATTGGAAGAACAACTGAGCCCATGGATGGCGAATCAGGGGAGAAAAGAGAGCATGCTGGAACTTATTCCTTATCATAAGCAACTCCACTCATGCATAATTAGTGTGCACTGGAAGAGAAGACTGGTATGTGACATGCTCATCCCTGAACAAAATTAAAATAAAACAGACTGCATCCCTCCCCATCCTGTACCATCTAGACATTTATGATGCGATAAAGACAATAAATACAATCCGGTACAAATCCTAATGGATACACAGACAACAATAATGTAGAATGAAGACCCAAAGTACAATTTTTTAAAAATTTATGAGATGTGTGTTAAAAAAAAAAAAGATATGGCTCTACAAATCTTTGAGCCTCCTGGTTAAAAACAGTAACATTATATCTGTATTAGTACATATCTCTAGTAAAACTAATATTGTTATCTGCCCTAAGACTGCCCTCCCCCAAGAAAAATGTTAATATTTAGCAAAATCATCATTTACCTTGTAGAAGATCAAAAAAAGATCATCCAGTTTCCCATGCAAATCACCTGCAGTGCAAATGAAAAATCAGTATTCAGTAGAGAACAAGATGCAATGCCCATTTTTAAAAGTGAAATACTGCTGATCCACTCCAAGTGTTCTCAGGGCATTGGGTTTTTATCCTATGACGATGTTAATTTGACAGGCAATTTGTCTCCACAGCACTCTTCTCTTCCTCTCCTATAGTGGGGACAGCATCTAGTGCTTCAATTACCTTTTCAGTCCAGTCATTTGCACAGGGCTTCGATCACTCTGGGCCAAGCACTGTGCTAAGGGTTTTACATGAATTATCTAGTTCAGTCCTTACAACCACTCTATGAGATGGGTTTTATCTTCATCATTCTCATCTTACAAATGAGGCTCACAGTAGTTAAGTAAGTTATGCAAAGATACCCAGCCATCAAGTATCAGAGCAAGAATTCAAACCCAACTTTAACTCACTTCAAAACTCAAGCTTGGCTGGGTGTGATGGCTCACACCTGTTACCCCAGCACTTTGGGAGGCCAAGGCAGATGGATCATTTGGGCCCAGGAGTTCAAGACCAGCCTGGTCAACACGGCGAAACCCCGTCTCTACTAAAAATACAAAAATTAGCTGTGCATGGTGGCACACGCCTGTAATCCCAGCTACTTGTGGGGGCTGAAGCATAAGAATCGCTTGAACCCGGGAGGTGGAGGTTGCAGTGAGCTGAGATTGCACCACTGCACTCCAGCCTGGGTGACAGAGCAAGACTCCATCTCAAAAAAAAAAAAAAAAAAAATTGCCAGGTTTGGTGGTGCGCACCTGTGATCCTAGCTACTCAGGAGGCTGACTGAGGTGGGAAGATTGCTTGACCCTGGGAAGTCGAGGCTGCAGTGAGCTGTGATCATGCCACCACACTCCAGCCTGGGTGACAAAGTGAGACCCTGTCTCAAAAATAAAACGAAAAACAAAAAACCCCTCAGGCTCTTAGCGATTATTCTGTACACCCACACTGTAATCCCTAGGAGAGCAGCAACAGTATCTATTGTAGTCAGCATTGAATCCCCAAGTGCCTACCATAGGACCCAGTGGATAAGAGGCACTCAGTAAATACATTTCTTGGCTAAGTATATAGCTTTTTAAAGCCGTGTTTTTAATATACTCCAGTAGCAGCATCTGAAATTTAAACTTTGTGAGTAGGTAGTTGACATTCTTTGATGAGACATAGAAAAAAAATGAAAGCCAACTAGGGGAGATCATGAGTATCTGAAGCCATTAATTAAAAAATAAGGCCAGGCACGGTGGCTCATGCCTGTAATCTCAGCACTTTGGGAGGCCGAGGCAGGTGGATCACTTGAGGCCAGGAGTTCAAGGCCAGCCTGGCCAACATGGTAAGACCCTGTCTCTACTAAAAATACAAAAATTAGCCAGGTGTCGTGGCGTGCACCTGTAATCCCAGCTACTCAGGAGGCTGAGGCAGGAGAATCGCTGGAGCCCCGGGAGGCAGAGGTTGCAGTGAGCTGAGATCACTCCACTGCACTCCAGCCTGGGTGACAGAGCGAGACTCTGTCTCAAAAAATAGCAATAATAATGAGTGACTATGTGAATATCCAAAAGCCCCATTTGGATAACTATTTCTAGGTAAAATATCTTTCATAAGTTCTGCTCATAAATTTTTATTCTTTGTATCCAACTTAATTACTATACAATTTAATTTACGAATACTTTTCCCTCAGTTTGCTTAAAATCCCACAACCAAGATTAACCAAATACATGCAATAGAAGACTCCAAATATACTGGAAATAATAAAATAGAAATTCTATATCACCAGCACTTATTTATAAAATACTACTATAATATTATTAGCATATTAGTATCATTGTGTGCTTAAATCTCATTGCTTTCATATGGTCTCACTCTAAATCTAAGGACATAAAGATGGGAGGACTCTTTACTTAGTTTAATATTTTTAACTTCTAGTTGGACAGCGAAAGAAAAACTCGTACCATGGGAAGAAGGACAGAAAGATATTTCCACTGCCAACAAAAACATGAGTGCAGAATTGGTTATCATTTATAATATAACTGTAGACTAAAAATCCTCTTATATTTCATGCATGCTGAAAACTACGGGGCATATTTAGATGTACATGTAAAAAAATGCATCTCACAATTAAAATAATAGCAAATTTTCATCACAATCTCTCCCCCTTTCCTAACACCGTCTTAAACGGAAGATGGTTTTGAAGTTATGGCCCCAATTTTAAATTTTATTATAAATAATCATGAAATTTTTGAAGTTCAATGAGCTGTTAAAAATAGAAAATAATAATATTCCCATGTTAAGAAAACCCACTGGCCTTGTCTTTTCCCCCTACCAATGGTGCCACGTGAAAAAGTCTAGAAATAAGTGCCAAGATGTGGAAATCTTTAACCAATGGAGATGTCCAGTTAAGTCACGCCCTAATCTTTGTCTCACGATGGACAATGAACCACCAGGTACCTAATGCGAGTCAGGATGGCAGATGTGGGGCTGCCTCTAACCTGGGATACAGAAGACCTGATTTTAATTCTGATCCTGCCACTTTTCTCTCTGAGCTTCAATTTCACCCATAAGAGCAAGGAATAGACTAGAGAACCCTTCAGTTCTCACACTGTGGGATTCTAGGACTGCCCTGCCCTGTAATTAACGTGTGTCTTCTTCCAGATCCTTTTAGCAAGGATGAGTCTGTAGTGGCTCCCAGTGAAACACAGGGGAGCGGATCCCATTCTCAGTTTGGGCTATTCTATATATCCTAAGAGCACACCTAGCCCTGGCCTCACAGACTTCACAGGGTGGCATGGCTTTCTGAGCCTCATGACCCGAAGTCTCTATTTTCCATGAAAAGGCCAGGTGAGGCCTTGAATAAAAGACCCCCACTGCTGAGATGAATCATCTGCCAGTCAGAGACGTGATGCCTGATGAGGCTGGAAATGAACCATTAGAGACTCTTCAAAAACCTGAGTCAGGGCATGTGATGAGGTAGGCACTGCTACATCAAGTCCCTGCCACCACTATCAGACGCTAGAAATGCAAATAGTTTAATTAGATTGTCAAATTCACTTCTACCTGCCAGAATAAGAGAAATGCAGGCTAAAAACTGATTTGGAAAATAACAATCACTGTTTTGTAACCTAAAGGCTTAATTAGAAGTTAAGGGAATTGCTGTTCCTTCCACGCACCCCACTGTCAAACGGTTGCAAGCATGCTGAGCACCAACTGTGAGGAATTTCAATGTGTACTGTTTCTTGAAGCAATATCCTGCCAGGCTGGCCTATATGATAGCAAAATCTCAAATCTTGTTATTTAAAAGAACAAGAAACAGATTTCTGGGACATTCCCACTCTTCTAAAAGCTGCACAGACCAGTTGGAAAAATCTAAAACAGCAGCCAAGGGCAGAGAAGAATTTAATCTTCACCCCGCCACGGGCTTTTCTCTTCCCAGCACAAGTGGCATGCAGAGGCCCACCTAGAAAAAGCAACGTGGAACAAAGATAATGAGAGCTAGACGGAGGGCAAAGAATGCTTATTCCACCCATGGGTGGTTTTTCCATATTAAAATGCTGTCTGCCTTTATAAAAAGCTATGAGCTCTTTAATTTCTCACATAATTAATTCCTGCCAGCTGGTATGCAAAACAAAGACAAGATGGGGAACAGTATTATCATGATAGATAATTCTATATTAACATTTTTCCCTTAACACAGTCCAATTTACACAGTTTTCAAGTTAGGCAAACGATGTAGGACCAAGAGGCTCCTAAATATTAATTGGACAACTCTGCTCTGAAACTTACCACAGATTGTTACCTCTTTGGAGGGAGAAGTTTGTATGTGAGTGAAATTCGGCATTTGCTTCAGGACTTTCTTGGTTTCAAATAGCACCTCTAAGACATAATGGGCATGAAGTATCTGTGAGCGGGAAGCAGAGGAAATAGATGTAATGAACAAGGAAGAAAGACATGACTGTATAGAAAACTGTAAAGGTGGAGCAAGCACGCACGTTTCAGGTCGCTGTATTTCAGGATAACCTTTCAATTATTCTGAAATAGATCATTCTAGCCCAGTGTCTGGCATATAATAAGCCCTCAGTCGACGTGTGTAACTGAGAAAATGAATCATCATCCCAGGTCCTTAGAGCCCAAGAGAAGTGAAGGGAGGCACGCCCTTGCCCTAGGGAAACGTGCAGACAAAAAGCCAATTGTAATAATAAAAGAGAAAAAGAAAAAGGAGAGGGAGAATGAAAAAAAATTATAAATACATACTCCAAAATATAATACAGCAGAGATGTGACTACCACACAAATTTAACATATTTTAATAGGTCAAAACTATTTAGACCTATTGCCATATTGGACCTATGCTGTCCAATATGGCAGCCACTAGCCACATGGAGCTACTGAGCATGTGAAATGGAGCTAATCTGAATTGAAATGTGCTGTAAGTGAAAAATTCACACTGGATTTTCAAGCTCTTTCCTTTTTTGTGGTGGGGAAGAGATAGGGTCTCATTAGGTTGCCCAGGCTGGTCTCGAACTCCTGGTCTCAAATGATCCTCCTGCCTCAGCCTCCCAAAGTGTTGGGATTATAGGTGTGAGCCACCACCCCCAGCCACATGTAATCTATTGATTCCCAACACTGGCTTCAGTGTTACCTTAGCTTATCATTGTAGTTTTTCTGGTCCATTGGTAGTACTTATCAGAGTAACTGTTGTCTAAAGGGGAAGTTTTCTTTTTTATAAAAGCTAAATTAACAAATATTCACTGAGAATATATTGCAACAACAGAAAATTATTATGAAAATAATTTCTCTGGGTCTTTGGATTGACTAAAATCATTTTGGTCATACTAGTCCTTGCCTATAAGGCTATCTTTCCATAGCATTAGAATTATATTTACAACTGCAATATTAAATGCTCAAGATGATTAACTCAGATGGCAGTTTCTCCATTTATAAATATATTCAGGTTAAATAACCACTTGAATAAAATAGTCACATTCTTTTAAGTTAGAGGAAAATACTACCTTTAAAGAATATTTCTTTTTAAAAAAGTAGTTTTAGGGCCGGGCACAGTGGCTCACACCTGTAATCCTAGCACTTTGGAAGGCCGAGGTGGGCAGATCACTTGAGGTCAGAAGTTCGAGACCAGCCTGGCTAACATGGTGAAACCCCATCTCTGTTAAAAATATAAAAATTAGCCAGGCATGGTGGGGCGCGCCTGTAGTCCCAGCTACTCAGGAGGCTGAGGCAGGAGAATCACTTGAACCCGGGAGGCGGAGGTTGCAGTGAGCCAAGATTGCGCCATTGCACTCCAGCCTGGGCAACAGAGCGAGACTCTATCTCAAAAAAAAAAGTAGTATTAAAATGGAGAAACACGTCATTTTTTTAGTTGAAATAAAATTTTAAATAGTAGAAATGGGTAAAATAATGAAAAGTCATTTTCCGTCTCCCCTAGATCTTATTCCCCTAATCCCTACCCCTAGAAACAGCCACTGTTAAAAGTATCGTATCTTTCCCAGAAATATTCTATGTGTTTGCAAGCATACAAAAATCAATATAACCACAGATGAATACAAAAATGCATGTATAAACATATAATCCCTTAAATACAATGTGCTATATCCATACAAAGTAACATTACTCAGCTAAAAATAGGAAGGAAGTACTGATCCATGCTACCACGGATGGACTCTGGAAACATGCCAAGCAACAGACGCCAGGCACAAAAGGCCACATATATTGTACGATTCCACTTACAGGAAGTGTTCATATTAGACAAATCCATAGAGAAAGAAGGTAAATTAGTATTGCCAGGGGCTGGGGGAGGGAGCAACTGGGAGTGACTGCTAATGGGTAAAGGGTTTTGTTTGGGGGTGATGAAAATGTTCTGGAATTACATAGTGGTGATGGTTGCACAACATTTTTAATATACTAAAAACTGTTGAACCATACAC
The DNA here is from genome assembly GCF_000001405.40 of Homo sapiens. Lineage (NCBI taxonomy): Eukaryota > Metazoa > Chordata > Mammalia > Primates > Hominidae > Homo > Homo sapiens. The sequence goes on along the minus strand of NC_000023.11, from coordinate 18,755,586 downwards.
TCTTTTTTTGGGGGCTGGGGGGGATGGAGTCTCACTCTGTCGCCCAGGCTGGAGTGCGGTGGCACGATCTCGGCTCACTGTAACCTCTGCCTCCTGGGTTCAAGTGATTATCGTGCCTCAGCCTCCCGAGTAGCGGGGACTACAGGCACGTGCCACCATGCCCAGCTGATTTTTGTATTTTTAGTAGAGACGGGGTTTCACCATGTTGACCAGGCTGGTCTTGAACGCCTGACCTCAAGTGATTTGCCTGCCTCGGCCTCCCAAAGTGCTGGGATTACAGGCGTGAGCCACTGCACCCGGCCTCATACACTTTAAAATGATTTAAATGATCACTTTTACATTAGATGAATTTTTTCTCAATTAAAAAAATCAAAATATACATGATCCTTTTTTTTTTACTCTGTACACTGTGTTGAACCTTTTATTCTTCCCTTAATAACAGTCTTTTCATTTTTATAAAGTCAGAATTATCAATCTTCTCTATTATGGCTCCTTGGATTGATTTATCTCCTTGAACTTATATTAAGCATATTTATTTTAAACTCAGAGTCTGATAATGCCACTAACCAAATACCCTACAGGTCTGTTTCCATTGTTGTTTGCCTCAGTTTTCTTCATGTGTCTTATAACCTCCTGTGCTTGGTTATATTTGTATTGAGTTCTGGAAATTGCATATGAAAAACTGAGGCCAGGTGCAGTGGCTCATGCCTATAATCCCAGCACTTTGGGAAGCCGAAGTGGGAGGATCACTTGAGGCCAGGAGTTCGAGACCAGCCTGGGCAACACAGTGAAAACTTGTCTCTACCAAAAGCTAATAAAAAATTAACTGGGCATGATGGCATGTGCCTACAGTCCCAGCTACTTGAGAGGCTGAGGGGGGAGGATTGCTTGAGCCCAGGAGGTCAAGGCTTCAGTGAGCTATGATAGTGCCACCACACTCCAGCATGGGTGACAGAGTGTGACCCTGCCTTTAAAAAAGAAAGGAAGAAAGAAAAACTGAACAAACAATCTCAGGCCTATTGTCTTCCAGAGAAGACTTAAATTTGCTGTTGGCAGGTGGTTAGGAGCCTTAGCTATCTAAGATGATCTCAGTTCAATCTCAGGAATTACATGATTCATTCCAAGCTGTTCTCTGATCATTGAAAAGCCAGTCTTCCAGTTCACTCTTACTCCTAGGTATGCCCTTTAGGGTCCTAACCTGAGAATGAGGGTACTGGGGTGATGTCAGAGAAAACGGTCATGTAGGCAACTCTAAGGTCCCATTCCGCCACAAAAACATTGACAAATCAAGCAAAAACAAACAAACAAACAAACCCTGTCAGAATCAACTTTGTCAGAACTCTGGAAAATACTCAAAGTTTATAGCAACCAAACAGTGAATCAAGAAAAAGGAAACTGAACAATGGTTCAGCACAAGCGGGAAGTAAAGACTAACATTTGTAAATGGCCCAAGGAGTTGAAGGAGTGCTCCAACAGAGAGCCAATCTGCAAATATTTGTTGTTGGTTTTTTTCCCTTCCTTTTTTTTTTTTTTTAAATCGCTCCTGGTGTTCAAGGAAGTCTCTGTCAAAACACTAACTTAACACAAGCTAAAGGAACAGAGATTTCAGAGACCACACACAACTAGACCTAATAGATATCTACTAAACACTTTCCCCAACAAAAGCAGACTATACATTGTTCTCAAGGACACATGGAACATTCTCCAGGATAGACCAGATGTTAGGCCACAGAATAAACCGCATCGAATTTAAAAAGACTGAAATCATGCAAAGTATCTTCTTTGACCACAATGGAATGAAACTAGACATCAATAACAAAAGCAAAACTAGAAAATTCATAAATATGTAGAAATTACACAACATACTCTTAAAAAACCAATGGGTAATAAAAAGATCACAAAGGAAATTAGAAAATACTTTGAGAAGAATAAAAATGAAAACACAACATATCAAAACTTATGGGATACAGCAAAAGCAGTGTTCAGAGAGAAATTTGTAGCTGTAAATGCACACATTAAAAAAGAAGGATCTCAAATCAATAAACTAACTTAATATTTTGACAAAGAAAATACGAATTAGAGTGGAGATAAATGAAATAAAGAATAGAAAAACAATAGAGAGAATCAACAAAACCAAAAGTTGGTTCTTTGAAAAGATCAACAAAATTAACAAACCTTTAAGCAAGACTGACTAAGAAAAAAAGAGAAAATGAAAATAACTAAAATCAGAAACTAAAGTGGGGACATTACCATCAACCTTAAAGAAATAAAAAAGGGTTATGAGAGAATACTATGAACAATTGTACACCAACAAATTAGATTACTTAGATGAGATGAACAAATTCTTAGAAACTCCACAAATTACCAAAACAGACTCAAGAAGAAATAAAAAATCTGAACAGATCTAGAACAAGAGATTGGATCAGTCATCAAAAACCTCCTAACAAAGAAAAGTCCAAGGCCAAATGGCTTCAATGGTGAACTCTACTAAACATTTAAATTAGAATTAACACAATCCTTCTTAAACTCTTCCAAAAAACAGAATAAAAGGAAGCAATTCCTAACTCACTCTATGAGATCAGTATTACCCTGATACCAAAGCCAGGCAAAGACACTACAAGAAAAGAAAATTACAGACCAATATCCCTTATGAAATAGATGCAAAAATTCTCAACATAATACCAGCAAACCAAATACAACAGCATTTTAAAGGGATTATATACCATGGCCAAGAGGGATTTATCCCAGAAATACAAAGTTGGTTCAACATAAGAAAATTATTCAATATATCACACCACATTAATAGAACGAAGGGTAAAAAACGCACAATCATCTCAACTGATGTAAAAAAAAAAAAAAGCATTTGACAAAACCCGACAACTTTTCCTGATAAAACCACTCAGAAAACTAAGAATTGAAGGAAATTTCCTCAACATGATAAAAGACTTTTATGAAAAACCTACAACTAACATTAAACTCAGTAGTGAAAGATTGAAAGCTTTCCCCCTACGATGAGGAACAAGATAAACATGCCTACTTTCACACTGCTATTCAATATTGTGGTGGAAGTTCTAGCCAGAGCAATTGAGCAAGAAAAAGAAACAAAAGGCACCCAAATCAGAAAGAAGGAAATAAAACTATATTCACAGATACCATGATCTGGTATATAGAATATTCAAAAGAATACACCACACACGCACACATACACACACACACACACACAAACTACTAGAGCTAACAAGTATATTCATCAAAGCTGCAGAGTATAAGATCAACACACAAGTAATGAGCAATCAAAAAAGGAATTAAGAAAACAATTCCTTTTATAATATCAACCAAAAGAATAAATTGTTTAAGAATAAATTTAACCAAGGTGATGAAAGACTTGTCCACTAAAAGCTACAAAACATTGCTGAAAGAAATTAAAGACATAAATAAATGGAAAGACACCATGGGTTGAAAGACTTGTATTGTGAGGATGGCAATTATTACCCAAAGTGATATAGCAATTCAACGCAATCCCTATCAAAATCCCAATAGGCTTTTTTGCAGAAATGGAAAATTTGATCTTCAAATTCATTGCAAGGGACCCCAAATAGCCAAAACAATAATGAAGAACAATTTCAACACTGCAAAAGAACAAAGTTGAAGGACTCACACTTCCCTATTTCAAAACTTACTACAAAGCTACAGCAATCAAGACAGTGTGGTACTGGCACAGACACATAGACCAATAGAATAGAACTGAGAGTCCAATAACAAACCCAGATATCTATGGCCTATAGATTTTTATTTGTTTGTTTTTTTGAGATGGAGTCTCGCTTTCTCGCCCAGGCTAGGGTGCAGTGGCACGATCTCGGCTCACTGCAACCTCCACCTTTTGGGTTCAAGCAATTCTTCAGCCTCAGCCACCTGAGTAGCTGGGATTACAGGCATGAGCCACCATGCCTGGCTAATTTTTGTATTTTTAGTAGAGACAGGGTTTCATCATGTTGGCCAGGCTACTCTTGAACTCCTGACCTCAGGTGATGCACCCGCCTCGGCCTCCCAAAATGTTGGGATTACAAGCATGAGCCACTGTGCCCGGCCTGGCCTATTGATTTTTGACAAGGGTGCAAAGACCACTCAATGGGGAAAGAACAGTCTCTTCAACAGATGGTGCTGGGACAATGCATATCCATATGCAAAAAATTAATTTTGACTTCATACCATATATAGAAACTAACTCAAAATCATTCACAGACATAAGTGTAAAGGCTAAAACTATAAAACTCTTAGAAGAAAACACAAAGGCAAGTCTTCATGACCTTAGATTTGACAATGGATTCTTAGATATGACACCAAAAGCACAAGCAACCAAGACACCAAAAGCACAAGCAACCAAGAAAAAACATGGATAAACTGGACTTTATCAAAATGTAACGCTTTTATGCATCAAAGTACATTATCAAGAAAATGAAAAAACAACCTACAGAACGGGAGAAAATATTTGCAAATCATATATCTGATACGGAATTTATATCCAGAAAGAACTCTTATAACTCAATAATAAAAAGCCTGATTTTAAGTGGGCAAAGAATCTGCACAGATTTCTGCAAAGAAGGTATACAAATGGCCAATAAATACATAAAAAGATGCTCAACATCATTAGTCATTAGGGAAATGCAAAACAAAACCACAATGAAATGCCACGTCACACACACTAGGATGGCTATAATAAAAATAAAAAAAAAAACAAAATAACAAGTGTTGGCAAAAACATGAAGAAATTGGAACCTACATGGGAAGATAGATTGCTGGTAGAAATGCAAAATGGTGCCACTACTGTGGGAAGCAGTTTAGTAATTACTGGAAAATTTAAATATAGAGTTACCACATGATCCAGCATAGAGCTACCATATGACCCAGTGAAATATTCTTAAGTATAAGCCCAAGAGAACTGAGAACACATGTTTATATGAAAATCTGTGAATGAATATTCATAGCAGCACTGTTCACAATAGCCAAAAGGTGGAAATGATCCAAATGTCCATTCACTGATGAATGGATAAACAAAATGTGGTATACAATGGAATATTATCAGCCATAAAAAGAAATCAAGTAATGATATATGATATGACATGAACGAACCTTTAAAACACTAAGAGAAAGAAGCCAAACACAAAAGGCCATATATTTGATGATTTCATTTACATGAAATATCTAGAATAGGCAAATCCATAGAGACAGAAAATAGAACAGTGGTTGCCAGGGGTGGGGAGGAGGCAATGATAACAGGAATGGCCTTTCTATTGGGAGTGATGAAAATGTTCTGGAATGAGATATTGGTGATGGTTGCACAATCCTGTGAATGCGTGAAAAAGTCACTGAGTCGTACACTGTAAAATGGTGACTTTTATGGTATGTGAATGATATCTCAGAAAATGGCAAATGAAATGCTGTTAGCCTACAGAGAGGAGCTTGCTGTGCACCTGAGGAGACTTCTATTAAATGAGTAACAGAGGGGAGCTCTCACTTAATGTGAACTGTTTTCTAAAGAAATGCATCTCTGCTGTGGTATGTTCATCCATTCTTTCAACAGTTATTGGGCATCTGTTATGTACAAGAATCAAGGCAGCATCTGCTTCCACTTACCTGTTGTTCCTTGAAGGCCTCAAGAAGTAAATCAATATCCGTACAAGTGAGAGGAAATTGTAGCCGAGGACCATTATAGGAGTCTGGGACATCTATCGAGTCCACATAATCCCATCTATCCCTCATGTCCTGTTCGCTTTCAAGAGACTGATTTCTTAATTCTGGAAAAGGAAGGACAGAACGGGGGGGTGGGGGTGGGGGTGGGAATCAACATTTCAATACTTAAATTTAATAAATATCTTCTTGAATACCTAGCCCATGTAAGGCACTGTGCTAAATGTTCTGCATATCAACACAGCCCACATATAACCACGAGGAATGACTGACCCTGAGACCAGAACATTCACATGGGTCACCACCATCCCTTCCTGGGCAGATGTTTTACCACAGCAGTGGGTCCATGGCTAGTGGGAAGGGGAGGGAGAAGCACAGGGAAAACTAGCCAATCAAGGTATTTGGATGATCGAAGCTCTAGCTCTAAGTTTTTTGCCCACTCTTACATCTCAGACTTTTACAAATAGGGCTGAAAACAGAACAATACATTATATTTGGTTCAAACATCTGCTGCTATTCAGAACCTACAGAAAATTTAACTGCAACATTCAATTTTTCCCCTGTTAAACACTTCAGAGGATTCTATTTAGCTGTAACGGATTTGTTTTTCTCTTTACTTAAAAATAAACTTTCTGACATGATTTTCATTCTTTCTTGGTAACAAAGCAGATAAAGTTAAAGGACAAATCACAGGCAGAAATACCCAAAGAACCTCTCAGTCTCGGAGAGACAGTTCTACATAACGGAGTGCCTGCATTGTCCATTTTAGTGGGTGCTGAGACCCAGGGTCCCTGCCTGCTAGATTGCCCATGAAACAGTCAGCCCCAGTACAGAAATCAAGACAATTCAGACAGAGAAAGACGAAAGGAAACATGGTAGATGGATTGCAAAAGTGATCCCAATTCTCTATCCCACCTTCTATCCATGCTCTTTGTAATGTACTTTTGCAGCTACTCCCGTCAAGAGTGTGTTTCCCCATCCCTTCAAACCAGGCTGGGCTCATGACTTGTACTGGCCTAAAGAATGTGATGGAAGTGCTATGTACCAGTTCCAAGCTCAGGTCTCTCTGGAGGCCTTGTATGCTTTCATGCACTCTTTAGGAACAATGCCACTACCACAAAGCCTAGGCTAGGCTTCAGAAAGACCCAAGACCATGTAGAGCTGAGCTGAGTCATCCTAGCCAAGGTTGTCCTCGATCAGCCCCCAGCCAGCAGCCACCAGTGTTTGTTCTGGACACATGAGTGAACTCCAGCCAAGACCCAAAAAAACTGCCTAATCAAACCTGCCAAGATCAGCAGAAGTGTTCAGCTAATCTGTAGACTTGTTAGCAAAAAGAAATATTGATTACATGCCACTGAGGTATGGTGGTTGTTTAATACACAATATTCTTGCGGATAATGACCCAGAGGACAATGACATACTCTTCAACTCATTAACACCGAATTGTTACAAAGGCCATTCTTCAGAAGTTCTCTGCAAACAGTTTCTATCTTTTAAAATATTCAGAGTGGTCAAGATATAGACAGAATACATTTTTTTCATGATCCAGTTATGCTGAGAGATTACAGTTAAGAACTAAACGTGAAAAATGTTTTCTAAAGTCATACTATTTGGCAATTTAAAAAAATATTTTCTAAATTCTTGTGTACCACAGTGTTTTCTGGTGGTGGTTGATGATGTTTTATAAGAAGCTGAATTTAGGAGTAATAATGTCTGTCTTTAATGTGGTCCGGGAGTGGTTATTTTTCTCATTTGGGTTTGGTTTGAGATTTAAGAATAACTTAATTATTTCAATTTATATTTAGAGACTAGAAAGGGAGAGCATCTTGACAACTTTATCTCAGATTCATTACGTAGGCAGTAAAGCCTAAATACTTCACTGTCTTCAATGCCCATGCCACCCTTTTCAATTTGGTAGTCGTTCTTGGATATAAATCTTGCTTCAAATGAAAACTTTCCTTTTCCTGACTGTACACACTGAAATACCAAGCAACTCTTAGAAAAAACAAATAACAGCAAAAACAAAAACCCACAAAAACCCGCAGTACTTTCACTATATCATCTAACAGAATTATAAAGGTTATTTTCTGTTATAGACTCTAAAAAATAAAGTGAATATGGAACGCATGGTAAAAACTAGGGGATTCTGTTTTTTAGATGGGGGAGGAATTTATGATATGATTGCAGTGTTCATGAGAAAGGCAGTGAAACAGCCTGGGCAACATGGTGAAACCTCGTCTCTACAAAAAATACAAAAAAACTAGCTGGGCATAGTGGCGTGCGCCTATAATCCCAGCTACTCAGGAGGCTGAGGCAGGAGGATGAGCCCAGGAGGTCAAGGCTGCAGTGAGGTGTGATTGTGCCACTGCACTCCAGCCTAGGCAACACAGCAAGACCCTGTCTCAAAAAGAAAGAAAGAAAGGCAGCATAGCTTAAAGCATGCCTGATTTAGAAAGTCAGATGCTGGAAGGAAAGAGGAAATGAAGTTGAGGATGCAGCTATGGATGCAGACAGGCATATGGAACCACCCATGGAGCTGTTCCCCACACCCTTTCTCCCTTCCAAATCCTCAGAGGCCTGGCAACTTCATAGTCACTTCCTCCCTTGCCTGTATCTCCAGCATGATCCTCTCTTCAGACTCTGTAACACAATTAAACATAGTTAGACACTCCTCCGATCTAAGATGTCACCCCGGGACCTTGCATCTCCCCCACACTGGCGATGCTTTCCTCTCCCAGCCCAGCACTCTGTCTTTATTGTTCCCACTCTTCCCTCTCCCTGGACTACCCTTGCTTTCTCTTCTTTGGACAATTTATCATCCTTCAAAACTCAGCAACCCCTGCCCAGTTGAACCCCAGGCCACACCTTTTCCAAGGCATCATGGTGATAATGACAAGGATGGGAGCTCCCAGTTACTGATGTGCCAGGCACTGTTCTAAGCACCTTACACATGTGTATTCATGTAATGACCGAAACCACCCTATGAGATAAATATTGTTGGTATCTCCATTTTATATACAAGGAAAATGGGGTACAGCATGTAAGTAGCAGAGATGGAACTTGATCCCAGAGAATCTGGCTTTGAGCTCAAACTCTTAACCATTACACTTTTACTGCATATTAAAATGTAACTATGCTACACGATACCTACAGTATTATTTATATACTTATAACCGATTTATTTAGTAACCCCAACTCTGTGAGCAATAAAGCAAAAATCATTTTATTTTCCCAATCACTGCCTCCACCCATGCTGTCATCTCTCCCTTTCCCATCGGCTAACTGACACAGCAAATCAGTTCCATCCCTTCCAGTTATGAAGACTCAGTCTTGTTACTTAAGAACAAAATTAAAATATTGTTTTCATTCTTTAAAAAAAAGAGAAGCTTGGTCTACCGTCCCTTCCATAGATCTGATGACCATCATTGCCTAAAAGTTCAGTGACAAAGATATGAAAAAGGACCAGTTCCCTAAACCGATTCTTAGTTAAAACTACTCAATATGAAGTATTAGTCAACGTCAAATCATAATCCTTCTGCTGGTTTTTAGCAACATAAAAAAGAATAACATAAATTCTCTTCCAGTAGCTAATGTGTCATGTATGAAAACAATCAAAGGCTTTAACATTTCTTATGTATATACTGTTCTTGTGGGCTAGAACTATTATAACTAATAACAATAATTTAATGAACAATATATAAAGATTTGTGCAACACAGAATTAATCCTTACCTATTTGGTTTACAATTTTGTCAACATGAATCTAAACTAATTAAGAATTATAGGCAAATGATACCTTTACAAGTTGTTCTAAAGAAAATACCTCAAAAATACCCCCTACACACAATCTTTTCTTTTACCCAGTACAGACTCAAAATCTGGACAGGGAAAAATTTAAAGCCCATAAATTTTTATACAACAATTTCTGCCTCTACCACCCACATGTCACTTTGAAAACAAGCTCCAGATATTGCTGGAAAAAGAAAAGCAACAATTGAACTACATTTATAGTTATTTTTGTTTCTCAGTTATGAATCTGGATCAGAACCATTGGTGTCCATATAATAAATTCAATAGATGCCAAAATGACATTTCATAAAATTTAACATCTGTTCCTGATTTTTTAAAAACTCAGAAACTAGGAATGGAATGATACTTCCTTAACATCGCTTTATAAATTTAAATAATCAATAATGGTTTTTCCATTAAATCATCAACAAAACAAGGATGCCCACTTTCACTGTTTCATTCTAACACTGATCCACTATCTTTGGCCAATGCAATAAGACATGAAGCTGAAATAAGAGCAGTAATTATTGTATAGAAAGATATAAAAATAAAGTTACTTGTGGCCAATGTGATTAAATACCTACACCCAAGAAAATCAATTGAAAAACTCCCAGAATTGATAGGAGAATTAAATGTAATACAGAGGCTGGGCATGGAGAATTGCTTGAGTCCAGGAGTTCGAGACAAGCCTGGGCAACATGGCAAAACCCCTACAAAAAATGCAAAAAAATTAGCTGGGCATGGTGGTGCGTGCCTCTAGTCCCAGCTACTCGGGAGCCTGAGGTAGGAGGATCATCTGAGCCCAGGAGGTCGAGGCTGCAGTGAGCCATGATCATGTTACTGTGCTCTAGTCTGGGTGACAGAGTGAGACCCTGTCTCGAAAATAAATATATATATATATAATATATATTCTATATAATTATATGGAATATAATATAATATATAATTATATTATAATATATAATATATATAATATAATTATATAATATATATAATATAATTATATAATATATAATATATATTCCATATAAATATATAATTATATGGAATATATATTATATAAATACTATAATAAATATATATTTTATATTTTTTATATGTATAAAATATAGACATTAATCACACTGGTTTGAATCACAGCTTCTCCACCAATGAGATGAATAACCTTGGGAGATTGCCTTCTAAGCCTCAGATTCCATATCTACAAAAAGGGGATGATAATACTACTAATCTCACTGGTTTGTCATGAAGACTAAATGAAATGATGTATTTAAAGCACTTAAATACATGGCACATGGTAAACATGTAACAAATATCAACAATAAAAATATTATTATTACTTAATAGTAGCACAATATAAGATAAATTGACATAATTCAAAAGCTTTACTAAACACTACCGATAACCAATGGAAGATATAATGGGGAAAATGTTCTATTCACCATAGCAACAAAAAATATAAAATACCTGGTCCGATAGGACATTTTGGCTGATCTGAGAAGCAGAAAGAAAAGTGAAAACAACACTTCCACACACTCCATCCCACTCCCCGCTTCCGCCAGTCTCTGTTTAAACCTATGGCTATGTATGGCAGCTTCGGCTTTCTGCCTGTGGGAGGAGGCTGATGTGTGAAAAGTGGACTGGGAATGTTTCTGTGGAGTCTCTACACCCCATGGAGTCCTATGCACTGGTTTTGAGCTCTTAAAGTAGTAGCACAGGGAGATCAACTGTTATAATTGATCATCAAGAGGTGGTAGGATTACAAGGACAAGTATGACTGCTTCCAGGGTCACCTCTTATCTTCAGAGTACCCAACGTGTCTCAAGATACTCCATGCCCCAGAGTTAAGACCATTAATCTGGTGGCCCCGATATCTGGAAATGTTAAATAACCTTCTGGTTCCTAAAAATATCCTATTTAGGCCGGGCGCAATGGCTCACGCCTGTAATCCCAGCACTTTGGGAGGCCGAGGCGGGTGGATCACCTGAGGTCGGGAGTTTGAGACCAGCCTGACCAGCATGGAAGAAACCCCGTATCTACTAAAAATACAAAATTAGCCAGGCATGGTGGTGCATGCCTGTAATCCCAGCTACTCGGGAGCCTGAGGCACGAGAATCACTTGAACCTGGGCAGCGGGGAGGTTGCAGGGAGCCGAGGTCATGCCACTGCACTCCAGCCTGGGCGACAGAGTGAGACTCTATCTAAAAAAATAAAATAAAATAAGAAGAGTTAGAAAACTCTTCCAAATTCATAAGAAAAAGACAAATAACCCAATAGAAAAATGGACAAAAAAACCTGAACAGGAACTTCACCACATGAGATGTCCACATGACCAATAAACATACAAAAAGGTGAGCAACTTGGTCGGGAGCGGTGGCTCATGCCTGTAATCCCAGCACTTTGGGAGGCCGAGGTGGGCGGATCACCTGAGGTCAGGAGTTTGAGACCAGCCTGGCCAATGTGGCGAAACCCATTTCTACTAAAAATGCAAAAATTAGCCAGGCGTGGTGGCACATGCCTGTAGTCCCAGCTACTCAGGAAGCTGAGGCAGGAGAATGGCTTGAACCCGGGAGGCAGAGGTTGCAGTGAGCCGAGATTACGCTACTGCACTCCAGCCTGGGGAACAGAGTAAGACTCTGTCTCAAAAAAAAAAAAAAAAAAAAAGAAAAAGAGAAAAAAGAAAAGAAAAAAAGTGAGCAACTTGACTGCTCAAAGGGAAATGCAAATTAAACCTGAAATACGATACCACTAGATATTCACCAGAATGACTAAAATGAAATGAATGTACTATTGCAAGTGTTGGTGAGGATATGGAGCAACTGAACTGGTGAGAGTATAGCTTGTTACAACCATCCTGTAAAAATGTCTGCCAGTATCTAATAAAGCTGAACAGATATAAGCGCTATAACCCCAAACTTCTATCCCTGGCTTGTGGTACATTTTTATGATAATGGCTCCCCAAGGAATCATGCCTCCCTATGTCCACATCCCTTTATACTGTAATACTGCCACTCCTCTGAGGAAGAGATGGATATCTCTTTAACTGCTCTGAATTCACGTCTGGCCTTGTGACTTGTTTTAACCGATAGAGTATGGCAGAACTGATTTCCCAGAGTTCTAGCACATAGGCCTTAAGAGGCCTGGCAGCTTCTGCCTTTGCCCTCTTGGACCCAGCCATCATGTAAAGAAGTCCAGAATAGCCTAATGGACAGAAAGGCTGCGTGAGAAAAAGAGAGGTAACCAAATTTTTTTTTTTTTTTCTGAGATGGAGTCTCACTATGTCACCCAGGCTGGAGTGCAGTAGCACGATTTTGGCTCACTGCAACCTCCGCCTCCCAGGTTCAAGCGATTCTTGTGCCTCAGTCTCCTGAGTAGATGGGATTACAGGCGTGCACCAACACACCCAGCTAATTTTTGTATTTTTACTAGAGATGGGGTTGGCCAGGCTGGTCTTGAACTCCTGATCTCAAGTGATCCATCCACCTCAGCCTCCCAAAGTGCTGAGATTACAGGCATGAGTTACTGCACCTGGCCGAGAGGTAACCAAGTTAATACCTAATACCAAAATCCCAGACATGTGATTAAAACCATTTGATCTTTCCTGCCCAGTCCAGCTAGATGAGTGAGCTCAACTGATAACACATGGAACAGAGGTAAGTTGTTCCCAGCAAGCCCTGTTCAAATGCCTGACCCACAGAATTACATGCAATAACATGGCTGTTGTTTTTAAGTCACTAAATGTGGGGGTAGTTTATTAGGTAGCAATAGATAACCAAAAATGAATATATAGCCAAATAAATGCATACATATTTTACCAAAAGGGACATGTACAAGAATGTACATAGCAGCACCATTTAAATCACCAATCTGAAAACAACTCAAATGCCCATACACAATCGAATGGATCAATTATGGTATATTAGTAAAATGGAATATTATTCAGCAATAAAAATGACCAAATTACAAGGATGATTCTTACAAATGTAATGATGATCAAAAGAAGCCAGACTCAGGACTGGGCACAGTGGCTCATGTGTGTAATCCCAGCACTTTGGAAGGCCGAGGCAGGCAAATCACCCGAGGCCAGGAGTTCGAGACCAGCCTGGCCAACAAGGCGAAACCCCATCTCCACTAAGAATACAAAAATTAGCCAGGTTTACTGGTGAATGCCTGTAATCCCAGCTACTCGGGAGGCATGAGAATTGCTTGAACCAGGAAGGTGGAGGTTGCAGTGAGGTGAGATTGCGCCACTGCAATTCAGCCTGGGTGACAGAGCAAGACTCTGTCTCAACAACGACAACAAAACAAAACGTTAAAAAAAAAAAAAAAAAAAAAAAAGAAGCAGCAGCCAGACTCAAATGGGTATATACCACATGCTTCCATCTATATAAAGAAGTTCAAAGACTAATCTAGGGTGTAGAAGTCAAGAAAGTAGTTATGTGATTGTGTGGGGGTTGGGTAGCAGTACAAGAAGGCAGGATGGGAAACTTATGTGGCCCTGATCATGTTTTATTTCTTGTTCCAGGTGCCAGTTACATGGGTGTGTTTACTTTGAGAAAATGTACTGAGTCATATAATTTGTATACCTTCCTGTAATGTATACTTCCAAAAAAGCTTCTATAAGAAGATTAAACCACTGTCCCCTTCTTTAATAAAAATATTTTTCTTATATTTTAAAATCACCTACGGAATTTTTTAAAATGCAGATTAAAACAACAACAATGACAACACAGTCTGAGTAGACATCTCCGGGCTGGAACCCAGCCACCTGTGGCTCTGAAACTCCGTAAGTGATTCTGATGAAGTGAGCCTGGGTTGAAGTATTAGGTCATTAGCAGAAAGTGCTGTTTCATTTTATCATTATCATATTTCCTCTCAAAAACATTTTTGCCAAGGAATATGAAGCATAAACAACTGTCTTCGAATTGCAGTTATCTAAAAGAAAAAATGGCAAAGTACCCACTTCCACCCACTCCCCATTCCTTAGGTTTGGCTATTTCACCATTCAGAAGGCTTCTACAGATCATTAAATGCTTTAATTAGTTTCATACATATGCACTTAGCTTAAATCATGCCCATTAAAACACCATTCTTTTACCACTTCACTTTGAAGGGTATTTACCAGATTATTTAAAAGATGCTCCTAGATGCCATACACATTTTAATGAGAGCAAAAAAAAAAAAAAAAAAAAAATGGTTGGCCCAAATTAAAGCAAAATGAGCGTTTAAGTCTGGCATCTGTCTTGGAGATAATAACAGGCAGATCTTAATTTGCAGGAGAAATACATGGTTGTAAAAAATTATAATTTTAAAATCATTTTTGAACTACACCTCCATTGCCTGCCTCTGCTTCAGAATGACTAGATGATAGGTAGACAGACAGACAGATCAAAGAGAAGAGAGGCCGGGTGCAGTGGCTCATGCCTGTAATCCCAGCACTTTGGGAGACTGAGGCAGGCAGATCACGAGGTCAGGGGTTCAAGACCAACCTGGTCAACATTCTCAAACCCTGTCTCTACTAAAAATACAAAAAATTAGCTGGGTGTGGTAGCAAGCACCTGTAATCCCAGACACTCAGGAGGCTGAGGCAGGAGAATCACCTGAATCCGGGAGGCAGAGGTTGCAGTGAGCCGAGACCGTGCCACTGCACTGCAGCCTGGGAAACAGAGCGAGACTCTGTCTCAAAAAAAAAAAAAAGAGAGAGAGAGAGGACAGAAAACAGACACAACGGGGCCAACTGTGTTTAATTTGCCATTTTCCCCTAGATCTGCTGCATGAAATACTCAAAATATTTTGATCTCTCAGCAAAAAAGTTTTGTGGATGAAAAATGAAGTTCCCTTGATCTTGGTTCCAAGATGGCCGAATAGGAACAGCTCCAGTCTACAGCTCCCAGCGTCAGCGACGCAGAAGACAGGTGATTTCTGTATTTCCAACTGAGGCACCGGGTTCATCTCACTCGGGCTTATTGGACAGTGGGTGCAGCCCACGGAGTGTGAGCAGAAGCAGGGCTGGGCATCGCCTCACCCAGGAAGGGCAAGGGGTCGGGGAATTCCCTTTCCTAGCCAAGGGAAGCCGTGACAGATGGTACCTGGAAAATCAGGACACTCCCACTCTAATACTGCACTTTTCCAATGGTCTTAGCAAATGGCACACTAGGAGATTATATCCCACACCTGGCTTGGAGGGTCCCACGCCCACGGAGCCTCGCTCACTGCTAGCACAGCAGTCCAAGATTGAACTGCAAGGCAGCAGCAAGGGTGGGGGAGGGGCATCCACCATTGCTGAGGCTTGAGTAGGTAAACAAAGCAGCCGGGAAGCTTGAACTGGGTGGAGCCCATTGCAGCTCAAGGAGGCCTGCCTGCCTCTATAGACGCCACCTCTGGGGGCAGGGCATAGCTGAACAAAAGGCAGCAGAAACTTCTGCAGACTTAAACATCCCTGTCTGACAGCTTTGAAGAGAGTAGTGGTTCTCCCAGCACAGAGTATGAGATCTGACAACGGACAGACTGCCTCCTCAAGTGGGTCCCTGACCCCCGAGTAGCCTAACTGGGAGACAACTCCCAGGAGGGGCCGAATGACACCTCATACAGCCAGGTACCCCTCTGAGACGAAGTTTCCAGAGAAAGGATCAGGCAGCAACATTTGCCGTTCTGCAATATTTGCTGTTCTGAAGCCTCTGCTGGTGATACTCAGGCAAACAGGGTCTGGAGTGGACCTCCAGCAAATTCCAACAGACCTGCAGCTGAGGGTCCTGACTGTTAGAAGGAAAACTAACAAACAGAAAGGACATCCACACCAAAACCCCATTTGTAGGTCACCATCATCAAAGACCAAAGGCAGATAAAACCACAAAGATGCGGAGAAACCAGAGCAGAAAAGCTGAAAATTCTAAAACTCAGAGTGCCTCTTCTCCTCCAAAGGAACGCAGCTCCTCGCCAGCAATGGAACAAAGCTGGACAGAGAAGGACTTTGATGAGTTGACAGCCGTAGGCCTCGGATGATCGGTAATAACAAACTTCTCCGAGCTAAAGGAGGATGTTCGAACCCATCGCAAAGAAGTTAAAAACCTTGAAAAAAGATTAGACGAATGGCTAACTAGAATAAACAGCGTAGAGAAGACCTTAAATGACCTGATGGAGCTGAAAACCACGGCACGAGAATTACATGACGCATGCACAAGCTTCAGTAGCTGATTTGATCAAGTGGAAGAAAGGGTATCAGTGATTGAAGATCAAATGAATGAAATGAAGCGAGAAGAGAAGTTCAGAGAAAAAAGAGTAATAAGAAATGAACAAAGCCTCCAAGAAATATGGGACTATGTGAAAAGACTAAATCTGCATCTGATTGGTGTACCTGAAAGTGACTGGGAGAATGGAACCAAGTTGGAAAACACTCTTCAGGATATTATCCAGGAGAACTTCCCCAATCTAGCAAGGCAGGCCAACATTCAGATTCAGGAAATACAGAGAATGCCACAAAGATACTCCTCGAGAAGAACAACTCCAAGACACATAATTGTCAGATTCACCAAAGTTGGAAATGAAGGAAAAAATGTTAAGGGCAGCCAGAGAGAAAGGTCGGGTTACCCACAAAGGGAAGCCTATCAGACTAACAGCGGATCTCTCGGCAGAAACTCTACAAGCCAGAAGAGGGTGGGAGCCAATATTCAACATTCTTAAAGAAAAGAATTTTCAACCCAGAATTTCATATCCAGCCAAACTAAGCTTCGTAAGTGAAGGAGAAACAAAATCCTTTAAAGACAAGCAAATGCTGAGAGATTTTGTCACCACCAGGCCTGCCTTACAAGAGCTCCTGAAGGAAGCACTAAACATGGAAAGGAACAACTGGTACCAGCCACTGCAAAAACATGCCAAATTGTAAAGACCATCGTGGCTAGGAAGAAACTGCATCAACTAACGAGAAAAATAACCAGCTAACATCATAATGACAGGATCAAATTCACACATAACAATATTAACCTTAAGTGTAAATGAGCTAAATGCTCCAATTAAAAGACACAGACTGGCAAATTGGATAAAGAGTCAAGACCCATCAGTGTGCTGTATTCAGGAGACCCATCTCACGTGCAGAGACACACATAGGCTCAAAATAAAGGGATGAAGGAAGATCTACCAAGCAAATGGAAAACAAAAAAAAAGCAGGGGTTGCAATCCTAGTCTCTGATAAAACAGACTTTAAACCAAGAAAGATAAAAAGAGACAAAGAAGGCCATTACAAAATGGTAAAGGGATCAATTCAATAAGAAGAGCTAACTATCCTAAATATATGTGCACCCAATACAGGAGCACCCAGATTCATAAAGCAAGTCCTGAGTGACCTACAAAGAGACTTAGACTCCCACACAATAATAATGGGAGACTTTAACACCCCACTGTCAACATTAGACAGATCAACAAAACAGAAAGTTAACAAGGATACCCAGGAACTGAACTCAGCTCTGCACCAAGCAGACCTAATAGACATCTACAGAACTCTCCACCCCAATCAACAGAATAAACATTCTTCTCAGCACCACATCACACTTATTCCAAAACTGACCACATAGTTGGAAGTAAAGCACTCCTCAGCAAGTGTAAAAGAACAGAAATTATAACAAACTGTCTCTCAGACCACAGTGCAATCAAACTAGAACTCAGGATTAAGAAACTCACTCAAAACTGCTCAACTACATGGAAACTGAACAACCTGCTCCTGAATGACTACTGGTACATAACGAAATGAAGGCAGAAATAAAGATGTTCTTTGAAACCAATGAGAACAAAGACAACATACCAGAATCTCTGGGACACATTTAAAGCAGTGTGTAGAGGGAAACTTATAGCACTAAATGCCCACAAGAGAAAGTAGGAAAGATATAAAATTGACACCCTAACATCACAATTAAAAGAACTAGAGAAGCAAGAGCAAACATATTCAAAAGCTAGCAGAAGGCGAGAAATAACTAAGATCAGAGCAGAACTGAAGGAAATAGAGACACAAAAAACCCTTCAAAAAATCAATGAATCCAGAAGCTGTTTTGAAAAGATCAACAAAATTGATAGACTGCTAGCAAGACTAATAAAGAAGAAAAGAGAGAAGAATCAAACAGACGTAATAAAAAATGATAAAGGGGATATCACCACCGATCCCACAGAAATACAAACTACCATCAGAGAATACTATAAACACCTCTACACAAATAAACTAGAAAATCTAGAAGAAATGGATAAATTTCTGGACACATACACCCTCCCAAGACTAAACCAGGAAGAAGTTGAATCTCTGAATAGACCAATAACAGGCTCTGAAATTGAGGCAATAATTAATAGCCTACCAACCAAAAAAAGTACAGGACCAGACAGATTCACAGCCGAATTCTACCAGAGGTACAAAGAGGAGCTGGTACCATTCCTTCTGAAACTATTCCAATCCATAGAAAAAGAGGGAATCCTCCTTAATTCATTTTATGAGGCCAGCACCATCCTGATACCAAAGGCTGGCAGAGACACAACAAAAAAAGAGAATTTTAGACCAATATCCCTGATGAACATTGATGCAAAAATCCTCAATAAAATACTGGCAAACCGAATCCAGCAGCACATCAAAAAGCTTATCCACTACAATCAAGTCAGCTTTATCCCTGGGATACAAGGCTGGTTCAATATATGCAAATCAATAAATGTAATCCAGCATATAAACAGAACCAAAGACAAAAACCACACGATTATCTCAATAGATGCAGAAAAGGCCTTTGACAAAATCCAACAGCCCTTCATGCTAAAAACTCTTAATAAACTAGGTATTGATGGGACGTATCTCAAAATAATGACAGCTATTTATGACAAACCCACAGCCAGTACCATACTGAATGGACAAAAACTGGAAGCATTCCCTTTGAAAACTGGCACAAGACAGGGATGCCCTCTCTCACCACTCCTATTCAACATAGTGTTGGAAGTTCTGGCCAGGGCAATCAGGCAGGAGAAAGAAATAAAGGGTATTCAATTAGGAAAAGAGGAAGTCAAATTGTCCCTGTTTGCAGACGACATGATTGTATATTTAGAAAACCCCATTGTCTCAGCCCAAACTCTCCTTAAACTGATAAGCAACTTCAGCAAAATCTCAGGATACAAAATCAATGTGCAAAAATCACAAGTATTCCCATACACCAATAACAGACAAACAGAGAGCCAAATCATGAGTGAACTCCTATTCACAATTGCTTCAAAGAGAATAAAATACGTAGGAATTCAACTTACAAGGGATGTGAAGGACCTCTTCAAGGAGAACTACAAACCACTGCTCAAGGAAATAAAAGAGGACACAAACAAATGGAAGGACATTCTGTGTTCATGAATAGGAAGAATCAATATCGTGAAAGTGGCCATACTGCCCAAGGTAATTTATAGATTCAATGCCATCCCCATCAAGCTACCAATGACTTTCTTCACAGAATTGGAAAAAACTACTTTAAAGTTCCTATGGAACCAAAAAAGAGCCCACATTGCCAAGACAAACCTAAGCCAAAAGAACAAAGCTGGAGGCATCACGCTACCTGACTTCAAACTATACTACAAGGCTACAGTAACCAAAACAGCATGGTACTGGTACCAAAACAGAGACATAGACCAATGGAACAGAACAGAGTCCTCAGAAATAATACCACACATCTACAACCATCTGGTATTTGACAAACCTGACAAACACAAGAAATGGGGAAAGGGTTCCCTATTTAATAAATGGTGCTGGGAAAACTGGCTAGCCATATGGAGAAAGCTGAAACTGGATCCCTTCCTTACACCTTATACAAAAATTAATTCAAGATGGATTAAAGACTTAAATGTTAGACCTAAAACCATAAAAACCCTAGAAGAAAACCTAGGCAATACCATTCAGGACACAGGCATGGGCAAGGACTTCATGACTAAAACACCAAAAGCAATGGCAACAAAAGCCAAAATTGACAAATGGGATCTAATTAAACTAAAGAGCTTCCGCACAGCAAAAAAACTATCATGAGAGTGAACAGGCAACCTACAGAATGGGAGAAAATTTTTACAATCTACCCATCTGACAAAGGGCTAATATCCAGAATCTACAAAGAACTTAAACAAATTTACAAGAAAAAATCAAACAACCTCATCAAAAAGTGGGCAAAGGATATGAACAGATACTTCTCAAAAGAAGACATTTATGCAGCCAACGGACACATGAAAAAATGCTCATCGTCACTGGCCATCAGAGAAATGCAAATCAAAACCACAATGAGATACCATCTCACACCAGTTAGAATGGTGATCATTAAAAGTCGGGAAACAACAGGTGCTGGAGAGGATGTGGAGAAATAGGAACAGTTTTACACTGTTGGTGGGACTGTAAACTAGTTCAACCATTGTGGAAGACAGTGTGGCGATTCCTCAAGGATCTAGAACCAGAAATACCATTTGACCCAGCCATCCCGTTACTGGGTATATACCCAAAGGATTATAAATCATGCTGCTATAAAGAGACATGCACACGTATGTTTATTGCGGCACTATTCACAATAGCAAAGACTTGGAACCAACCCAAATGTCCATCAATGATAGACTGGATTAAGAAAATGTGGCACATATACACCATGGAATACTATGCAGTCATTAAAAAGGATGAGTTCATGCCCTTTGTAGGGACATGGATGAAGCTGGAAACCATCATTCTGAGCAAACTATCGCAAGGACAGAAAACCAAACACTGCATGTTCTCACTCATAGGTGGGAATTGAACAATGAGAACACTTGGACACAGGGTGGGGAACATCACACACTGGGGCCTGTTATGGGGTTGGGGGAGGGGGGAGGGATAGCATTAGGAGTACACCTAATGTAAATGATGAGTTAATGGGTGCAGCACACCAACATGGCACATGTATACATAAGTAACAAACCTGCACGTTGATCACATGTACCCTAGAACTTAAAGTATAATAATAATAATAATAAATAAGGTTCCCTTTACTAAGCTACTGTTGTGTACCGATAGATTGTAGTTCAGAAAAGGCATTCAACAAATGAATATTGAATGAATTCTAATTCAGCTTTTGGAAAAGTGAAAAAGTTAAATGATTGATTTAGTTGACACCATCCAGAGAGGGAAAAAGGCCACTTGAACTGATGTTGCCAGTTGTTGGGTGTCACATAAACAAAAGAGGTAGGCATCTTTTTAATTTCATAGTGTTCTCCCATCTTCAGAATTTACCGCTCTTGATGAAGACAATTCAATATTTAATGACACATTTGAAAAGACTAAGCTTTTTACTTACCTAGCTCTTCCTTATGTATATGTGTGTAGTTTTCCAACATGAAGGAAAAGAAGGTGGATAACTGGACAAAATAAAAAAAAATTAATCAATTAGTGAACCCCAAACAGCTACTGTGACAAATGCTGTTGGTGTTCCACCCGAGTGCCCTTACTCTTGTGGGGCATTTGTATCTCAGCTGCTGCAGGTGCTAAGGGTCACTTCTATGCCTGCCTCCAGAGGACTGCCTGCATCCAGAGCAACACAGGGTAACACATGAACGCCCCTCCTGTGGGGCTGCCCAGAGACAACGACTGGCTGAAGCAAGGGTGTAACAGCCCAGTCCCCCACCTCCCTTGCCTCTGCCAGGGACAAACTGTAGTGCATTTCACACTTGACAGCTCCAGATGGGATCAGGCTGAGGTCAGACTTCAAAAAGTACATCTTGGCCTAGCTTCTCCCCTGTCCTGTCTCGCATTCCTCACTCCCTTACAGGCTTTCCCTGAAAACACACCCTCAATAAGTCACTTGTACCAGAATCCCTGTCTCAGCCTCTGCTTCTAGGAAATCCAACGTAAGACAGCTACCAAATTTTGTTCATTATGATCTCTTCTTTTCTTTTTTTTAAGATGGAGTTTCACTCTTGTCACCCAGACTGGAATGCAATGGCACAATTTTGGCTCACTGTAACCTCCGCCTCCCCGGATCAAGCGATTCTCCTGCCTCAGTGTCCCGAGTAGCTGGGATTACAGGCACTCGCCACCATGTCCAGCTAATGTTTTTGTATTTTTAGTAGAGACAGGGTTTCAACATGTTGGCCAGGCAGGTCTCAAACTCCTGACCTCAGGTGATCCACCTGCCTCGGCCTCCCAAAGTGCTAGGATTACAGGTGTGAGCCACTGCACCCGGTCATGATCTCTTTTCTTTTTGGTGGTGAAATTAAGAGTTAAGGAATATTCTTAAATATCAAATATATTTTGGAAAGAAAGGAAGGGAAAGGTGGAACTTCACCAGCTTTCCAGCCACAATCAGGGTACTGGCTCTATGGCCACCAGGTATCTGCAAAGACCTGCATTTGTACAGCACAAATAATTTCTTTTTCAAGCCCTGCCTCTCATGAAAAGTAAACACTTTATCAATCTGGGAGTAGATCTGGGAGTTGGGAATTGAGAGAAGGAAGACTTTCCATACAGTTATCAAAATGTATGATTTTAATGCTGTTGATGATGGGTTTGTCCATTAACAGTCAATAGAAACCACAATCAGACATCACTTCACACCCACTACGATAGCTATAATCAAAAAGAGATAATAACAAGTATTGGCAAAAATGTGAAGAAATTGGAGCCCTCATCCACTGCTGGTGGGAAGGTAAAACGATGGAGCTGCTTTGGAACACAGTTTAGCAGCTCCTCAAAAAGTTAAGCACAAAGTTACTACATGACATTCCACTCACAGGTCTATACCCAAGAGAACTGAAAACATATGTTCACACAAAAACTTGCATACAAATGTTCACAGCAGCATTATTCATAATAGCCAAAAGGTGGAACAACCCAAATGATCCATCACCTGAGGAATAGATGACCAAAATGTGGTCCATCCATACAATGGAATATTCTTCGGAATGAGTAATATTAACTAAAAAGGAATGAAGTCCTGATATGTGCTACAACATGGGTGAACCTTGAAAGCATTATGCTAAGTAAAAGAAGCTGGGCCGGGCACAGTGGCTCACGCCTGTAATCCCAGCACTCTGGGAGACCGAAAATGCAAAAATTAGCTGGGCGTGGTGGCACATGCCTGTAGTCCCAGCTATTCAGGAGGCTGAGGCAGGAGAATCGGTTGAACCTGGGAGGCGGAGGTTGCAGTGATCTGAAATCGTGCCACTGCACTCCAGCCCAGCGACAGAGCGAGACTCTGTCTCAAAAAAATAAATAAATAAAAAAGAAGCCAGACATCAAAGACCACATATTATATGATTCCATTTATATGAAATGGCCAGAATAGGTAAATCCATAGAGATAGAAAATAGCTTAGTCGTTGCCAGGGACTGGGGGAAGGAAATGGGGAAATGACTGCTAATGGGTACGGAGTTTAGGAAGCGGGAAATGAAAATGTCCTAAAATTGACTGTGGGGATGTTTGCACAACCCTGTACATATACTAAAAACCATTGAATTGCACACTTTAAATGGGTGAATTGTATGGCATGTGAATTACATCTCAATAAAGAATCAATAGAAAATAATGTACTGGTGCTGGAATGTGTCTAAAGCATACCAATTTGGGATTCACTCTACCTGTATATTTATCACTATATTCTACAGTGCTTAGAAAGACAGCCTATGCTGAGGTTCCTAATCTAGACAAAGGGAGCATCTGACTGAATCACAGTATATCATTTTTCTAGCTGCCAAAAATAAATCTAGCAACTTAGTTCTTTTTGGAATGTTCTTAATTATCTTTAAATATTATAATGTGATACACAGATATATGATTGCTAAAAACTACAAATAATTTCAAATAAAAATGAGAAGTCCCTCTTAACATCCCAACCCACACCCACCAATACCATTCCTGTCCTCAGAACTAACTACTGTAAACAATTTCCTGTGTATCTTTTTCCAGACTTTTGCTGTATGTTTCATGTTCTTTCACATAAATGAGATAAACTCTACATATTGTTTTAAAAGTTGATTTTTTCATTAGCAACTATATTGGAGATCTTTCTAAGATCTGTTTATTGTTAAAAGTACTTTTTTAAAATTAATAAGCATTAAAACTAGATTTATGTATTCTTTAAAAAGGCCTTCCTTGGCCAGGTGCGGTGGCTCACGCCTGTAATTCCAGAACTTTGGGAGGCCAAGGCAGATGGATTACCTGAGGTCAGGAGTTCGAGACCAGCCTGGCCAACATGGTGAAACCCTGTCTCTACTAAAAATTTCAAAATTAGCTGGGTGTGGTGGTGGGTGCCTATAATCCTAGCTACTCGGGAGGCTGAGGCAGGAGAATCGCTTGAACCCAGGAGGCGGAGATTGCAGCGAGCTGAGACCGTGCCATTGCACTCCAGCCTGGGTGACAAGAGTGAAATCCCGTCTCGAAGAAAAAAAAAAAAAAGGCCTTCCTCACCCATGTATATTTTCTTCTAGAGCTTGCAGAGGTTTGTTGCTAGGAAATTCTGCCATTTTTTAACCCCTTGAAGTATTTTTTTCTTTTATAAAATGACAACTTTATTTCCTATTAAGGCATCTGCCCCAAAATAGAATAAGACTATTTTTATTAGTTAACCAGATGTTGGGCAGCCCTCTTAAAAATGTGAACTTCAAAACGGAAAAACACCATCCTTTTCCCAAAGCACACTCTCTCTCAATAACTAGTTCCAAGACAATGTCATGACATGCTCTATTAAAGCCTTTCACCAAGCTTCCTCAGCTTAAAATGGACCCAAACTTTCATTCTTTCAATAACAAGGGGTAAAGAGAATCATTTTATCAAAAGAAGAGAAAAGCTTGCAAAACAGACCTGCATTTGGCCTTGTTCATCAGCATATTCGATGGACTGGAAGATGGTGAGGGCATAGTGTTGTCTGGCCTTCAGTCGAGCTTTGTAACCTCGGTACCAGTTCTGGATGATCAACGCAGCTCTCAGTGCTGCAGACCCACAGAATATGAAAGTCAAAGAAAAACAGTTACTATGCACCTGTTAGGAGAAGTAGGTGCTTCAGTGGAAAAAAAAAGCAGTCCACCTGGATTCCTAGGTTCTAAGAATATTAAAACACCAAACAATGAGATTGACTTTTATGTTTTTTATAAAATGTCCTCATGTCTCAAACACTCAGAGAATAATGATGGCACAGCCATTAGGAACAGAAGTTTTGGAGTAAGACTGCCTGAACTTGAATCCTAGCTCTGCTAATTACCGTCTATGTTACTTTGGGTAAGTTATTAAAACTCTCAAAACCTCAGTTTCCTCATCTGTAAAATAGGAATAATAACAGCACCTACCTTTGGCATGGCTTAAGCATAGTAAATCTATGAATCTATGTATACCCTATGAAGTAGCAATTCCATTCTTCACTACGTACCCCAAAGGCAATTCTCACACAGTCCATCAAGGAGACATATGGGGATGCAATTGCTTCTTTGTGGCAATAGGAAGTTTGATACAAATAGGCCTGGCTGCCTATCACTAGGAAAGAGAATCTGTATCTTTGGTGGGTGCACACCACGGAGTAGCACAACACAACTGGAAGCAATAGATTAAATAAACCCATAGCAACCTAACCAGTAGGTCTTAAAAACATAGTACTTCCATTGGAATGGTTATTAAAAAGTCAGAGACAGAATGAAATACTACTTTAATCAATAGAACTATATAGATACAAAACCACATTTCATAAGAACATATACAAAGGGAAAGATGCACACAACACATAATGGACCGGTTATTTATAGGGGAGTGAATGAGCGTGGGGTACATGAAGAGAAGGGAATAAACTAATTAACATAAGAAGGGGTCTTGCACAGACCAATGATGATAATGTTCAATGAGCTGATGGAAACGTATGATTCACACCACCTTCTGCACCTGAGATTCGATTGATAAAATGCAGGTGGATAAAGAAACACACCCCCTCCCTCACAGAGTTTCTATGAGGATGAAATGAGATGTTACAAGGGGAAGAGTTTAGCCCAATGCCTGGTAAAAAGCACATGCTAAGTAAATGGCAACTGGAAGTATTGTCTTGTTTGTGGACTATCTAGGCAGACTGTCTCTCTTCTGGGGAAGGTAGCCTTTGAGCCACCTTGTAGTTTCATCATATTGAAGAAAGAAATCAGGTAAGAGGTAATGAGATTTAAAATACAGTCTCTTATGCCTCCTCGAGTTTTAGAGTGAAGAGCAATCAACACCAGCTGGCTCCTTTTATTCATGCTATCGTTTTTCCCAGTTGGTGCATAAAAAATAAGAGTTGACTATAACAGGAACGATGTGAGTTCTGAAAGCAGGGGTCCAGCCCCCAGTCTCAGCATCCTCTGGTTTAGTACTGCTGCAGTACACAGAATATCCCAGGACCTGGTCGTCTCGCAAGGTTAATTTATTAGCTTCCCCAAGGCTCTTGGGTTCCAGGGACTCTTTCCATTATTCAGGTTTCAGAAAACCCCAGGAAATAGACCCAACATCACGTATCATGAGCTTTATAGGGAAAAACCACAGGAAGAAGAAATAGAGTGACATGTTGTGGTGTTATAATATACAAATGATTTGGCTGTGTCCCCACCCAAATCTCATCTTGAATTGTAGCCCCCAAAATTCCCACGTGTTGTGGGAGGGACCTGGTGGGAGGTAACTGATCATGGGGGCGGTTTCCCCCATACTGTTCTGGTGGTAGTGAATAAGTCTCATGAGATCTGATAGTTTTATAAGGGGTTTCCCCTTTCACTTGGCGCTCATTCTTTCTTGTCTGCCACCATGTAAGACGTACCTTTTCCCTTCCACCATGATTGTGAGGCCTCCCCAGCCATGTGGAACCATAAGTCCATTAAACTTCTTTTTCTTTATAAATTACCCAGTCTCGGTTATGTCTTTATCAGCAGTGTGAAAACAAACTAATACAAGATATATATATAGAGAGAGAGAGAGAGCGAGAGAGAGAGAGAGACAGAGAGAGAGAGAGGTTTTCATCCATGGCCCTGATACAGTCTTTTGTTGTGATGTCGGGTATGTTAGGCCTCAGGGGCAGCCTCTGACCTCCTGTCCTCCTTTCACCTGCCCCAAGGCTCTAATCTTCCCCTGACTTTCTCATTATGGGCTTAAGGCTCTATGCCCTAGGGGAAGAAATGCTGTTGTCTTGAAGCCTTCATAAAAACCCAAGAGAACCGGGTTCAGTGAGCTTCCGGATAGCGAAACAGTGGAGGTTCTGGGAGGGTGGCCTGCCCCTTCCCCCTTGCCTCGCCCTATGCATCTCTTTATCTGTTTCCTTTGTAATACCCTTTATAACAAACCAGTAAATGTAAGGAAGTGTTTCCCTGAGTTTTGTGAGCTGCTCTAGTAAAATAATGGAACCCAAAGAGGGGGTCATGGGAACCCCCAACTTGAAGCTGGTCAGTCAGAAGTTCTGGAGGTCTTAACTTGCAACTGGTGTTGGGGTGGGGTGGGTAGGCAGTCTTGGGGACTGAGCCCTCAACCTGTGGGATCTGACACTATCTCTGGGTAGATAATGTCAGAATCTGAATTAGAGGACACCCAGCTGGTATCTGCTGCTTGGTGTGTGCAGAAAAGTCCCCACACATTTGGTCACAGAAGTCTTCTGTGTTGATGATTGCTGTGGTGTGAGAGTGGAGAAAAAAAATGGTTAGGGGAAAAAGATTTTCCCTACACACATCTTCAACCTTGCAAAGCAAATAATTGGCAGTGGCATGGCTGAAATCTGAAGTGTTCTCACAATACCATGATGGAGGCTCTAGGGTCACCTGAAAGGCCTGTTCTGTGGGACAGTCGCTATCATGATGAATCACCCTCTGGCCTCAGGGGTTCTCATACTCACAAGCACAATGGTACCTTTCCAGTGCCACTTCCTAGGCACTTACAAAGGACCATGCATTGATTAGTCCTGCAGTCCTCACAACACTGCGAAGCTGACAGAGACTGAGGAACTCACTAAAGCTCACTTAGCTGGTAAGTGGAAATAGACAGTGAGGATTCGAACCCTGGTCTGACTGACTCCATAGCCCAAGCTCTTAACCTCCATAGAGCTATTGATCTTTTCTGTGCC
This sequence comes from Homo sapiens, assembly GCF_000001405.40. Classification (NCBI taxonomy): domain Eukaryota; kingdom Metazoa; phylum Chordata; class Mammalia; order Primates; family Hominidae; genus Homo; species Homo sapiens. The sequence continues at coordinate 18,727,058 of NC_000023.11, read as the reverse complement.
TCTGCTTCTTCATCTGCACAATGATGTTGTAGAATAAATGATCACTGAAGTCTCTTCTATTTGGTATTAGCAACATCAATAACAAATAAACAAGCTTGGCCAAGTGCGATGGCTCACGCCTGTAATCCCAACACTTTGGGAGGCCGAGGTGGGCAGAACACTTGAGGTCAGGAGTTTGAGACCAGACTGGCTAACATGGTGAAACCCCACCTTTACTAAAAATACAAAAATTAGCTGGGCACGGTGGTACACGCTTGTAATCCCAGCTACTTGGGAGGCTGAGGTGGGAGGATCACTTGAACCTAGGAGACGGAGGTTGCAGTGAGCCAAGATCACCGCCACTGCACTCCAGCCTGGGAGACAGAGCAAGACTCCATTTCGATTAAAAAAAAAAAAGAAATAACTGAGCTTATTACTATTTCTGTAATAATAGAACAAAATAACTATCATATGTTAAGGGTCTATTACAAGACATTTGGTCCCCACAAGCATCATCATCTCCATGTTACACATAAGGAAATTTTGAGTTCAGAAAGGCGAGTCTCTTGCTCCAAGTCACTTATTTAGTATGAACTCAGGTCCTCTGGCTCTTTCCACTCCAGTCAGTTACTTCATTCCCTAACCTATGTGTACCTTTCCTTCCTTTGAATAATAATGGCCGCCATTTATTTATTTATTTATTTATTTATTTATTTATTTATTTATTTGAGTCAGAGTCTCGTCTGTAGCCCAGGCTGGAGTGCAGAGCCACGATCTCGGCTCACTGCAACCTCCGCCTCCTGGATTCAAGCAATTCTCTGCCTCAGCCTCCCCAGTAGCTGGGACTACAGGCGCCCACCACCACGCCCAGCTAATTTTTGTATTTTCTGTAGAGACAAGGTTTCACCATATTGGCCAGGCTGGTCTTGAACTCCTGACCTCATGATCCACCCGCCTCAGCCTCCCAAAATGCTGGGATTACAGGTGTGAGCCACTGCGCCTGGCCATTCACCATTTCTTGAATGCCTACTAAGTGGCTGGCACTAGCTGGACACCTGACATCTACTGCCACTTCTCCTCCCTGATGCGGAGAAAGAGGCAAGCTAGGCCCCCTCCCATCTCTGCCTAGCTTCCATCCCCACCCCACTCTCCAAGGGAGGAGCTGCTGTTTTGTATATAGCACACAATACGTTCACTGGGTTCCACTGGGAGGGGTGTAAACTGTGGCATAGGAAGTTTATAAACACCTATGGTCCCCTCTGTCTTCTACTTCCTCTTCTACTCCAAAGTCAGGAAACGGAACTGCCCCACCCCACCCCAGCTTGGGAAGCAGCCATCTCTGCCTATGCTCATACGCCTGTACCCGAGCACACATGCCACTTATTAAGCTATCAGGTCTCAACTCTAACCCCACCCTTCCCTAGTCAGCACAGTGGTGCTGAGGCTGGGACTTTGCAGACCCCATTTCAGCTTTGTCAGTTGCCCCCTGTGAGGCTCTGCCAATAGGGGTGGGAAAGGCAGACTGCAAGGCTGGAGGGAGGGACTAGGGACACACTCCTTCCTGTCTGCTTCCTGTTCCTGACAGTGTAACCTAGCAACTGCTCTTCACCCCAGGTAACAGTCGTCGGATCCAGTTTGCAGCTCATCCAGCACTTGCAAAGCCAGTCTCATGGCAGCCCCGGAGATACCAGCACCAGCTGAGTGCACCACTTCTCAGAGGTCTGGGCTTCAGTTCTGTGGGACCCTCCTTGCAAGTTTCTCAACCGGAATAATTCCACCCTTTTCCCTTTGTTCTCTCAACTCTAGGGTGGTAACTTCCCTGCAGTTGCTATAGTTCTTTACATTCAATTCTCTCTGTTCAAATCACTCTGTGGTTTCTGCCTCCTGACTAGACCCTGCCCGATGAGCTCATCTCAGAGGGGTGGGAAAAATAGGTCCTGCTAAGACCTCAAGCCTCCAACTTCCTGCAGGCTCCAACGCACGCCGTCATTAGAGCTCTACGTTGAGATTTGGGGTACTTGTGCAGCAGCTAATAAAGTGGACTTTGATCCACATCCTGCTGTTGTCCCTTGGGCATACATTTCCCAAGGAAACCTCTCCAGGAGAGGGAAGGAGCCCAGCAAGGTTGGGCATACCAATATCAGACCTCCAAAACCTCACCTAATTCCTAAGCCCCATCCACCACAGGACAGCACTAGCCAGCTGAGGACCCTCCCCTGGAGAAGAAACCTCCAAAATAGCAAAGGGTAGAATGCAGGCATGATAGACCCTACCCGAGGGGTTGCTGGCCCCCATAACCCCCCACCCTGCCCAGAGAGTTGAAGATCTGCGTCATCCAGTTCTAAACTTATTGGACAGCTTAGATCTACTTCTGGTCCTGCTGCTTCATCTGATAACAGGGCTTCTCTTCCCGGTCACATTGATTCCATGCAGAATAAATGAACGAACGAATGAATAAATAAATGCATGCTATTGAGGAGCATGTGTAGCAAGGGTCTTCTATTTTTGTTTCTAGACAGAAGCAACAGCATAGATTCAATAAGTTACCTGGCCAACTTTCTGTGGCCAGTAGGTGGTTTCTCTATTGCCAAGCTGGTTTTTTGTTTTGTTTTAATAGATTCTTTTCTCTGGTGGCAATCACTATCATGGTATCTTGCAAGAAATTAAATAGTCATGTACGGGGTTAGTGAGCAAGACAAATAATGAATTCAGAGTGATTGCTTTGTGCCAGGCATTGTGCCTCGTGCTTTATGTGGATCATCTACTTCAACGTGATTTGATTTCATCCTCCCCCTAACAATCCTCTCAAGTGTGACTGTCCCTATTTTACAGATAAGGAAACTGGGGCTCAGAAACAACATGTCTGGGGTCATGTCACTTGTCAGAGGGACAATGCAGAGTCAAATCCAGTTATCTGTAATTTCAGAACCTGGGCTCATCCTCATTTTGCTATATACATGGCATTTGGAATCAGCCATAAAAAATGAGACGGGGCCAGGCGCAATGGCTCAAGTCTTTAATCCTAGCACTTTGGGAGGCCAAGGCAAGTGGATTGCCTGAGCTCAGGAGTTTGAGACCAGCCTGGGCAACATGGCGAAACCCTGTCTCTACTAAAAATACAAAAAATTAGCCAGGCGTGGTGGTGCATGCCTGTAATCCCAGCTACTTGGGAGGCTGAGGCACAAGGCATGAGAATCACTTGAACCCGGGAGGCAGAGGTTGCAGTGAGCCAAGATCATGCCACTGCACTCCAGCCTGGGCAACAGAGCAAGACTCTGTCTCAAAAAAAAAAAAAATCAGATGGTATATAGAATAGCATCTCCTCCCACACCTTCTCCCGCTCACATTCCCTATCTCTTTACCTGTTCTACTGTTCTCTGTAGCACTCTTGAGCATCTGACATTGTCTACAGTTATATGTGTATGGGTTTATTGTCCATTTTCCCCTATTAGCTAGGAACTTCATTTTTTTCATTGCTGCATCCGCAGCACCTGGGGCAAGGCCTGGAAATGTATTATATATTTGTTGAATGAATGATTGAATGAATGAATGAACACCTTCTAGGGGTGTTGTAATAATACATAATACTGTATTAGTAATCTGTTGACATAGGTATTAGTAATATATTAATTGATTCATATAAAATGCTTAGCATATTGCCTGTCATATAGGAAGCACTCGATAAATGGGAGATACTTTTTTAAAAATTGTCTCTCTCCAGGCTAACAAATTCCAGTTAAGTCCCAAAGACTTCCTAATTATACATAATATTTCATTAGAAATTTCACAAATTATGACTGCACATGGTGGCTCACGCCTGTAACCCCAGCACTTTGGGAGGCCGAAGCAGGTGGATTACCTGAGATCAGGAGTTTGAGAGCAGCCTGGCCAACAAGGCAAAACCTCGTCTCTACTAAAAATAGAAAAATTAGCCGGGCATGGTGGTGGGCACCTGTAATCCCAGCTACTTGGGAGGCTGAGGCAGGACAATTGCTTGAACCTGGGAGACGGAGGTTGCCGTGAGCCGAGATCACACCACTGCACTCTAGCCTGGGCGACAGAGCGAGACTCCGTCACAAAAAAAAAAAAAATTCACAAATTACTGTGGACAAACAGGCTACCATCTCCGAACACAACAGCCTAGAGCAAGAAGAGCCCGGCCAACTGAGGTGCATGCAGTTAGAGCCTGCAGCTTTTGCTCAGACATCACCTTTGCGGGAGGCCTTTCCTGACCACCCCTTCTTACATGGTCTCCTCTCCCCTCATCGCCTATCTCCTTCCTTATTTTTTCTCCATAGCACTTATCACCATGTGATATTTACTTCTTTGTCATTGTCTGTGTCTTTCCACTAGAATGTAATCTCCATAAGAGCTGGGATTTTGATCTGTTGAGTTAGCTGCTGTATTTCCTGAGCCTGGAATAGTCTCTGGAACATAGCAGGAATAAATATTTGTTGAACAAATGAAATGACTGTTTAGTTAAGACTTTGTGTCTTACATTTCTCTTTGTGCTGGCTGGTAGAGTCTTTATGTTTGGTTTGGTTTTGGTTTTTAAATAGGAGTTTATTTGACAGATAGTTCTTCAAACAAGACATTTCATATTCAGAATGATAAGGTATTTAAAGGCTCTCTGCTTTTGAAATTCTTCTGGCAGAGGAATCCTGAGGAAGCAGCAGGATTAGCGAATATTTAATGTACCTTTAAGGGGCCTGGCCTCCAGGCAAGAAGAGACCCAGGCACAAGTGCGACACAGCTGATTAAAATGAATTCGAATGAACTGGAAAGAAAATGAATCCTCTAATAGCAAAAGGCTTTAAGCGAAGAGGAGAAGCATCTATAACCTCAGCTGTTCAAAGCATGATGAGAAGAGGATATGGCTGAACTCTGGCCTAGGACCACAGTCTTCATTACTGTTATTTTTGTTTACAGATTTTCTATATCTGCCATCTGCCAGAATGTGCGGCTGTCCCAGTGAGACTTCTGACTTCACTGGAAAAACAGCTCAAAGCACATGCCCAGTGAACATGAGACAGACACAAAGCCTGCTTGTTGGGCAGCAAGCAAGGCAGACACCTTATGAGGCTCGCTCAGCCACAAACTCTGGCAGCCCTGCAGAGCAAGGCCACAACACAGAGGCCTTGTCCCTGGGAGACACTTTTCTGAAAGAAGAGAGTAAAGTGTGAAGTCCAGTCTCCAAACAATGTCAGGCATTTGAAACACAACTATCACTTTCCCTAAGGGACAAAAGAGATCATAATTGTGTCATTCTCAGGAACCTCTGGCCTTCCAGTGAGACAAGAGCGAGAATAACAGGTCATTTCTACAACATTCTATGTACTTACTCTCGTACCCACCAACCCCATCCACATGGGGTAATAAAAATAAGTTCTGACTTTGTCATTGAGATACTTCCATTTGGGCCCTGACTTACCCAGTTGCCAGCTAAGTAACCTCAGGCAAATCAACGAAACTCCGAGGTCCTCAGTTTCTCATGTAAACAATGAGAACTTTGGACTGTGTGATCTCTAAGATTCTTTCCAGTTACCAAATACTCTAACTCATCCATCTACTTGTTTTTAGTGCCATTGCTGCAGCCCACCTATCACTGTACATAGAAAAGCTGAAAATAACCATCCAAGGGCACGATATGATGTGCAAAACTGAACACTCAAACCAGAAACTTCTGGACAAAGGAGACAAATTCTAAAGGCTATTTGAAAATAAATCAATCAATCGGAATCATCCCTGTAGAAAAATACAAGTTACTAATATCTCTGGCTTTTCCATCAAGGAATTGTAGCCAAAGTTTGCTAGCAATTGGTTTGGGAACACTAAACATTTCACACATTAGTTTTTTTAACTGCCTAAAATATGACTAAGGTGTATGATCTGTTAACTGGTTCAAGTGACAGCCAACAAAAGATGGAGGGAAGATGGATGGGGAAGAAAGGGAAGACAAGAGAGGGCTGGCTCAGACTTCACCACCACGCAGTATATCCATGTAATAAAAATGCACCTGTATTCCCAAAATCTATATAAAACTGGAGGCTGGGAGATAGAGACACATGTGAAGTATCTAAGGCTCAGAGGTTTCAAAGAAGACCAAGCAATCAGAGAATAGGATGATAATCATGAAGATTCCAGAGGTGGGGCTTTTCCAGGTGACCATGGGGGCCAGTAAATGGGAGTGAGCAGCTGAAGTTGAGGAGATGAGGGGGTTTCTGGGGCTCAGGAGATCAAGGAACTCAGACACCAAAGCATTTGGGGCTTATTCACATGTACAGTGAAGATACCCAGTATGAGGCTCAGAGTGGGTGGAGAGTCTTCAATGAATGAAGTTGGTAGATGGCAAAAACAAGAAAGGGCTAAAAAATGGTACTACCAAAGGACATAAGCCTAGGTTGCCACCACTACAAACTTGGTAAACTTATCTCAGGATGTACAGGATTAGGGTTTTTTCTTTTGAAAGAAATTTTTGTTTTTTTTTTGAGACGGAGTCTCACTCTGTCACCCAGGATGGAGTGCAGTGGCGCGATCTTGGCTCACTGCAACCTCCGCCTCCCAGGTTCAAGCAATTCTCCTGTTTCAGCTTCCCGAGTAGCTGAGACTACAGGCACACGCCACCATGCCCAGCTAATTTTTGTATTTTTAGTAGAGACGGGGTTTCATCACGTTGGCCAGGCTGGTCTTGAACTCCTGCCCTCAGGTGATCTGCCCGCCTCAGCTTCCCAAAGTGCTGGGATCACAGGCATGAGCCACTGCGCCCGGCTGAAATATTTTCAAATGTATGAAAAAGTAAAGATAGTATAATTGTTAATAACTAGTCTCTCTCTCTCTCTCTCTCCATATACCATCGTCATTTCTTCAGTCTCCTTTATTCTGGAACAACTCCTCTGCCTTTCTCTTCAATGACACTGAAATTTTCAAACAGTACAGGCCAGTTGATTGTAAAACATCCCTCAATCTGGATCTGTCTGCTCTTTTCCTCGTGATGAGATTCAGGTTGTGTATTTTGGCAGGATAAGTGGTATGTCTTTCTCAGTGCATTAGGACATCAGAAGGCATGTGGTGCTCATCTGTCTCATTATCACTGAGCGAACTTGGATCACTTGGGTAAGGTGGTGTCCATGTGAACTTCTCTACTGTAGAAGTGTTTGCCTCTTTACAATTAATAAACAGTTTGCAGGAACACGCTTTGAGACTGTGTATACATTCTGTTCTCCAAAATATCCATTGATGATTTTTGCTTAAATCAATTATTTCTATGGTGGTTGCAAAACAGTGATTTTTGAACTCATTTCTTCTACATTTATTAGGATTAGGATTTTTAAATGGCCCATTTAAAGCCCTATTTGATTCAACAGGGCAATGGAACAACATGAAGATGACATAAAGCCATCTCATGAAAGGTTCCTTAAGAGTTGTCATCCTTGGACTGGGTGCAGTGGCTCATGACTGTAATCCTAGTACTTTGGGAGGCCGAGGCGGGCAGATCTCTTGAGCCTAGGAGTTCACGACCAGCCTGGGCAATGTGATGAAACCCCATCTCTACAAAAACTATAACAATTAACCGGGCATGGTGGCACACACCTGTAGTCCCAGCTACTTGGGAGGTTGAGGTGGGAGGATCACTTGAGCCCAGGAGGTTGAGGCTGCAGTGAGCCTTGATGGCGCCACTGCACTCCAGCCTGGGTGACAGAGTGAGACCCTGTGTCAAAAAAGAAAAAAAAAAAAAAAAAGATGAGTTGTAATCCTTGGCTATATCACTAGTTCAGGAAAATGTGATGCTTCATTTATACCATACCAAAATAATAGGCCAACTCAATAAAACACTCAGACCAAGAGAATAGTTTACAAGTAACTGTTAACCTTCCTACCATATTATGTTTTGCCAATTTTCCAAAAGAATTATTATGAATACATTAATTTTTAAAAACTATTGTATTCTTAAGTATGTAAAAGAAATTTTGCTATATAAAAGAATTCCTATCATTTTAAATTATTAAAATAGTCTCTCATAGGAAATGTGTTCTATTCAATAATTCAATAATAACCTTTAATCTTCACTCAGGAAATAATATCTTGACTGCAAATTCTGTTTTATGTCTCCCTCGTTATTAATTACTAATCTGTGTTATATTGCCATGTTCGTTCATCCAAGGTCAAATACGATCCGCATTAAATTTTTGTCTTTTGCAGCTGCTAAAAGCTAATGAAATATAAAGCCATAATCATATAAGAAAAGCGTTCTGAATATGGGAAATAACTGGCAATTGGGGCTGAGGGATTGTCCTTTCTTGCACTTAGTTGCAATAGGTCTCTCTGTAACAAGATTTCCTAACAATTAACATGACCCAACTGGAAAGCTGGCTTCTTTGTGAATTTCCTAGTAAAGCTGGAAGCCAGTAAAAATCATTTAAACAAAGAGGTGGTTCTGCTCTCTTTGGGTTTTGTGTTGTGTTGTGTGTGTGTTTTTGTTTTTTCTTTTTTGAGACAATGTCTTGCTCTGTTGCCCGGGCTGGAGTGCAGTGGTACGATCATGGTTCACTGCAGCCTCCACCTCCTGGGCTCAAGTGATCCTCCTGGGCTCAAGTGATCCTCTGCCTCAGCCTCCTATGTAGCTGGGACTACAGGTGCGAGCCACCATGTCCAGCTATTTTTTTTTTCCTTTGGTAGAGACGAGGTATTGCTATGTTGCCCAGGCTGGTTTCAAACTCCTAGCCTCAAGTGATCCTCCCGCCTCAGCCTCCCAAAGTGCTGGGATTACAGACATGGCTACTACACCTGGCCTTTCTGCCTTCTAAAGGTTCACGATTCTAAAATGGATATCTAAATAGCCCCTATCAGAGTCTCAAAATACTTGAAATTTTTAAAGCAAAGGTAAATTAATCACACAGCAAATAAAAAGATGAAGATGTATTTAATTGGTGTAAAGAATAAAAAGGTTGTTGGGATGGGTTTGTTTTGTTTTGTCTGTTTCATACAGGCATTAAATGTGTTTGTAGTACCAATCCTATACAAACCTCCAGGCCAACACATTATCATATCAAACGGTGACTATTACCTAAGAATTGGTAGTGAGAGGAATCATGATTTCAGATGAAGAAAATGGTCTCCTTTTACAAAGAAAAGTACTTATTTAAAATGATTCCCAATAAAACAGGGATTAGAGCATATGATGTGGGCTGAAAATAAAGATTTGGAGTCTTGACACACTGATGTCAAAGCCATGGACTAGAAAAAGCATCCAAGGAGAGTGTTAGAGTGACAAAACCAGAGAGCCAAGGGGGAACCCAGAGGAGCCCCAACATTTAAAAGCCAGGAGAAAGTAGAGTCCACATAAATAGTTCATGCAGAGACCTAAAAGAAAAACCAGGAGAATGTGTTGCCCCTGAAGCCAAGGGCAATGAGTAGTAAGAAGGGAGTGGGCAGGAGTGCCAAAGACTGCCAGGAAGTGAGCAAAATCAGCACTGAAAATGCTCCATTGGACTTCGAGGTCATTCAAGAACCTGTCAGATCATCTTCCCTGGGCTGGGATCAAAGAGGAGGTAGGAGACAGCGGGTACAAATGCACCCCTAAGGAGCGAGCTTGAAGGGGAGGAGAGAGACGAGAGGAACTGGAGGGGATGAGAGGGCCAGAGAAGACTTATTTTAAAGGGAAGGAAAGAACAGTTACAAAGGGCAATTTTGGACAACTGGGAAATTCTGAATATGGACTACATGTTAGATAATGTTACACTATCAATGTTAAATTTCTTCAGGGTGATCTAGTATTGTAGTTATATAAGAGAATATCCCTCTTTTAGTAGATGCATGCTGAAGTACGTAGAGGTTAATTCCATAATGTCTACAGCTTATTTTCAAATTATTTCAAACGGGTGTTTATGTACTATTCTTTCATCTTCTCTGTAGGTTTGCAATTTTCAAAAATATTTGGGGAGGAAAACAAAAGCAAAACAAAATGGCTTGAGAAAAAAATATATATATATATACAAACCAAAAAAAAAAAAAAGGAAAAAGGAAAAAAAGAGGAAAGTCACCGAGCATGTCAAGATGCTGATGAGCAATAGCTAGCGGAATGAGCAGGAGAGGCAGAAGGAAAATCAATGCCCTCCCCTACCTACCCCTCCCACAGCTACAGAGCATACGGATAGTCTTAGAGGGACAATGGACTTGAAAGAGCATCTTCTCTGTCTGCAGTTCATTGAGGAGGAAAATGAGGACGGTCCGAGTTCACAGGGATTTTCAATATACCCTACGGTGGCAGTAAAGACTGCTTGATGGCTATGATAACCTAGAACCCTCTGACAAACAATAGCAAGGAGAATGGCAAGAGGCCCTCTAAACTTGGAGAAAATTCTTTAGGGAACACCAAAGATGAAAGATTTTCATTTGTTATTTTTCCATGAAGGTCTCAAACTGAAATATACATCACAGTAAAGGACTTCAAATTGGGAGTAAGGAGATGGGGATGGAGAGCCGGGAGGGGGGCTCTCAAGCAGCTGTGAATGGCTTGATTGTTCGATTTTTTTTTTTTTTTTTTTTTTTGAGATGGTGTCTCGCTCTCTCGCCCAGGCTGTAGTGCAGTGGTGTGATCTTGGCTCACTGCAAGCTCCGCCTCCTGGGTTCACGCCATTCACCTTCCTCAGCCTCCCGAGGAGCTGGGACTACAGGCGCCCGCCACCACGCCCTGCTAATTTTTTGTATTTTTAGTAAAGATGGGGTTGCACCGTGTTAGCCAGGATGGTCTCAATCTCCTGACCTCGTGATTCACCCGCCTCGGCCTCCCAAAGTGCTGGGATTACAGGCGTGAGCCACCGCGCCTGGCGATTGTTTGATTTTTAAACAGCTAAATTAACTAGATGTTTTACCAAGAATTAAAGAAATATTTAGTTTGCTATTCAGTATTTTTAAGTTTTTTTCATATAAAATAAAGAATGAGTACTTTTGAAAGGAACAATTTCCTTTAGAGAAACTTCTATTTGTCACAGCTTACGCATCAAACCACAAAGCCAAAAAAGCACGGATTGTCTTTGTCGGCCTCTTAGCACTTACAGAAATTGAATAAATACATTTCTAAGTGGTCTCAAGGGAAGAAATAAAATATATCAGTGTTTCCAAAGTGCTCCATGGGAACAAAAAGGCAATAGATTATTAATTGAAATACCATTAACATAAAATTTTAAGTGTCAAGTGAAATTCAGGAGAATGAAATTGCAATGTTTAATTTCTGTTATGTGGATAAATTCCAATTCTCCAAGTCAGGGTAGCATATCAGAAGGGCCATGAACTTTGGAATCTGCCAGATCTGGTTCCAATTCAGGCTCTGCCACCCATGAGTGTGTAACTTGGGGCAGTTAAGTCTCACTTTCCTCATTTATAAAACGAGGGAGACTAATCAAAGCTTTAAGAGTTTTGGTAAGAAATAATGAGAGTAGCAGGCACTCAATAAATGATAGCTATTATTAGTCCTCTCTTACCTGCTACATATCACAAAAGAAATAAAATAACAATGACAATATAAAATTGATGTTACTTTTTTTTTTGAGATGGAGTCTCACTCTGTTGCCCAGGCTGGAGTGCAGTGGCATGATCTTGGCTCACTGCAACCTGTCTGCCTCCCAGGTTCAGGCAATTCTCCTGCCTCAGCCTCCCAAGTAACTGGGATTACAGGCATGTGCCGTCACGCCCAGCTAATTTTTCTATTTTTAGTAGAGACAGTGTCTCACCATGTTGACCAGGCTGGTCTTGAACTCCTGACCTCAAGTGATCCACCCACCTCAGCCTCTCAAAGTGCTGGGATTACAGGTGTGAGCCACTGTGCCTGGTCTTTTTCTTCTTTTAAGAGTCAGGGTCTCACTCAGTGGTGGTCCTGGCTGGAGTGCAGTGGCATAATCATAGCTCACTGCAACCTCAAACTCCTGGGCTCAAGTGATTCACCCGCCTCTCAAAGTGTTGGGATTACAGGCGTGAGTCACCGCGCCTGGCCCGATGCTACTTCTCTACATGGAAGCTGGGTAGAGCACAAGAAAGGGAATAGCCTCGATTTTATATGTAGGTTACGCTTTCTCAAACTGCCGTGATACTCCAGAGGCAGAGTACTGTGGTCAGGTGGAACGACCTAGCAGGACAAAAAACCCTTAACACTAGTCAGACCAGTGGAAACAGGAATCAAGCACGAGCCTTGGCTCTGTGACTTGCTGTGTTCCCTTGAGGCAATCACTTTGCCTTTCAAAGCCTCATTTCCTTTTCTGCAAACTGAGAACAACCCTTCAAAAGGCTGTGAGGATCAAACGTATGTTACAGGGCCTGGCCAACTTGAAAAGCACTATGCAAATACAAGGTACTGTATATAAGTAAATTTAATTAAAGCTAGCTTCTGAAGCAGCAACATTCAGAGGTGGCATAAAATGGTGTAATGGGTGACAGCAAAAAATACTTTGTCATCAAAACTCCTTGAATTCAAATCCCAACTCTGCCAGCTGTAAGCTGCATAAACTTACCAAGTAGGCTGGGCACGGTGGCTCACGCCTATAATCCCAGCACTTTGGGAGGCCGAGGCGGGCGAACCATAAGGTCAGGAGTTCAAGACCAGCCTGGCCAACATGGTGAAGCCCCGCCTCTACTAAAAATACAAAAAATTAGCTGGGCATAGTGGTGGGCGCCTGTAATCCCAGCTACTCAGGAGGCTGAGGCAGGAGAATCACTTGAACCCGGGAGGTGAAGGGTGCAGTGAGCCGAGATCACGCCACTGCGCTCCAGCCCAGGCGACAGAGTGAGATTCCATCTCAAAAAAAAAAAACAAAAAAACGAAAAACAAACTTACCAAGTACCACACTGAGCATGAGCTGCTTCCACTATACAAACAGGAATAATAACCCTTTATTCAGGTTTATTACAAGGATTAGATAAAACATATGTAGATTATGTTGAACACTCTTTGGAATATGGTTAGTAATCAGGAAATAATATCTATCATTTTCTATCAAGAGCTTTCAAAATATTTATAGCCCTTGACACGATAATTTCATATCTAATCACCTGAATATAGAAATAATCCAAAATAAGGAAAAGGCTTTGCACAAAGAAATTCTTCAAAGTGTTATTTATATTAGTATTAAAAGGTCCAATATTTGAAGAATAATTAAGCATATTATGGCCTATTCACCAAATAAAATACTTAGCAATGACTAAAATGATGTTTGCAAAGCATTTATAACAACTTGAGAAATGTTTACATAACATTTTAGTGCTGAAAGTGAGGCTACAAAAAACTAACATTTAGGATGATCAGAAATCTATAATATACAAAAAATACATTGAAGGAAATTATCAGAATGTTGTCATTATCTCTGGGTAGTGGAATGATGAGGGAGTATTCATTATTTTCAACTGCTTTTCTATATTTTTTCCAAATATCTGAATGAGAGAAAATTTTATGCACACAATGTTTGTCTATGAATAAATATAAGTAAACATCACTGCATCAGCTTTCAGCAGATTTATTATTATGAACTCATAATAAACCTTGATTGGCATATCCAACAAGAGATAAAAGAAGAAAAAGAATTTTAAATGGCTCTTCTGGACGCACTCCATATGGGTTTGCCCTGCTCCATAAGGAGCAATGGAGCAGTAAAGAAAAAAAAAAAAAAAAAAGAATTTTAAGGGAATACTCTGAACAAGTATATGTCAACAAATTAGATAATGTAGATGAAATGGGCAAATTCCTAGAACTACCACAAATGACTCAAGAAGGAATAGAAAATCTAAATAGTCATATAACAAGAGACAGAATAAGTAATCAAAAAAACTACGCACAAAGAAAACCTCATGCCCAGATAGCTTCACTGATGAATTCTACCAAATATTTAAAGAATTAATACCAATTCTTCATGAACTCTTCCAAAAAATGGAGGAGAAGGGAACACTTTCCAACTCATTCTATGAGGCCAATATTACCCTGACAGTTAAATCAGACAAAGATATCACAAGAAAACTATAGATCAGTATCTCTTATGAATATAGTTGCAAGATTCCTCTACAAAATACCAGCAAACTGAATTCAGCAGCATATAAAAAGCATTATACACCATGATCAAGGGGATTTATCCTAGGAATGCGAAGTTGGCTTAACATCAATTAACATAATGTGCCATTTAATTAACATTATATGCCATATCATAAAATAAAGGACAAAAACCACAAGATCATCTCAATACATGCAGAGAAAGCATTTGACAAAATTAAACACCACTTTGTAATAATAAAAAAATCAATAAACTAGGAATAGGAGTGTGTTTTCTCAACCTGAGAAAGAGCATCTATGAAAAAGACACAGCTGATATAAGACTTACTGGTGAAACACTGAATGTTTCTCCCTTAAGATCAGGAACAAGACAAGGATGGCTACTCTTGCATTTCTATTTGACATTGTAGTGGAGGCAAGAAAATGAAACAAAAGGCATTGGAAAGAAACAAGTAAAACTATATTTGCAGATGACCTGGTTTGTAAATAAAAATTCCTAAAATATCCACTAAAAACCTATTAGAGCTAATGAGTTCAGTAAAGTTTTGGGATATAAGACCAATATACAAAAATCAATTTTTAAACATTTGCAATAAACAATCCAAAAATGAAATTAACAAAAATCCATGTATAATATCATCAAAAAGAATAAAAAACCTAGGTTAAATTTAAGGAAAGAAGTGTAAAACTTATACTCTGAACACTACAAGACACTGGTGAAAGAAATTAAAGATCTAAATAGATGGAAAGACATCCCATGTTCATGGATCAGATTATTTAATTGTTAATATAGCAATACTCCCCAAATTGATCTACAGATTCAACACAACCCCTCTCAACATTCCACTTGGCTTCTTTTGAGACACTGACACATTGATTCTAAAATTCATATGGAAATGTAAGGGACCCAGAATAGCCAAAATAATCTTGAAAAAGAGAAACAAAGTTGAAGAATTCATACTTCCCAATTTCAAAACTTTATTAAAAAAAGCTATAGTAGGCCTGGCGTGGTGGCTTATGCCTGTAATCCCAGCACTTTGGGAGGCCAAGGCGGGCGGATCACAAGGTCAGGAGTTCAGACCAGCCTGGCCAACATGGTGAAACCCCGTCTCTACCAAAAATACAAAAATTAGCCAGATGTGGTGGTTTGTGCCTGTAATCCCAGCTACTCCGGAGGCTGAGGCAGGAGAGTCACTTGAACCTGGGAGGCGGAGGTTGCAGTGAGCTGAGATTGTGCCATTGCACTCCAGCCTGGGCTACAAGAGTAAGACTCCGTCTCAAAAAAAAAAAAAAAAAGCTATAGTAATCCAGACACTGGTACTGGCATAAGAAAGACATACAGATCACTGGAATAGAATTGAGAGCCCAGAAATAAACATTTATGGTCAATTGATTTTTGACAATGGTGCTAAGAGGATTCAATGGGGAAAGAACAATCTTTTCAACAAACAGTGCTGAGACAACTGGATATCCACATGCAAAAAATGAATTTGTACTCCTACCTCACACCATACGTGAAAATCAGCAACTCAAAATGGTTCAAATGCCTAAAAGTAAGAGCTAAAAGTACAAAACTTTTTTTGGCCTTTAAAAACATATATATTTAGGGGGTATAAGTGTAATTTTGTTACATGTATAATGAAGTCTGGGCTTTTAGCGTAACCATTACCCAAGTAGCATACATTGTACTCATTAGGTAATTTCTCATACCTCACCCCCCTCCCACCCTCCCAGCTTTCTGAGTCTCCAGTGTCTATTATTGTATTCTGGATGCCCATATGTATACATTATTTAGCTCCCACTTTTAAGTGAGAACATGGGGTATTTGACTTTCTGTTTTTTGAGTAATTTCACTTAGGATAATGGCTTCTTGTTCCATCCATGTTGCTGCAAAAGACATGATTTCATTCTTTTTTATGGCTGAGTAGTATTCCATGGCATGCATATATATATATATACACACACACACACATATATATACATATATATATGCACACACATACATACATATATACGTATATATACACACACATACACACACACACATATATACACACACACACACTTACATATACATACACCACACATTTTCTTTACCCAATCATCCATTGAAAAACACTTACGGTGATTCCATATCTTTGCTATTGTAAATAGTGCTGCGGTAAACATAAGAGTGTAGATATCTATTTGATATAATGACTTCCTTTGGGTAGACTCCGTGGTGGGATTGCTGGATGAAATGGTAGTTTGGTAGCTCTATTTTTAGTTCTTTGAGAAATCTCCATAATGTTTTCCACAGAGGTTGTACTAATTTACATTCCCACCAGCAGTGATAAACATTCCCTTTTCCCTACATCCTTGCCTACATCTCTTATTTTTTGACTTTTTAGTAATAGCCATTCTGACCGGTATGTAAGGTGGTATCTCATTATGGTTTCAATTTGCATTTACCTGATGATTAGTGATGTTGAGCATTTTTTTCGTGTGTTTGTTAGCCATTTGTATGCCTTCTTTTGAAAAAATGTCTGTTCATGACCTTTGCCCACTTTTTAATGGAGTTATCTTTTTTTTCTTGTTGAGTTGTTACAAAACTCTTAAAGTAAGACGTGAGCAAAAATCTTTTTGGACTCGGGAATGGATTCTTAGATATGACACCAAAATCACAAGCAACCAAAGAAAAAATAAAGTGAACTTCATCAAAAGTAAAAACTTTTGTGCTTCAAAGAACACCATTAAGAAAGGATGAAGAGAATTCAACAAATGAGAGAAAATATTTGCAAGTCACATATTTGATAGGAAACTTGTATCTAGAATATATAAATTTATCTTACAACAATATAAAAATAAATAATTCAATTAAAAATGGGTAAATGATCTGAATAGACATTTCTCCAAAGCAGATATACAAATAGCCAATAAACACATGAAAAGATGCTCAATGTCATTAGTCACTACTGAAATACAAATGAAAACCATGGTGTGATACCACTTCATACCCACTAGGATGACTAAAATCAAAAGGACAGACAATAACAACTATCGCTGAAAATGTGGAGAAATTGAAACCTTTATACACTGCTGGTAGGAATGTAGAATGGTGCAGTCACTTGGGAAAACAGCTTGGAAATTTCTCAAAATGTTAAACATAAAGCTACCGTATGACCCAGCAATTCCACTTCTAGGTATATACCCAAGAGAACGGAAAACATATGTTCACAGCAGCATTGTTCATAACAGTCAAAAAGCTGAAACAGGTCGGGCACAGTGGCTCACGCCTGTAATCCTAGCGCTTTGGGAGGCCGAGGCGGGCAGATCACCTGAGGTCAGGAGTTCGAGACCAGCCTGGCCAACATGGTGAAACCCTGTCTCTACCAAAAATACAAAAATTAGCTAGGTGTGGTGGTGTGTGCCTGTAATCCCAGCTACTCCAGAGGCTGAGGCAGGAGAATCGCTTGAACCTGGGAGGCGGAGGTTGCAGCGAGCCGAGATCGCCCCACTGCACTCCAGCCTGGGTGACAGAGCAAGACTGTCTCAAAAAAAACAAAAAACAAAAAACAAAGCTGAAACAATCCAAATGTCTATCAATTGATGAATGGATAAATACAATGTGGCATATTCATACAATGAAATATTATTCCACAATAAAAAGGAATATAGTACTGATACATGCTACAACATGGACAAAGCCAGACACAAAAGGTCACATAATATATGACTCCATTTACATGAAATGTCCAGAATAGATAAATCCATAGAGACTGAATATAGATTTGTGGTTGCCAGGGGCTGAGAGGAGAAAGTGCTTAATGGATAAGGGGTTTTACTTTGGAGTGTTGGAAATGTCTCAGAAGTACATAGGGGTTGTGGTTGCACGACACTGTGAACATACCAACTGCTGCTGAGTTGTTCACTTGACAATGGCTAATTTTATGTTACGTGAATTTCACCTCAATAAATCACAGGTATTTGAAAGAAAAAGCAATCCAAAAATCTAAGCTAATATTTCCACTTACATGCAATGTTTTAAAAGTTGAAAAGTATTTCAAAAAGAGAGAGGATTTGTTTTTACAAGTTGGACTTGGCTTTTTTTTTTTTAACCTAGGAAATTTGGCTAAATTTAAAGAACTGTGAGTAATCCTAGATATAAAAAGATAATTTCTCTTTACTCTCTGCTAATAAACGTCTACTACAGCAGTAGAGTTCAGATGGAGCTTTTGAAAGATTTATTTCATGACATGCTTAAAGATTTGAAAGAGTCAGTACACCTCCTATGTCCCTTCCTACTTTCAGAGATGAGTTTCCTACATCATCAGCACAAGTCAGCTGGGTAGGAGAATAACATTTGATTCCCAAAGTAAAACATCCCACGCTAATTAGTATAGCACACTCTGCATCCTAAACCCTCCACCTTAAGCCTGAATAAACTTCCAAAGGCAAGACGTGGAATAGAAGTTGGGGGAATTACCTATAACCTAGACATCAAAGAAGTGGAGTTTAAGAGCAAATTACTCATATTAATTGTCCCAGCTTATTTACTTGTTTTTATTTTAATTTGCTTGTTGGAAACTCTATCCCTTAAATGCTCAAGTTTGTTTCAACTAGATGCCAATAGCCATGAGAAAGAACCTCAGTACAAAATAAACAAAGTGAATATTTAAGCTTCTAATTATATGGGGGTACAGAAAGGCATGCCATCTATTTAGAAACAATACACCTTTTTTTTGGAAACAGATGATCTAGCATTCTCCCAATTCTCCTAGATTATTTTTAAAACGTGATGCAAATCTCATGAAGTTCTGTGTTGAATAGATATAGAAATAATGTGATCATTGAGTTATAAAATCCAATAAAAATTCAATGATGCTACTAAATGTCACAAAAGTAGGGATATAGCTATTTATAAAAGTATTGAAGAAACACATATAAATTACACTGCCTTTCTTGTTCCCTGCCACTGAGTTTTAAATTGAGATTTTATATTGGTACATTATCGAATGAAATTAAATCAAACACAAAATATCTCTAAGACAATACTTTATGGTACTTCATAAATTCAAAGCTACATCTTCCTAAATGTAGTTTCCTATGCTACTCTAACGATGCCTTGTGCAAATCACACAGGGCAGCTTGAGCATCGTGGGAGTAAATGAGAAAGGAGAAGAGGGTGAGGGCAGCTCATTTTCCCCTTTTCATTCATAACCACAGGCACATTCCCAGTACTCACATGTGTCAGATCTCCTGGTTTTCGTTGAAGAACTGCTGCATCCCATGACTTCTATCTAAATCATATGTGTTCATGAATTCAACTTCTGATTTTAAGACAGAGTGTGAAAAGTGCCTCCCTTTAAGCTGCGAGGAACCACTCTTAGCCGATCCTCTTCAGTCATAGATTCTAATGAGGAATACACAGGAGGGAGGGAAGGAAACCGCCAGTTAACCACATGGTAGCTGAGGGGCTGCTCAGCAGGATTCATTTTACGCTTCTTCTGAATCGCTGTTCATCATGTGATGTGGAAAGTGATCAGACATAATCTAATCCTGGCTTATTTTCCAAAACACAGCAGCAGCTACAGAGCAGCTATAGGCTGCTTCTCTGCTAGACATAAATGAGTTTCTCCATGTCTAGGTCACATCCAGCTCTGTATAAAATAGAGCATTCAAAATGAAAAGAAAAATCGAAATATGAGAGTGTACGATTTTCTAATTTAAATATGGGGAATGGGATGTGGAGGAGCTGACATAATTAACTGTTTTGGTTTTCAGCTCAAAGTAATTCAACCTATCTAGGCTTTTAAAAACACAAATTGGAAGTTGACTATGAGACAAAAACAACATATTTAACAGCTATGCTGAAATTCAAAGTGAGTTCTTTGACAGTATTTCGCGGAATAAGTTGGGAACATTTGTTTTAAAAAAAAGGAGGCAGCCGGTCGCAGTGGCTCACGCCTGCAATCCCAGCACTTTGGGAGGCCGAGGCGGGCGGATTACGAGGTCAGGAGTTCGAGACCAGCCTGGCCAACATGGTGAAACCCCGTCTCTACTAAAAGTACAAAAATTAGCCAAGCATGGTGGCACATGTCTGTAATCCCAGCTACTCAGGAGGCTGAGGCAGCAGAATCGCTTGAACCCAGGAGGCGGAGGTTGCAGTGAGCTGAGATCGCACCACTGTACTCTAGCCTGGGCGACAAAGCGAGACTCCATCTCAAAAAAAAAAAAAAAAAAAAAAAAAAAAGGAGGTTTGAAACCTCCCCCCAAATTTAGGAATTGTAATCTGTGAGAGTGTCCTTTTATTTATTTTATTTTTTGAGACGGAGTCTCGCTCTATTACCCAGGCTGGAGTGCAGTGGTGTGATCACAGCTCACTGCAGCCTCAACCTCCCAGGCTCAGGTGATCCTCCCGCCTCAGCCTCCCTAGTAGCTGGGACTACAGGCATGCGCCACCACACCTGGCTAATTTTTTGTATTTTTAGTAGAGACGGGGTTTTGCTGTGTTGGCCAGGATGGTCTCGAACTCCTGACCTCAGGTGATCCACCTGCCTCGGCCTCCCAAAGTGCTGGGATGACAGGCGTGAGCCACCGTGCCTGGCCAAGAGTGCCCTTTTAAACAAGCTCTCTGGGCACTGCTGAGGCCCCTCTGGAGTCTAACTTTGTGTTCTATAGTCCTTCTCATGAGCTCCCTGACTCCCATAATCACTTCACGGGAGTTTTCAACAAAATTCCTTTCCATAGTATACTGTCACGTCACTTTTTAGGGTGATGTTTCCTTTATTTTGTGATGCTCCAAACCAACCTGATCTAATATATTTGCATTCCTTTTTTTTTTTTTTTTTTTTCAGACAGGGTCTCACTCTGTCACCCAGGATGGAGTGTAGTGGCACAATCACGGCTCGCTGCAGCCTTAACCTCCCAAGCATGTGCCGTGACACCCGGCTAATTTTATTTTTTTGTAGAGACAGGGTCTCCCTATGTTGCCGAGGCTGGTCTCAAACTCCTGGGCTCAAGTGATCCTCCGACCTTGTCCTCCCAAAGTGCTGGGATCACAGGTGTGAGCCATCTTGCCCAGCCCTATTTGCATTTCTTGACAGGCACAAAGTCAGCAAACAACTGACATATCTATCTTTCCATTGGTACTACACCAAAAGCTTCAAAATTTCAACTCGACTGAAGAAAGGGAAAACTAAAATAAGCAAAATATTTGAACTATGGCCATGTTTTGAAAATAACAATAAGCTTAGTAAACAGATTTTCTGACCAGAGGTGAACCTGATTATTTTATGTATTGAATGAATTAGCCTTCCTAAACTTTGGGTTACTTCCAAATTTTTATTTATTTTTTGAGACAAGGTCTCGCTCTGTCACCCAGGCTGGAGTGCAGTGGCGCAACCATGACTCACTGCAGCCTCCACCTCCCGGGCTCAAGTGATTCTCCTACCTCAGCCTCCTGAGCAGCTGGAACTACAGGCATGCGCCACCATGCCCAGCTAATTTTTGTACTTTTTTGTAGACATGGGGTCTCACCATGTTGCCCAAGTTGGTCTCAAACTCCTGGCCTCAAGCAACGTGCCCACCTCAGCCTCCCAAAGTGCTGGGATGACAGGCATCAGCCACCGTGCTTGGCTTTATTTCCAAATTCGATAGGCATTTCTTTCGTGTCTTCCTTATCTACATCATGGCTAAAGAACATTAACAAGATCAGATCCAAGGGCAGGATGAGCCCTGTGGCATCCCACTCCAAACCATCCTCCAGGTTCACCACAGATCCGTTACCTTCATACTCGCTGAGCACATTTGTTCAGTTAGCTGGTAAACTCACCTATCATAACTCTCATTTATCTGTGAGACATCCTGGAGAATTTTACTAAATATTTTAATAAAATGATGATATGTATATATTTTGATACTTTGACATTCCAGCTTATTCCAGCAAAAGAAGAGAGAGGGAAGGAGGAGGAGAAAAGGAAGGAAGGGCAGGGGAGGAAGAAAGGAAGGAAATCAATTTGGCAACATTTTTAATACAAAATCATAGAAGTTTAAAGGTGAGAGAGACCTTTAAAATTACCTAGTATTTACACAAAGTGCAAGGAAGTTAAGCAACTTGTCCCATGTCATATAGACCTGTGCTTGTCATACTTCGTTGCATATGAGTGTCACCTGGGGAGCTTTTCAAACTCCCAGTACTCAGCCTGCACCTCATTAAGTCAGAATCTCTTGGGGTTTAAAAAATACTGATGCCCAAGTCCCACCCCCAGATAATTTGACATAATTGGTACTGGGTGGAGGATGAGGCATCAAGATTTTTTTCAGTTTTCCAGATTCTAATACACAACAAAGTTTGACAATCTGTAATAGAGACGGTATTTTAGAAAACCCACGGTGCTGCATAGTGATGATCACATTTTCCTAGAAATGCTTTGGCTCCATCTATTTCAAGCTGAATTTTTCCAGAGGTCATATCAAGTCTGTGGCTTCTAGCATATATTCTTTTCTCATTTTTGAAATTGGGGCACTGTTCATCTAGGAATTCATCTAGTCCTGGTGACATTCTCCAGGTGCCTAGATCAGTGCTCTCCAACTCGAGTGCTCACAAGACTTATTGGGGGTGGGGGGATGCAGATTCCCAGGCTTTACTAACAATACTCAGATTCAAAAGTCCAGTGCCTTGGAATACACATTTAAAGTGCACCATGCCGAGAACTTTGATGCAAGGAATCCCCATATCTCAGTTGAAGAAACACTATTTTCCAACAGTATCCAAATCTCGCTTGGGCTTCGCTCCATCCTCATGCTATTTTTTCCACCCCTTTTTATGAAGACATAAGAATTGGGGCTGGGCACAGTGGCTCTCATTCGTAATCCTAGCACTTTGGGAGGCTGAGGCAGATGGATCCTTTGAGCCCAGGAGTTCGAGACCAGCCTGGGCAACATAGGGAGACCCCATCTCTACCAAAAAATACAAAAAATTAGCCAGGCATGGTGGTGCACATCTGTAGTCCCAGCTCCTCAGGAGGCTGAGGTGGGAGGATCACCTGAGCCTGGGAGGTCAAGGATGCAGCGAGCCGTGATCACACCACTGCACTCCAGCCTGGGTGACAGAGTGAAATCCTGACTTTAAAAAAAAAAAAAAAAAAAGGTATGTTTTTTAATTTAAAAAAGAAAACAGGGGAAAAAAAGAATTGAGCATTTAGTAGGCCATAAACACTGATTGGACTGATTGACATATTTCAATTTCGATTTTCTTTTTCCAGAAAAAAAAAAGCACTGTCTCAATATCTCTCCAGAGGCATTTGGTTTTCAGTCACCCCTCAGTTAATCCACAACAAACACAACTGCATATAAAAGATTCAGTAAGAACTAAAAAGCATCAAACTTGAGTATATTTCTGTTAGACTATTAGCCCCACGGGCAACTTCCAAAGTAGCCCTTGAATCTCTGGCACCTACATGGTGCCTTTCACATTGCAGATGTTGGATAATGCTAAATGAATGAATGAATGAACAAAGGAATCAATATTCCTAGGCCAGAGTTCTTTAAAAATTTAGTTGCTAAAAGTCATTATTAATCCATCATTTTGTGCACAGGTAGGTGCTATTCAATTATACAAAAGCATTTTATTAAATCAGAAAGGGGTAGTACTTATACATAATTTTTAAAGAAAGTTTTAAAATCATGATGGAAAGACATGATGTTCTAGAATTTTTTGATTATCCATTAGAAAAAATTGGCTATAATAATTTTTACATTATTAAATAATTATTATCAGTTTATTTTTAACTGTTTTTCTCTCAGGTAATAGGTTACAAAAAAAGTCAGTTCTTTTTCATTCTCACCAAAATATGAGCTGGTTAAAGCAAGATGCCACTTACCCCTCCCATGTACTGCCCCACCTAGACTTCCAGGAGAGAGGGAAGTGAGTTTGTAAGCAGTGCGTGAGCCTTTGAGGACATCTCTGACGTAAAGCTGATAAAAATGATTGGGGATTTTCCATGACTTGGTAAAATCTAAGCTGCTTCCATTTCCCACCCTCTGTTAGCGTTTAAGTGCATTGAAGAAGTCTCTGAAGAAGTGATTCCCTGAGGCCTGAAAAGGGTTCTCAGGCTCAAAGAGGTGGGGGGCTTCCACAGGGTTCACAAACGCCCAAGAATGTCCTAGTGGGTAACATGAGCCGCTGGGTGGATCTTGGCAAAAAAACAGCTTGAAACTTGCCCATTGCTGCTGTCCCTTCTAATATATACCAAGGATGGTTTTAAAGAGTAAACATGAAATAATGACTCATCATTGGCACTCACTTATAATTTGCAAAAGGAAAGCCTTCCGCTAAAAGGTTTTTACTGTGTGTGTGTTGGGGGTGACTGGGTGGAACTGATAATTTTCCATTTTTTTCATGCTAATCTTTCACTTCCAATGCTGAAAATACAAGGAAAGTACAAAAGACAGGCCGTGGGGACAAACTAACGTTCGCCACCAAGCACCCTCCAACCACTAGCCCAGCCTCCCCGAGTTGTTCTTGTTCATTCTTAAGGTGGTCTGATTTCTAAGCTCATCTCTATCCAACTTCCACACCTTGGCTCAGCCACCCTGACACGACCCTCTCTGGCATTCTAGATGTCAGTTTCGTAGTTTCCTATGCTAGAATTCAGCTTTTCCTAGAGATGTTGGCTTTAGCAAGAAATTGGCTTTAGCTCTAGTCCTGAAAACCTGGAACCCATAGTCATTCAACTGATACCAACACCCTCTACCCCCACCCCCGACCACCACAGTGGGAGTGAAGCAGGCAGGTGTAATTCTTCCCCCGTAGATTGTGCTAGCATGAGGAACAGATGCCTCATCAGGCTCACCCTATTGCATTCTGCTTGGTATTCATTGCCACAGAGGTTTTATAGCCTGATGTCTGTGGCCTAAATATAATGCAGAGGCATAGGGTGAGGCAGAGGAGTCCCTGGCAGCCCGTGCCAGAGAGTTCCCTTCCATCACTACCTTTCCAGTAGAACAGTGGAGCAATTACTTATGTCTGGGGTCTTAAATGAGTAAGGGGAGGTCTGTAAGACCAAGCTGGTGATTCTTCCTGGGTCTCGCCACATGAGAGGATAAGAAAAGGGAGGAAACTATACTGACCACCAGAAGGTGTTTGAAAGTGTCTGCTGGTATATCAGACATGATTGTAATCAGGAAACAGCGTGGCCTGGTGCCAGGTTTTCCAAAGTGTGTTTGTGGAAGAATAGTTCTATGTGGTTTATTATTCTAGGACTAAGGCCAAAATAAAGGTCCCACTATTACATAATAAGTTCAGGGGATGTAGAGCTGGACAGGTTTCTTTACTGCAGGACTTCTCAGAGCCTTTAATATATGAACATACATTGTGAATCTCTCAGAAAGAGCTGACCACTATTTCCCAAAGAGCCTAGCAAGGGGCCCTTTTGAAGTAAAGCATCTCAAGAACTATTGTTCCTAACTGCCTAATGCTGGCCCAGTGGAGCCTTGGGTTTAGAAGTCAGACAACAGGAGTTTGAACTCTTAGTCATTAATTCCCCTGTACCTCAGTTTCCTCATAAGAAAACAGTGATAATAATGCATATCTTACTGACTTGTACTGAGGACTGAGTGGTGGGAAAAAACTAGCTTGAACAAAGACCAACTGTTTTTAGCTGATGAGTTAGGAGGGGCCATGCATGGGTGGGAACCCACTGTGTTTGTTCAAGTCTCTTTCTTCAGAATGCTTTGTCTGGGGCTTCCCAAAGACTAAACCCTTTGGGTACCTACAGGTTCTGGTATAATTTAAGAGTCGCAAAGCAATGGGCTCTTTTCCCTTGAGAGGTCTAAGATCGGAAAGAATGCTATACCAGTAATCATAATAGTAGCTAAAATCACTACTATTTATTAAGGGACTACTATTTACCCAGCATAGTGGGTGCTTTATATTTCTATTATTTCAGTTCACTGTCACAGCAAACTTTCAAGGTAGTATCGTCATCACCATGTTACAGATGAACAAAACTGAGACTCAAATAACACACTCCCTGGCGTAGCTGATTAGTGGCAGAACTGAAGACTCGCTCTGTTTAATCATTAAAGAACAAAAATGTCTGCCCACTAAAAGGCTATGCCTTGGTTTCAGGATCCAATCTGATCAGTTCGCATACGAACTAAATCACTAAAGAGAATTTTGAACACTGTAAGGAATTCTGGTTCCATTCTTACAGATAGCTAGAAACCTCTAAGACGACAAGACGCCAAGGGAACTAAAGGAAGATTTCTAAATATGAAGGTGTGCAGTGGAGTTTGGAGAATACTCCCTGAGGGGACCTAGAAGGGTTTCTCAAAGGACCCCTTCCCTCATTTTCTGGCTCTCAATCCAAGTGACTGTGGAGATTTTCCAAATATCAAGTTCATTTGAAATAGGCCACAATCCTTCAGATTGCCAAGTCATCTGTACGTCTTCTTCAACTGATGGCAACTGATTTACAACCAGCATTTTTGAGAACAATCATTCCGAGAAATTGCAAAGCAGTAAGATATACTCCAAGGAGTACACATTCCCTGTTCCATTGCCACACGATATATGTTTATGATGTAGACTTCTGCTTGCCCCAAATGCCTAAGAATAAACAAACATATTACCTGTTTCTTCTGCTTGGCCAATGTAGAGGTTTTTCCTCACCCCAGGTGTTTCAAAGGAAATGAAGACGAGAAAAAAACCTTCTCTCTGGGGAAATGCAGAGGGCTGAAAGAAAAGAGGTACAATTTCAGCCCTCTCTGAAGCACCCCACACAAACACACACACACACACACACACACACACACACACACACACACCCCACTCTGCAGAGAGAGCTCTTGCTTAAATAAATAAACAAACATATATACACAAAGAAATAACTAGAACAGGGCCAGGCTGCTTTGCCTTTCAGCCGGGAAGGCAAGCCCAGAGCCACGAATCTGGGAGACAATGCACTGGCCGTGAGCACAGCTCTCTGCCCCAGCCCTGCTCTGTTCCTGGCCTGGAGATGCACTCAAGTAATGGGCTGCAAAGTCAGCGGCCACGTGACTGCTTCCAAAGGGACCAGGCTCCGCATGGGCAGGACCACGCTATTGTGTGCATAATCTGCCATCAATACAAAATAGAAAAGAGAATTTCAGTAAATAAGAGCAGAAAAGCACTCTTTAGGTAAACTGAGGATAATTTTTAGAAAACGTTACATTAACCTGGTACAATTAAGAGAAGTGGAAAAACTAAACATTTTTCCTTGGTTCTAGAAAGGTGTGGGTTTGAGGGAGCAGCCACTGGGTCATAAGACATTTATACTCCACCAGCTGTTCAGTAGCTCCTTATTGGAGAACCTACCTGTGAAGGGAGAATGACCTCCCTTCATCAGCAGAAAGGGAAAGGAAAGTTGGCCTGTAATCTTGCTGAGTTTAGGGGAGGAGAAAGACATACTTGAAAATTCAAAGTGCCCATGGCAGTAATGGATGCCAGCAGCCACAGTTCTGCTATGTTCGAGGCAATCTAGTGGTGGTCTTCTTGTTCACAGAGTCTTATACTGATCGCGGCCGCGCTGCCAGCAGTTTCCCTGGCAAACTCTTCCTAGCTGGTGACACAGCATACGTGTTTTCAAGCTTACTGGTCTTAGGCTTTGCCAGCTAAAATTTACAGGACTCCAGCCATAAACATTTCATAACCCCACCCAAGCTGCTCTTTAGCTCGATTCCTTTCTGCAATTGAGAGCCACGGGAGATCTAGTAAAGTGGTTACCTAGTTTGCCATTTAATCGGATGGAGTTACTTGAAAAATAACTGGCAAGGTGGCTCTGGGCTTCTGTCCTATTAGTATATTAACATCACCAGAGGGCCTCATTATGAGGCAATACGACCACTCAGGTTTCCATGGTGGGGACGCCAAGAGTAGGACCTGATGAGGCTGCTACACAAATTGTAAATGATAGCATAATTACTCAGGCTCCAAAAAAAATAGTGGACAATGTAGCTATACAGCTGGCTCTCCCAACCAAATGCCTATTCAATCCTCAGCCATTAAATTATGGCTATGTCTAGATACAGTTGTTCCAATGTCACCTCCTCTGTGTGAAGCCTTTCCTGAATCACCAAAGGGGAATTAGTCACTCTGTCTTCTGGCTCTCAAAGCCATGTGTGCGTCCAATTATAGAGCTGCTCAAAGTGTGCTGTAATTTGCCCTTTTACATGTGAAATCCTAAAGGGAAAGGATCTGTTTCATTCCTCTTGGCATCCCCAGTTGTGTGTGTGTTTTCTTATTTTTAAGACAGAGTCTCACTCTGTCACCCAGGCTGTGTAGTGGTGCATTCTGGGCTCACTGCAACCTCTGCCTGCCAGGCTTAAGCGATTCTCCTGCCTCAGCCTCCCGAGGAGCTGGGATTACAGGTGTACACCACCACACCCAGCTAATTTTTGTATTTTTAGTACAGACGAGGTTTCACCATGTTGGCCATGCTAGTGTCAAACTCCTAGCCTCAGGTGATCTGCCTTGACCTCCCAAAGTGCTGGGATTACAGGTGTGAGCCACTGCGACTGGCCACACCCTCAGTTTTAAACCTACTCATTACTGAATGCAAAAGAGGTACTCACCAAATATTTGTTTAACCACAGAAAGAAAGGAAAGCAGGGAAAAAAAACTCATGATTTAGGTTGTTATTTTAATGGCCAGCTCCTGGACCACGAATTGGATTGGCTGTGCCCTTTATGTGATTTGTTGAAAACTCAGAATTTGCTTTGAATGAATAACTTCATTGTATTTTTCCATTGTAGAAAGAACACTGAAATGTTACTGTGAGCACCAAAGGGGTCTTATGGTCAGCCTCCAACTGTTAAATGAACCAACACTGATGTAAGTGAATAAATCACAATAATGATAATATCTATTGAGCACTGACCATGTTCTAGGTACTTTTAAATTTTACATATGTTAATCTTATTTAATCCACACACCATCCTCTGAGGTATATACTATTACGATCCCTCTTCACCCATTAGGAATTGTGGCCTAAAGTCAAACAGCAAATGAGGGGTGGAACTGGGAGTTGAACCCGGGCACTTTGGCTCTAGAACCCCTGCTTATTATAATCATTACACTCTACTGCCTCAGTCAGCACCTTGTGTGTTTGCAAAATTCAAGCTTCAGCCTCTTCTCAAATGCTCTCTGGCTTTCCTACAGCTGACCAGGGATGTGTTCTCCCAGCCTGAAAAAAGAAAAAATGATGGGCAGAGTGATGTTAACAGTTTTAAACCTCCTATGTGGCAAGCACCTCCTATGTAGCAGGTGCTACTGAGGGACAGAGACACAAATGGCAGAGAAAAAAAAATACACATGATTGGATATTGAAATATACATACTAGGTTCTTAAAACAGTGCCAGGCACATAATAAATATCTATTACATGAATAAATGAAAGCAATATGGTATGATAAAATATCTAATAAAACAGGTACGAGACACTCCAGGGGCGCAGAGAAAGAGCCCTATCTCAGAAAGGGGGATGACGGAAGGCTTCCTAGAAGTGATGCACGGGCCGAGACCTGATGACTGACTAGGCATCAGCCAGAGGAAAAGAGGTGGGAAGAGGGGGTTCTCATAGCTATGCATATTCTACAGTACTTAACTAGGGTGTGAAATGGGAGAGGGGAACTAGAAATCAAAATGAACTTCTTTCCTAATGATAATGCTGCAATTACATAAAGGTGCCCGGATGTTAAGATTGAAAAATGGCTGCCCTCTCCACCTCTTCAGGCTGGACTTAATCTCTCTTGATTGCCTTCCCTTCCTTTCTCACTTCCCCACTGCTGTACTTTCTTTGCTCCTGCCTTCCAAATAAACTTGCTCTCAAATGTTTATCTCAGGCTCTGCTTCTGAGGGATCCCAACCCAGGACATTTAGTTAGTCCATGGCAATAGCAAACTATGGAAAGACAGAGGGGAATGGAGAAGCCTGGCTACCTCTCAAGGGAGAGAGGGATTTGTAGGCAAGCCTCTCCTATTTCACAAGCTTCCTGGAGCTGGCCACAGTTCCAATTTCTGCCAAGGCAAAGTAGTTCTAATGGGCAGCTCCCATTATTGATCATGACATACCCTGAGGAGTATGCTAGAATTGAGGTGAAGCAGCTGGACTGGAGAGGAGACTAAGAAAACAGCGGCATGTGCAGATCTATTTGATGGTGGGTACTTAAGGTGTCTGCTTGTGGCTCCTGATACCTCGAAGCCCCGTAGCACCAAAGGGGGGAAGCTCAGACAGGGCTGGCCTCCCAGCTCTTCTGACTCTGAGCTAGCCTCCTGATGCTGGGGCCACTGGCAAGCAATCACACCCAATCACCACTTCCTAACCCCTAGTAGTCTCCAAAACTGGGGTAGCTTCCCCACAGCACATGCACAGAGATCTGCTGGAGAGCAGAAAGCAAAACATCAGAACTCATATTTTTATCTATTTTCTTATTCTTGTTAACTTTTCTATTTCCATGTATATTTGATCATGTACACAATAAATGAGTTCAGCAGTATTAGCTGTAAATAAATAAATATGCTTGGTCCATTCTCACGAAACTTACTGTGAGGGGTCCATGATGAAAAAAGTTCAAAAAGGCTGGGGGCAGTGGCTCATACCTGTAATCCCAGCACTTTGGGAGGCTGAGCAAGGAGGATTGCTTGAGCTGATGAGCTGGAGACCAGCCTGGGCAACATAGCAAGACCTCTCTACTAAAAAAAAAAAAAAAATTAGCTGGGTGTGGTGGGACATGCCTGTTCTCACAGCTACTTGGGAGGCTGAGGCAGGAGGATCACTTGAGCCTGCAAGATCGAGGCTGCAGTAAGCCATGATAGAGCCACTATACTCCAGCCTAGGCAACAGAGGAAGACCTTGTCTCAAAAGAAAAAAAAAATCGAAGGACTCTAATTTAAAGATCCTGCTCCCTTGTGAAGAGAAGAAAGGAATACCAAGTAATTTTTCACTTAAATAGAGAAAGGATCAAGCATATTTTCAAGGGTGAATTCTGGGTACTGAAAAATCACATTAACTAGGAGAAAAGAGAGGCCAGATCTGGCAAGTCATTAGGAAGTCATTAAAAGAAATTAAAAGTGGGTTATGAGTCACTATCAGATGGAAGAAATTCATAAAAGTCAGTGCTTGCCAGATGTTTCTATTGGGGTCACCTGGTGAGCAGCCACAATGACAGGCTAAAACAGCCATCACGTTTTAAGGTGGGGAAATTCAGCTTTCGAAAGGCTCCATCTTAGATACAAAAGTTGAGCTTTCCTTGGTTGTGATTTAATAAATAGATTAATAGATATCAGAATTTTAATTCGGACCACTGCTTAATCTAACCCTAGCTTGGTCCTCGATGGCTTGAGTTTAAAGAAATTCCTTAAATTAACCCTGAATGTTCATAAATCAAATCAAAAAGCTTCACAGAAGGTTCTGGTCTGGGTAAGATGGAAAAGGGACATTTTACCCACTCTACTCTTTCTCTCTCATGGGACAAAGCTATAAAACCTGGACAGAATCCATGAAACAGCTATTTGAGGACTGTGGCAGACAGACTCTAAGCTGCCCCCAATGATCCCTTCCTCCTGGTCAATTCACACCACTGTGTTCATCCCTTCTCTTCAGCATAGGCTGGACCCAGAAACTTGCTTCTAATCAATTGAGCATGGCAATGGTATTGGGATGTCACTTCTATGACTAGGTTATAAAAGACTGTGATTTTCTGTCTTGCTAGCAGACCCTATTATCTTCACAGCTTTTGTGCTTTCAATGAAGTAAGCTGCCATGTGGGAGAAGCCCAAGTGGCAAAGGACTGGGGGAAGTCTCTAGCCAAAAGCCAGCAAGGAACTAAGGCCCTCAGTCAAACAGACCATGAGGAACTGACTCTTGTCAACAACCATACGGGCTTGGAAGTGGATCCCTCCCCAGTCAAACCTTCAGATGACAGCAGCCCAGTCAACACATTGTGTGCAGCAGCTCACGACAGATGCTGACGTAGAGGGCCCAGGTAAGCCACGCCTGGGTTTCTGCCCCACAGAAACTGTAAGATCATAAACATGTGTTGTTTTAAGCCACTAGATTTTTTGGTAATCTGTCCCACAGCAATAAACAAGTAACATGAGGACTCTGAAAAGTAAATAACAGACGGCAGATGAAGGAAACAGATCAGAGTTTGAAGTACCACTGAACTGACAGTGAGTTTACCTTTTGTTCCCTCCAGTTCCTCCAGGCCAGATTCAAGGAAGCAGAAATTAAAATTAAAACCATGAGATACCACTATATGTCTATGAATATGGCTAAATTTGGGTGGGGGGGTTGAGACAGGGTCTCACTCTGTCACCAGGCTGGAGCACAGTGACACAATCACAGCTCACTGCAACTTCAACTTTCTGGGCTCAAGCTATCCTTCCACCTCAGCCTCCCAAGTAGTTGGGATCACAGGTACATGCCACCATGCCCGGCTAATTTTTGTATTTTTTGTAGGGAGTGGGTTTTGCCACGTTGTTCAGACTGGTCTCTAGGTATCCGCCTGCCTCAGCCTCCCAAAGTATTTGTATTATAGGCGTGAGCCACTGTGCCCAGCTAAAATTTTTTTTTTTAATACAATATCCAGTGCTGGCTAGAATGTG
This sequence comes from Homo sapiens, assembly GCF_000001405.40. Classification (NCBI taxonomy): domain Eukaryota; kingdom Metazoa; phylum Chordata; class Mammalia; order Primates; family Hominidae; genus Homo; species Homo sapiens. The sequence goes on along the minus strand of NC_000023.11, from coordinate 18,694,423 downwards.
GAGCAACTCGAACTCTAACACTTTGCTGGCAGGAATGCAAAGTGGTACAGTCACTCTGAAAAAGAGTTTGGTACTTTCTTATAAAGTTGAACATACACTTACCATACGACAGCAATCCTACTCCTGGGTAGCTATCCTAGAGAAATAAAATTTTCTATTCATGCAAAAACGTGTATGCAGGTTCATACGGTCAAACATTGAAAACAGCTTAAATGTCCTTCCGTGAGTGTCCCACAAACTGTGGGACATCCATACAATGAAATGCTACTTAGCAATAAAAACAAATGAAGCTGATACACACAACCTGGATGGGTCTCAAAGGCATTATGCTGAGTGGAAGAGGCCATGCTGAAAGGGATACAGACAGTTATATCGCATTCTCAAAAAGACAAAACTATAGTGACAGGGAACTGATCAGTGGTTACCAGGGGTTTATGGGTGAGGGAGGGGAGTGACTACAAAGGGCTAGCAGGAGGGAGTTTTGGGGGGCATGTTCTATATCCTGATGATGATGGTGGTTATGCTAATCTATCCATGTGTTAAAATTCACAGAACTGGCTGGGCGTGGTGGCTCACGCCTGCCATCTCAGCACTTTGGGAGGCCGAAGCGGGTGGATCACCTGAGGTCAGGAGTTCAAGAGCAGCCTGACCAAAACGGTGAAAACGTGTCTCTACTAAAAACACAAAAAATTAGCCAGGCGTGGTGGCAGGCACCTGTAATCCCAGCTACTTGGGAGGCTAAGGCAGGAGAATCCCTTGAACCCGGGAGGCGGAGGTTGCGGTGAGCCAAGGTTGCGCCATTACACTCCAGCCTGGGCAACAAGAGAAAAACTCCGTCTCGAAAAAATAAAAATAAAAAATAAATCACAGAACTGTACTTTAGGTTAGTGCAAAAGTAACTGCGGTTTTTGCAGAGATACGCCCACATACTTACTACTGGAGTCCAGAAAGAAATGAGCTCGACCTGGGAACACCAGGAAATGTTTCGTAGGGCATAAAAGATAGAGAAAGACATTCCAGGGAACATGGGAGTCTGTTATATTTGAGATTAGGGGATACATAGAGTACACAGCAAAGGTTGGGAGCATTAACCTGGGGGAGGTAGGTTGGTGCCACCTGTGTTCTTATAAATCACAACAAAGAATCTGGACTTCAACTTATCAGTCAGGGATTGTCCTTTCAAATGCTTAATGGGCTGGGGCAGATAATACAAATGACTAAAGCAGCCTGGGTGGAAACCATGAGACACTGTAGCGAGTTTTTGTCTAAATGAGGTAGCTGCTACTTACTGGTAGCTCCATCTTCGGCTGCTATCCAGAAATCGCAGCCCAGTGTTGCCTGATGTAATTTTCCAAGAGAAGCTGAAGATAGTTTTATGTACGATCTCCTTATTTTTAAATGTTAGCATGAGTATTTTTCAGCAAATTTATGAAGCCACTGATTACAGGGTACACTGCTGTTTTATGTACCAATAAGAGAGAACACCACTGATCAAACTATGTCACTGTCCATTTCAAGACACATCCCAATATCAGAGCTGCTAAAATGTGAAAAAAAAATGCATCTTAGAATCAACAAAATACAGTCATTCTCATTTTCTCAAAATGCCGTACAGACTGCGTGGATTCCGCTTAAAGCTGCCAGATTGCAAACTCTGTTTAAGTCAAGGGGAGCCTGAGGGTAAGCTGATTAGATTCAAGCTGCAAGATCACTCTGGGGATCAGATGGTGATGAATGGGGAAAAGCAGGTAACAGGAAGACCAATGAGGAGGCTCCTGCAATAATCCAGGAGATAGATGGTAAGGGCTGAATTAAAGTCATGGCAGCGGGGATGAAGGGGAAGAAGGAGCCAAATGTAAAAGGGTTTTATGTAACAAACCCCACAGGTCTCAGACTGGGCATGGAGAGTGAGGGAGACAGAGACATCGAGGAGGATTCCAGGGTTTTTAGTTTGGAAGAATAAATAGATTCATCATTCACTTGACAATATTTACTGGGTGTCTACCATGTGCCAGGCACTATGCTAGGTGCTGTGGTTACAAGGGGTGGACAAGATAGACATGGTTTCTGCCTTCTTATAATTTACAGTCTAAGAGATGATGATATTCATTGCAATAGGGTATTAAAGGGTACAAGAGTCGGACATGAAGGGGGACAAGCGAGTTTATGGTGGAGAAAAATCGTGAGTTCAGTCAGCAGTGTGCTAAATTTCAGTACTTGTGAGACCTCACTGTTGAAATATCCCACAGGCAGGAGAAGCCTGGGTTTGGAGCTCAGGAAATAAATCAGGACCAGAGAGTCAGATTAAATAGGTCATCAGGTTGCTGACAATAGCTGAAGTGATTAGAGAAGATAAAATAGCCAGGGAGAGCTTATAGAGTAAAGCTATAGAGGCAAAAGCAGAACACTGGGGAATAGAGACATTAAAGAGAATGAAAAGAGGAAGGAGCCAACAGGGAGGCTAACAAAGAAGCAATCTGGAAAGTAAGAGGCCAAGGAGTGAGGGCTATCTGTAAAGCAATGGAGACTTGATTACCGTATAGTCCATCTAAACCTGCACCTAGAATTACTGCCTGGAAGCAATTTACCTTTGCCATGTACAATTCAGACTGTCAGAGTTATGGATGTTTTGCATGAATTCCAAATAGGCTTATCAGAACTGCTTCTAATTTAGAAAGCTAGGATATTTTTAAATATTGCCACAATCTGTTTCTTTATCTTGTATGTGCTTACGTTTTACATGTATCTCAGATTGACATCTAGCATGAGTCAATGTAGAGCAATGCTAATTCCTTATTTCTTCTTCTTTTCCTTCTACAGGAGCTACAATCTGCCATTCCAAGAACAAAAGTAAAACAAAGACTACACACTGATGCAACTCCCTCTCATGTTAAAGCACTGGGAATTGGGCAAAACTGATCTAGACAGAGAATGGAGTCACCTTGCAAGACCATCATGAGGTTCTCTGCCCAGAGCTCTGTAACAGGTGAGGCTGAAATGTGGTAAGATACTCTGATCCTTCGGACTTGTCTAGAAAGGTCCTCAGACATCTTCATTTTATAGGAGAGGAAACCACGCCCAGAGAAGTTAGGTGGCCTCCCCAAAGTCACAGTCCTGTGACTCAGTGACCAGCACATCAAGGTGACCCAGTTTCACCCTATACATATATATTAAAGCTTTTAACAAACTTCATACATAAAACATAAAGACCACAAGAGTTGGGCTAAACAACTAAACAGACAGAGGCCACAGGTTAACTTTCGATCATTGTCCCATGCCTACCCGGATCATACTCCATTCACCTGGTCCACTAAGTGCTCTTCTCTTACCTTTCCCTCGAGGTTTGATCAGGTCCACACAGGTTCAAGGGGAACAGACTCCTAGATCTTCACTTTGCTGGTTGTTGACTCTTTCAGCCTGACCTGCGGGCTCAGGACACAATCTATCATCACACAGGTCTTATTGAAGAGGGTTTCCCAGTCTCATTTGTAATCTTCAAGAGGTAGATTCTAGAATGATTAATAGGTTGCCTTGGTGACCTCACAATGTAGGATGCAGATATGACAATACCTGCCAATGGAATGTGGACGACATGACCTGGATGAGAGGACTATTTCTTGCTTATTGAAAGGCAGATTCCAGCTTTCTTTTTGTCACCATTGCCTCCTTATCAACTATTTTTGTGTTCATGAACATGGTAAACAAAGAAAAGTTTGTTTCTTGGAGGAATGTTGATAAAACAAGGCCTGGGCCAGGCACGATGGCTCATGCCTGTAATCCCAGCACTTTGGGAGGCCAAGGCGGGTAGATCACCTGAGGTCAGAAGTTCAAGACCAGCCTGGCCAACATGGTGAAACCCTGTCTCTACTAAAAACAAAAATTAGCTGGGCATGGTGGCGGGCACCTGTAATCCCAGCTACTCAGGAGGCTGAGGCAGGAAAATCACTTGAACTCGGGAGGTGGAGGTTGCAGTGAGCTGAGACAGTGCCACTGCACTCCAGCCTGGGTGACAGAGTAAGACTCTGTTCCACGCCTGCCCCCCGCCAAAAAAAAAAAAAAAAAAAACAAGTCCTAGAAAATATCCAGGGCTTTCTTTTCAAAACCCTCACTATTACTGCCTCAAATGCCTAAAAGTTCACGGAGAAGCCTTTGGAAAACATTTTCAGAGCATTTTCTTTTGTGCACTTATTCCTGGCTTGGTTTCATTCATATATTCATTAAATAAATATTTGTTGAGCATCTATTATGTGCCGGGTACTGTTCTACACCCTGGGGATATACCAGTTAGCAAAACTGGTAAGGTCTCTTCCCTCCTAAAGCTTATAGGCTAGTAGGAGAAGTAAACATGAATCAAATAATCATAAATGTGAAATTGCAAAGGACAAGTATTCATTTTATGAGAGTGAGGTGGGGGGTCGAGCAAAGCCTTCTCTGAGGAAGTCATCTTTGACCTGACAGTGGAAGGTTGAATGTGGATTAATTAGGTGAAGGTGTTGATGGGGGATGGAGTCAAGCATACAGTTGAGCTAAGGCTCGTGACCCGGAGTAGCTAACTGGAGACTAGGATTGGGAGACTTTCAAAGGAGAATCCAGGATTCAATATAGGTCTAATTTACTAAAGCCGAAGCTCTTATTTTCACCAAAATTTAAAGGGTGCACAATCTGTCAGTCTTACAACTCATTTGCGTAAAACTCTAAAACAGCACTTCTCAAACTTTAATGCACTTACAAGTCACCTAGGGATCTTGTCAAAACACAGATTCCCGGGCCCAATCACTGCTGAATCCCAATCTGATTTAGTAGGTCTGGGGTGGGGCTGTGAAGCTGCATTTCTAATAAGCTCCCAGGTGACAGTGAAGCATACTTTGAGGGGCACTGCTCTATAACACAGTACTCTTTTTATTTATTTATTTTTATTTGTTTGAGACAGGGTCTCACTCTGTCGAGAGTGAGCTATGATCGCGCCCAGGCTGGAGTGCAGTGGCGCGATCATAGCTCACTGTAGCCTCCACCTCCCGGGCTCAAGTCATCCTCCTCACTCAACCTCCCAAGTAGCTGGGACTACAGGTGCCCGCCACCACACTCGGCTAATTTTTTATTTTTTACAGAGATGGCGTTTCACCATCTTGCCCAGGCTGGTCTCAAATTCTTGGGCTCCCAAAGCACTGGAATTACAGGCGTGAGCCACCACACCTGGCCTCATTCATAGCTTTTGGAGTGTAAACCAAAAGAAAAATTTTAATCCCCGCCCAACCATTGGAATGGACTTCTTCCTAGGCCAGGGCACTTTAAAATTTAACCTGAAAGACTGCTTCAGGCCATGACGAGAAGCAGAGGTCCAACATGCCTCATTATACCTCTCCGGTATTAATATAAACACAGACCTTAGGACGGATAAGAAACATTTACAATCTGTCCTCTCTGAAGCCTGCTACCTGAAGGCTTCATCTATCTGCACAATAAGAACTTTGGTCTCCACAGTCCCTTAACCCAGACATCTCCTTTCTACTGATCCCAGGTCTTTGGATAAACTCAACCAACTGTCAACTAGAACATTTTTCAATCTACCTATAACCCGGAAGCCACGCCCCTCCTCCCCCTTGCTTCGAGTTGTCCTGCCTTTCTGAACTGAACCAATGTATTTCTTAAATGTATTTGATTGAATTCTCATGTCTCCCTAAAATGTATTAATTCTACAATTAATTTTTATGGTTTACTCAGTAGTAAGACCAAAACAAAAGAATGTTGTGATATGTAAATAAAGCAATGCCAAAAGCTAAAGATTTCAAAGACTTGGAAAGAACGAGAGAAATAATAATCATAAGCAAACTGACGTGTCAGTAATGTAGTGAAACTTCTCTAATTTATCCCAGTGAAGTGGGCTGTCAATTCTTACTCAGTGACAAGTTCAATTTATGAAATAGTTTTAAAGAAAAGTAACAAATTAATCTGATGTAACTAATGAGAAGCAATGTCTACATGTTTAATAACTCTTTAACAGGTCAATAAGAGCTATTTGTAACTAACACTTTCATTTTCTGACGGAAGCTCTGGATTTTATATGATGTGAGAGAAAAACCACCTCCCTTTCCAGGCCTCCATTACTTACTTCTGTCACAGTTCCCACTGATGTGGCACATTCCTCCTGGTGGCCTATGTGAAAACAAGTAGGCGAGAGAGCCAAGATTTCTCTGGTTTGGTTTTCGTGAGAAGGTTATGAAGTTAATATAGGGCCTAAAGTGAAATATTGCCATTTAAAAAAACTAGAAATGAACTCCTCTGTGCAGAGAAGAACAGGAAGATTAAGAAAGGGAAACTGGAGTAAGTTTTTATAATTTTGAGGAAATATCAGCTCTGCCACTTTCAACCTGGGGATCTTAGGCAACTTACATAACTCCTCTAAACCTCAGTTTCCTCATTTTAAAAATGAGAATAGGCCGGGCGCTGTAGCTCACACCTGTAATCCCAGCTCTTTGGGAGGCCAAGGCAGGTGGATCACTTGAGGTCTGAAGTTCGAGACCAGCCTGGACAACATGGTAAAGCCCCGTCTCTACTAAAAATACAAAAATTAGCCAGGCATGGTGGTGTGCGCCTATAGTCCCGGCTACTCCGGAGGCTGAGGCACGAGAATCACTTGAACCTGGGAGGTGGAGGTTGCAGTGAGCTGAGATCGTGCCACTGCACTCCAGCCTGGGCAACAGAGTGAGACTCTGTCTCAAAAAAAAAAAAAAAAAAAAAGAAGAATATTTAAAGAGAATAATTTAAGTGGCAATCTCTTTGTAAACTATAAAGTGCTAAACAAGTATTAGCTACCATTTCCAGGAGAGGCCTGCATTTCCCAAGTGGATATACATCCTAGAGAAGAAATGTGGTCTGGCCAGTGGGTCAGGATGTGTCTAGGGACATAATAGAATTAGATTCTAGAGTCAGCTTGCTTGGGTTCAAGTTCTTGCTCAACCACTTAACAGCTCTGTGTGAGCTTGGGCAAATTACATAACCTCTCTGTGCCTATTGCTTCAACTATAAAACGAGGCTACAGATAGCACCAATCACACTGGGTTGACGTAACGAATGAATGGGTTAACACACATTGTAGCAGCCACTGATCATTACTGTCCATTCTCCCCCTGTTCCTTACTAATAAAACCCCCGTTTTGTTCTAGGTGGCAGTGTTCGGGCAACAAAACTTGATTTGCTAGGCTCCCTTGCAACTATGGGTAGTCATGTGACACAGTTCTAGCCCTTGAGATACAAGCAGAAATCTATGGGCTGAGGCTTCCAGAAAAGCTATTTTCCTGATAAAAAGGAAAAGACTCAGCTGGCATAAGCCTCTTCTCTTTTGTCCTTCCCCCTATTCTGCCTGGAACCAGGACACAATGCCTGGAGGAGGAGCAGCCATCTCATGCACACTAGGAAGAAAGCCTCACACTGAGAATAGCGAAACCATGATGCAGGATGGATGCAGGATGGAGGGACGAGCTTGAGACCTGGATGACAATGTGACACTGTATATCTCCTGGCTTCGTATCATGTGGGACGAAAACCAAGCGCTCTGTGTTAAGCCCCTGGTGTTCTATTTACCTTATTTCAGGCAGCCAAACACATTCTCTAACCAATACAACTATAAAGCAGCTTGGTGCCTGGCTCATAGTATTCAATAAATGTTAGCTATTATTATTATCATTAGGCCAGCATTCTGTTCCCTAACCAGGTGGCTAGCAAATAGTCCCCTAACTTCCTTGTAATAGAATCACAATTTTCCTTTTCGAAATCACCCCCGCTTCCTGTTTTTTAGCCAAGTGATTTGCATGGGACTGACGCAGCCCCCAACTCTAAGCGCGGGCCCTGGTTGACTTAAGCCAATTATCCGAGCCCACTCCCCAAGCAACAGCAACTTTTCAGGAACAAGCACATAATTCAGGCCTAAGACAGCATATCCTCTTCTCCTGGCAAAAAGGAGTGTTTGGGGTGGGCGTATAGCTAAAGAAAGATATTATGAGTGAATCTCGGGGTACCTGGAGAGAGTGCTGGGACAGACTCACTTATCTCCCCCTAGTGTGGTGCTCTGAGCAAGGTTTCACCATGAGAAGAGCCAGTCCAGGGGGTGAAATTGATACATGGGGAAGGGCCAACCAAAAGGCAGGGAAATGGAGCCGGAGCCCTCCATCCTTAGTCTCTGGATCAAATCTTACCTTCGGAAGTTTCAAACCAGATTCGTTTGAAACTGGTTTTGCTCAGTTTGGGTCGGATCTTCTGCCACAGGCAACTACAAGATTCTTTCTGATACTGTTAGAAGAAAAAAATAATAATTTTACTGTAAGGACTACATGCCTACAGGGGAACTTTCCAAATCCTGGTGTAGTGCTTCTATTCAGTAAAATCTATAATCCAGCACCATATAAGTTCACATCACAATCACCTTTTTAAAAGAAAAAATGACAATAAGATTCACAATCAATTTTCAGTTGTGTGAATTCATTCAAATTTCTCTTCTGAAAGAAAAAAAAAGTCAGCCAGTTGAAAGTGTTTTGTTTTTGTTCTTTTTGTAAACACGTCCAGGAGAGGTCCATTAAGAATAAATTTGTATCCAGGCTTTAGAAGAACGCTGAGCCCAGAAGCAGACGCTAGAAATGTATGACTAATATTGAAATAATATTCACAGACAGTTGTCATGGCAGCCTACTCCGTCTGCACAAAATAGAACCCACTGCTTTTTTTTCTTTTTTTTTTTTTTTTTTTGAGATGGAGTCTCGCTCTTTCACCCAGGCTGGAGTGCAGTGGCGAGATCTCGGCTCACTGCAAGCCCCGCCTCCCGGGTTCACGCCATCCTCCTGCCTCAGCCCCTCAAGTAGCTGGGACTACAGGCACCCGCCACCGCGGCCGGCTAATTTTTTGTATTTTTAGTAGAGATGGGGTTTCACCGTGTTAGCCAGGATGGTCTCGATCTCCTGACCTCGTGATCCACCCTCCTCGGCCTCCCAAAGTGCTGGGATTACAGGCGTGAGCCACCGTGCCTGGCAGAACCCACTGCATCTTAACAGGATTTAGCAGAGGAAAACTGCTAGCATGCAGATAGCCTCTAAATGAATTAAACAACCTACTAATTGGTTTTGCTTTTATTACTGTAGATGGCCTTAGGACTCTACCCAAATTGTATCCAAAAGATCCCCAATTCTTGAAATCATTAGTAAAAATACACAATATGACTGGAGTTTAACACCTGCACCACACTTGAAATCTTTCCCTCAGACTGTGCAGAAAGCTTAGAGGCAAGTCTTATTGCGTGCCCAGTTGAATCCATGTGGAAACAAATCAGGCAGTAAGTGTTGTGGGAGTCGAGGGAGTAACCCATTCCATTTCCATCACCAATTAGCACTGGCTGCTATCAGGTGTTGCCTTTTAAATGGGACTCTAGAGGAGTGGGCAGTAGTAGTCAAATTGTTCTGTGTTCAGTTACCTAGTCACAGGGGAGTGACTTTAGAAACTAGGCACATCTCTGCCGGGTGTGGTGGCTCAGGCCTGTAATCCCAGCACTTTGGGAGGCCAAGGCAGGCAGATCACCTGATGTCAGGAGTTCAAGATCAGCCTGGGCAGCATGGTGAAAATCCATCCCTACTAATAATACAAAAATCAGCAAGGCGTGGTGGCGGATACCTGGAATCCCAGCTACTTGGGAAGCTGAGGCAGGAGAATCGCTTGAACCCGGGAGGTGGAGGTTGCAGTGAGCCAAGATTGTGCCACTGCACTCCAGCCTGGGCGACAGAGTGAGACTCTGCCTCAAATTAAAAAAAAAAAAAAAAGAGAGAGAGAAAAAGATACTAGACACATCCCAAGATAGGTTAAGTAAGAGAGGGGGAGACAAAACATTCTAAGCTCATCTGTTTCTCTCTCGAGTGGCCATCTCTAGGAAATGTAATCTCACTGAAAGTGATCGTGGGTGATTGTGAAGGTTATAGATAGCTGGTCTGGAGAGGTATACCATGTGAGGCCTTCTTTCCTATTAGACAGGTTTTTGCTTATCACCCTGCCTATCCCTCATCAGCCTTCTCTTTTGTCAAGTTTCTTCTTTAAGAGAAAGGAGACCGGGCCCAAATTCAGATCTAGTAACATCCTACATTAGGAAAACCACATCAAGCCACTATCTTCCATTAACATACTGGAACAAATGAGTCCTTTGGGTTAACTCATGTTCTTCAGACTTCTTGAGATGAGGCCATGTCATATACTTTTTTTAAAAAAGCTCCCGCACTACCCAACACTGTGTTCCCAGACATATTGCAGGCATGTGATAATGAACAACTTCCATCAAGGGACTGGAACACAGGGCAAGCCCTTGGTAGCTGGGGGACAAATTAAAGACATTGTCAAAATGGTACAGGAGAGAGCTACGGGTGAGCTATGTGCAAAGGTTCAATCAGTAGGATCTGTATTTTTCCTCATATAACTGAAACTTCTACTAAACAGTAGCATTAAAAATGAGGGATTTTATTATTCATTTCACAAGGAATCTGGAGTAGGGAATCTGGGGCTGGGACCCAGGCACCTTCCTTCTTTAGGCCAAGCCATGCAGCTTTCTTCTTCCCAATTGTCAACTCATGGGTGCAAAATAGTAATCACGACAGAAAGTGATGCCCTCCTTCTAGCACCACACTCACGTTCCAGGCAGAAAGAGATGAACTATGGGCAAAAGGGGGGATACCAAATGGGTCTACCTCCTTTCAAGGAAATGAAGCTGTTTTAGCCAGACACATCACCAAAGCAAACAAAATCAGGCACTATAGTGCAGAGGCTAAGCACAGCCCACGGAGCCAGATGGTCTGGGCTTAGAACCTTGCTTCTTTATGTCACTGTGTGACTTGGTCAAGTTACCAACTTACTCTGTGCCTCGATTTCCTCACCTGCAAACTATGATAATAGTACAGGGTTCTCATGAGGATTCAATGAGTTAATACGAGTGAAGCACTTAGAATAGTCCCTAATACACAGCAAGCACTGTACAACTGTGCGTTTTTACTTGTCTTATTGAGGAAAAGAGGAACGGATATTCCTCTTTTCCTCAATATCTGCTAGTAGATAAGCAACTAGCACTATCTGACACAGACATGTTGCCCACTGTATAATTGTACCTGGCCTGGTTACTGTGCCACACGTGAGCAAGCGCCCTGCTGTACATGAGAACTACTGGCTCCCCAGCAGACAGGGAAACCACAACCCAGGTGATACGGTTTGGCTGTGCTGCAACCCAAATCTCATCTTGAATTGTAGCTCCCACAATTCCCACGTGTCGTGGGAGGGACCCGGAGGGGAGGCAATCGAATCATGGGGCAGGTCTTTCCCATGCTGTTCTCATGAGAGTGAATAAGTCTCATGAGATCTGATGGTTTTGGCTTCCCCTTTTGCCTGGCTCTCATTTCTCTCTTGCCTGCCAGCATGTAAGACGTCCCTTTGCTCCTCCTTCATCCTCCGCCATGATTGTGAGGCCTCCTCAGCCACTGGAACTGTGAGTCCACTAAACCTCTTTCCTTTATAAATTGCCCAGTCTGGGGTTTGTCTTTATTAGCAGCGTGAGAACAGATTAATACACCTACCCTACCAGAAGCGGCCATTCCCATAACTGTCAGCCTCATCCCCACTTACTGGGGACTGAGAACAACCAAAACTTTCAGGCATCCGAGCCAGGGCACCACCGTTAGCCACTGTGCCAACGCTCATCCATTTGAGACACAGATCATTAGGACTCTTTCCATTGCAAGTGTCAGTAAGCCCATTCCAGCTGGCTTAAGCAAAGCTAGGAATGGTTTCCTCAAATAACTGAAGAGTCAATGGTATATGCATGACTGGGGCCGGGGCGTAAGTCATGGCACCCAGCTGCTCTATTGCTCAGCTGGGATCCCTTGGTGTCCGCTCCATCCTCAGGTCTCCAGCAGGTCGTGGACGTCTTTCATGCTTCATGGTCATTCACTAACTTCTGAACCTCCTCCCTATGTCTTGGTAATTCCTCCTGTTTGACTCCTAACTCGCCAAAGTAGAAACAAGAAATTTGCTTTTCCAGCCTCTTTGATAGCAAGAGCACAGGCAGGTAAACTCAGCTCTGCCAGCGACTTCAATCCAGAAGAGGGCAACCTGAAGACGTGGAGGGCTCCCAAAGGCCATCTACTGCCAAGGTTAGTGGCAGAGGTGTCCAGTTTCCAGAGACAGCAGTGGTCAAGATTCTGGGCTCCAACACTGGTGTGACTTACTAAATATGTACTCAGAGGAGGCAGCAGTGCGCACCTGCGCTGGTGCAGTCCCTCAGTGAGATTTGGACATCATTCCTGGCTTTGGAGTCACCGAGGCCTTCTTGGAGATCCTGTGAGCCATCTGGTGTCCTTTAATAAACTCCTTTTCCTCTTAAACTTGTGGGAGTGTTGAAGCCGCTTAGGTGGTGTTATGCTTTCGTAACAACCCCAAACGTTAGTGGCTTACAATGATAAAGGTTTGTTTTGCACTCCAGTTCCGCGGACAGTGCAGATGGGCTGCAGTTATGTAACATGGAGCCTTCCCTCTGAAACTCAGGCCAACCTGTCTATGGGGCATTGCTGTTCTTCTTGCAGCAAAGGGGAAGGACAGAAGCAGCCACCACACTGGCTCTTACACTTTTGCTTGGAAGTGATACTCATCACTTCTGCTCACATTCAACTGGGCAAAGCAAAGCCACCTGGGCAAGTCTATCGGGGGACCATGGTGTCAAAATCCTACATGGGGAAGAAAAGTGAATATTTTGAACAAGAGGATTCTGTTGTATGCAACCAAGAGCCCTAATATAACGCAATAGTAAGATGGCAGCAGAAGTGCCAGCCTCTACATCATCTCACGTTCAAGTCCAGGGTGAATTAGGAAACGTCTCTGCTCAAGAAGTCAAGCAAAAATCCAGGATTAGCTCTTACTGGAACTCATTGCCCTGGCTTGAGTCACCCTCAACACTGACACATTGTTTTCAAGACATATTCACTGAGCACTTACTATATGCTGGAAACTATTTAGACTCTGCGTAATACAACAGAGAATGAAGCCAAATCCATGCCCTCATGGATCTTTCATTCCAGTCGAGGATGGTGGGGACAATCAACAAAATAAATTAGTAAATATGTAGAAATTTAGTGCTGCAGGCCAGGCGCAGTGACTCACGCCTGTAATCCCAGCACTTTGGGAGGCCAAGGTGGGCGGATCACGAGGTCAAGAGATCAAGACCATCCTGGCCAACATGGTGAAATCCCATCTCTATTACCATTTGACCCAGCCATCCCATTACTGGGTATATACCCAAAGGATTACAAATCATGCTGCTATAAAGACACATGCACACGTATGTTTATTGTGGCACTATTCACAATAGCAAAGACTTGGAACCAACCCAAATGTCCAACAACGATAGACTGGATTAAGAAAATGTGGCACATATACACCATAGAATACTATGCAGCCATAAAAAATGATGAGTTCATGTCCTTTGTAGGGACATGGATGAAACTGGAAACCATCATTCTCAGCAAACTATCGCAAGGACAAAAAACCAAACACTGCATGTTTTCACTCATAAGTGGGAATTGAACAATGAGAACACATGGACACAGGAAGGGGAACATCACACACCGGGAACTCTTGTGGGGTGGGGGGAGGGGGAGGGATAGCATTAGGAGATATACCCAATGCTAAACGACGAGTTAATGGGTGCATCACACCAACATGGCACACGTATACATATGTAACAAACCTGCACGTTGTGCACATGTACCCTGAAACTTAAAGTATAATAATAATAAAATTTAAAAATATTTATATATATAAATTAGCTGGGCGTGGTGGCAGGTGCCTATAGTCCCAGCTACTCGGGATGCTGAGGCAGGAGAATCATTTGAACCCAGGAGGCGGAGGTTGCAGTGAACCGAGATCACGCCATTGCACTCCAGCCTGGGCGACAGAGCGAGATGCCGTATCAAAAAAAAAAAAAAAAAGAGAAGAAATTTAGTGCTGCAGAGAAAAATAAGCAGGAAAGGGGGGCAGTGAGTCTCTAGCATGAATGGAAAAGAATAATAGCAATTTTCAGTAGACAGTCAGGAAAGGCCTCACTGAGAAGATATCTGGGTATGACCCGAGCAAGGTGAGAGAACAAGCAACAGCGTGATCTAAGGAAAAACTATTCGAGGCTGAGAGCAGCAGCAGCAGCAGCAGCAGCAGCAAAGGCCCCGAGGCAGGAGAGGCCTAGTGTAACTGAAGGGCAGCAAGCAGGCCGGTGTGGCTGGAGTGCAGTCAAAGCAAAGGCAAAGTTATAGGATTTTTTTTTTTTTTTTTTTTGAGGACAGGGTCTTGCTCTGTGACCCAGGCTGGGGTGTAATGGCACAGTCACGGCTCACTGCAACCTCCGCCTCCCAGGCTCAAGCGATCCTCCCATCTTAGCCTCCCAAGTAGCTGGGATTACACGTGCATGCCACCATACCTGGCTAATTTTTGTATATTTAGTAGAGACGGGATTTCATCATGCTGGCCAGACTGGTCTCAAACTCCTGGCCTCAAGTGTCTGCCCACCTTGGCCTCCAAAGTGCTGGGATTACAAGCATGATCAACTGTGCTTGGCCAGTAAGAGGATTTATAACCAGAGAGGCACAAGCCTTGTAGGCCACTGTAAGGCTTCAGCTTTTCTAGTTGAGGTAGGGAGCCATTGAAGGGTTTTGCACAGAATGATGAGAGCTAATCTGAATCTTGAAAGGACCACTCTGGCTACTGTGTGGAGAATAGTCTGTAGGGGGGAAAGGGCAGAAGCTGAAAGGCCAAGATCTGAGGCTACTGGCTATGATCCAGGCAAAATGTGATAGTGGCTTTGATTAGAGTGTAGCTGGGGAGATGACAGAAAGCTAGCATAGATAGATCTTGCAGGTGGTGCCAATAAGCTTTGCTAGTAAGATTACACTGGGGGTGTAAGAAAAAGAAGAATCAAGTATGATTCTTAGTTTTAGGCCTAAATAGCTGGAAAGATGAAGCTGCCATTATCTGCGATAAAGAAAACAGAGGCCAGGCACGGTGGCTCACGCCTGTAATCCCAACACTTTGAGAGACCGAGGTGGGTGAATCACTTGAGGCCAGGAGTTTAAGAACAGCCTGGCCAAAACAGCAAAAGCCCATCTCTACTAAAAATACAGAAAAAAATCAGCCGGATGTGGTGGCGCACGCCTGTGATCCCAAGTACTCGGGAGGCTGAGGCACGAGAATTGTTTGAACCCAGGAGGTGGAGGTTGCAGTGAGCTAAGATGGCGCTGCTGCACTCCAGCCTGGGTGACAGAGCAAAACTGTCTCCAAAAAAGAAAAACAGATCAAGAGAGAAGCGGATTTAGGGGCAGAGATCAGAAGCGTGGACACAGACATGTGAGATGCCTAACCTAACAGACATCTAAATGGAGATGTTGAACATGTAGGTCTGGAGTTTGAGAGAAAAGTCTAGACTAGAGATACACACTGGAATCTTCTAGGTTCTCAAGGGTATTGAAAGCCATTAGATTGAATGAGGTCGCTGGGGTGGTGAGAACAAATAGAGAAGTCCAAGCACCGAGACCTCTGAGGTACGGCTGTGTTTAAAGGTCAAAGAGATGAGGCTCCAGCAAAAGTGACCAAAAAGGAGTATGCAGTGAGAGGAAATAAACATCGCGAGAGGTCCGCATCCTAAAAGCCGAGGGGAAGGTACCTCAAAACAGAGTGATGGGTTGTTTTCAATGCTGCTAGTAGATCAAATCTGATGAAAAGGAAGAGCTATTCTGTGTAGCAATGTGGAAATCACTGGATCAGAGGAATTTTGGTGGAGTGCTGGAACAAGTCCCAGTGGGGGGACAGAACTGGAGAGAGCACCAGACCAATCTAAGAACTGTATTATAAAGGAGAGCAGAGACATGGAAGTGGCACAGGTGGAAGTGGAATTAAGAGCTTTTTTCCTGTTTTTTTGCTTTTGTTTTCGTTTTTGAGACGGGGTCTCACTCTGTCGCCCAGGCTGGAGTGCAGTGATGCGATCTCAGCTTGTTGCAGCCTCGACCTCCCCAGGCTCAAGGGATCCTCCCTGCCTCAGTCCTCCAGAGTAACTGGGACTACAGGTGTGCGCCACCATGCCTGGCTAAGTTTTTTGTATTTTTTTATAGAGATGGGGTTTTGCCATGTTGGCCAGCCTGGTCTTGAACTCCTGAGCTCAAGCAATCCGCCCGCCTCAGCTTCCCGAAGTGCTGGGATTATAAGCGTGAGCCATCGCACCCGGCTTTTTTTTTTTTTTTTTTTTTGCCAGGTTCTCACTCTGTCACCCAGGCTGGAGTGCAGCGGTGCAATCATGGCTCACGACAGCCTCGACCTCCTGAGCTCAAGGGATTCTGCCCGCCTCACTCCCCCAGAGTAGCTGGCACCACAGGATGTTTGGCAGCGCCCCGGCCTCTCCCTCCTGGGTGCCTATAGTACCCCTCTCCCAGTCATAACCAACAAAAGCGTCTCCAGATATTGCCAAAGAACTCCCAAGATTTTGTCCCCCAGGGGACATTTTGGGTCATCACAACTGGGTGGTGGGGGAGGATGTGTGCTACACGCATCCAGTGAATAGAGGCCAGGGATGCTGCAAAACATCCTACAATACACGGGACAGCCTCCTACGACAGAGTTAGCCAGTCCCAACCCATCCTGATCCAGAGGAAGAGCACGAGAGCAGACGGTGGCTGGCAGGGGACTTCCAGAAGTTCTCTTCTGATTGCTTCCATTTTTTCACCGCAATAGGAAGCTAGATCATCAGCTGTAACCGAGATTAGGGTTGGGGGTACAGGAGGTTTACGGAGATAAGACATGAAACCGTCCTTAGAAGTGGACACGTATTCTGGACTGCAGAAAGGGTTCACTTGAGCTAAGCAGTCATGAATTTAGTGTGAAACCAGTCAGCTTGGATGTGTTCTTCTTGGGCCATGTTCAGGGGCAGGGTAGGGAGACAGTCAGATGTAAGAGATTGTGGTTTTACCAACAAGCACAAGGAAGAAATGAAAGGGCAAACAAGCAAGTGATAAAAATGACCACAGAATTTGAGCTGGGTGGGGCCGGGCGCGGTGGCTTACGCCTGCAATCCCAACACTTCAGGAGGCCGAGGTGGGCGGATCACTTGAGGCCAGGAGTTTGAGATCAACCTGGCCAACATGGTGAAACCCCATTTCTACTAAAAATACAAAAAGTAGGCCAGGTATGGTGGGGGGGCGCCTGTAATCCCAGCTACTTGGGTGGCTGAGGCAGGAGAATTGCTCGAACGGGAGGCAGAGGTTGCAGTGAGCTGAGATCGTGCCACTGCACTCCGGCCTGGGCAACAGAGCGAGACTCCGTCTTAAAAAAAAAAAAAAAAAAAAAGATTGTGATGACACCTTGCGAGGGGCGGCGGGGAGAACAGAACACAGTTTCCCTCCTGGAATGGAGAAAAGGAACAAGAGTTTTTCACCAAAGGCAGATACCTGTGTCGCATGCAACAGAGGGACACCAGCTTCTTTTCTGCACAGAGGTTAAGCATGCAACAGAGGGACACCAGCTTCTTTTCTGCACAGAGGTTAAGTGTGGGAACTTGGCAAACATACCTTTATACCCAGGGGCAGACAGAAAAATCGGGATGTGGGGGGCTGGAGAGCAAAGCATTTCCTAGAGACACCATCCAAAACACAACCAGTGGGTGTAACTTTAGGGCCAGTTCCTGGCAGTCTTGTTTTCGACCGCTAGGGGTTTGGAAACAGGTGGGATACACTTATTATCAGGCTTCCCAGGAGTCCTGAGGCTCACTGACTAGTGGGAAACGTGGAGCTCTCAGGAACGTATCCTCCGGCCGGTGGCTGGCCACTCTGGTCATCTCGTGGCCCACAATCTAGGCATCAAGCGCTCGAGAGGCCTCTGAAAACGTCTCACCAAAAAAGCAGACTAGAAGGGGGCCCCATGATGAATATGACAGGGAGCTAACTGAGGACATCGGGAAACGGGTACTAGAAAAACCCACGCCACTAGCTGGCCTGCCTCTACTTCTGGGCGGGGGGCGGGGGTGTGTGTGTGGGGGGGATTACATGGCAGATAACTGCCTCCGTTTTCCTACGTGGAAGATGGGCATAACATTGAGACCCAGAGGTGAAAGGGGACGTGTTTAGTCCAACCCTTGTATTTACAAAGGAGGAGACTGAGACCAGAGGTGAACTGACTAGCTCGAGCACCCAGCTCATGAATGGCCAAATCAAGACGAACATCCAGATCCCCACCTTAGTGTTCCCTGCACCCACCTGGTTTCTTCCAGAGGCCTTCCCAGGAAGACAGGAGTTGGCTGAAGGGAGTTCCTGCCACAAAATCAGTATCACTTATCAACCTACCGACCTCAGCAGAAGATCCAGAGAAAAGGACAGCTGCTGCCTGCAGACCAAGTTCACCTGGGCGCTTAAAGATGCCCCCCCCCCCCCGCCCAAATGATTGCAGGTGGGTTTTCAAGCTTGAGAATGGTGAGCAATCCTAGGGTGGTGACGAAGATCCACCTGGAAGCCCTGAAGAAGGCAAATGACACTGACGATGAAAAACAAGAATCACCCTTTGTGATGGAGGGTCCCAGCCCGTTACCCAGACTACAGTCCTGCAAGCAAGTCAGGGACCCCGCACCAGGTTGAATACTCTGCTGTTACCGTGTGAAATTCTCAAAAACTTAACAAGGGGCCTGGCATCTTCATTTTGCACTGGGCCCCTCAATCACGTGGCCAGGGCCGCTGCCACCCTGGAAGCCATAGACGGGTGGCCCCGTCTACACGTCTTCGTCCCCCAACCCCTGCAGCCCTAGACTAAGGAGACCTAACGGAAGCCCTGGCATTTGCACCCCCTAGGCCTGTCCTCGGGAGGGGAAGAAGGCTGCGGGAAGGGGCAGGGGAGCGGGTAGAGGTCCACACCCTCGGGCAAAGGGCCCGCTAACCAGCGGCCCGTCCTCCTTGCTCCGGAGGCGAAGCCTTCCACGCCGCCGCAAGCGGCGACGTCCTGACTTCCGACCGGCAAGTGGGCCGGGTGGCCGAGGCTCAGTTTGCCGGTTGGGAAAATGGGAAGGCGCGGGGCCCTCGCGGGCGGAGGAAGCTGCCGGGGGCGCAAAGCCCGAGCAGGGTGCACTTCCGGCCGCCGGGCCGCCCCGCCGGCGCCTCGATTGAGGGAAAGTTTGGGGACAGATGATAGCAGGGAGGTGCTCTCGGCCGGGGTTCCGGCCTCGCCCTGGTCCCAGGGGCCGCGACTGTGGCGGGCAGGGAAGACAAGCCGCCCAAACGCCGGAGCCCGAGACTCGAAGCCGCCGCAAACTCCTCGCCTCGGGGGCGGGGTCACGGTGGAGAGGCGGGGCTCCGGCGGAGGGACCGGAACTGCTGTGAGTCTATGAATAAAGTCCCAACAATATTCTTCCTCGTAGAGGTTCCATAGTGTAGTGGTTATCACGTCTGCTTTACACGCAGAAGGTCCTGGGTTCGAGCCCCAGTGGAACCATAGCCGTAAGGCGGCTGTTTTTGCTTTTATAGGGTTTCGTTGTTTGGGTTAAAAAAAAAAAAGGGTTTGGGTTAAACAAACAAAAAAAACCAAAAAGCGACAACGAAGTGTTTTTCTTTGTCCTTTTTTTCTTTTTAATTTTTTGGCATGTTTTTCTCGCAGAAGTGAAATGACAGATACCCTCTCCTATCCCACAAGGTCACTGCCGCCATAGTCCGACATGAGAAGTAGTGGAGGGCAGGGGCCGGGCGAAGTCCTAGACCCGATCCGGCGCCCCCGATCCGGCCGGGCCCTACCCCACCTCTCCTCCCAGTACGCCTCGGAAAATCGGGCGCTCGGGGAATGCACCTGGCTGCCCTTTGCCTGCAAGCCAGCAAGGGCCGGCCACCCAACCTCCAACTAAAATGTGGCAGGCAATACAGCAGCGCTTTGACTGCAGGTGAATTATTAAAGGTCGGTCATGATTATGACTCTGATTAAAAGTTCTATTTTTCATTAAACTCTGATGTGCAGAGCACGAAAAAAAAAAAACCCCACAGTCCCTTTTAATGCAGCAGTAGAATTTGTGGAATAGAGTTCATACACAGTATAAAATAAATGTCAGGCTTGTAGACATTCAATAAATACTGGTTGAATGAGCAAACGTTTCTCTAGTTTCTTTCTGTTCCTCTTTACTATTTCATTACAGTTTCCTTTGGGGAGTTTATTATTTGTTTAAATATTGGCTTTTTTATCTTTGACAAGAGGAATGAGGGTGTGGGCCATGGTGAGATGGTGGTAGCAAAAAATATAAAATGGGAAGGGGCACTCAGTATTTTTCTCTGCATTTTCAACCTAGTTATGCATCCTTAACAGTGTAGAAATTTGCGTCTTTTTCTAACTTGAGTGTAACTCTTTCCCTGTTATTACAATCACTTCATCAACTTTATTCTTTTTTTTTTTTTTGGAGGCGGAGTCTCACTCTGTCGCCCAGGCTGGAGTGCAGTGTCGTGATCTCAGCTCACTGCAACCTCTGCCTCCCGGGTTCACACCATTCTCCTGCCTCAGCCTCCCGAGTAGCTGGGACTACAGGCGCCTGCCACCTCGCCCGGCTAATTTTTTGTATTTTTAGTTGAGACGGGGTTTCACCGTGTTAGCCAGGATGGTCTCGATCTCCTGACCTCGTGATCCGCCCGCCTCGGCCTCCCAAAGTGCTAGGATTACAGGCTTGAGCCACCGTGCCCGGCCTTTTTTAAAACCACCTTAACCATTTTTTTTTTTTTTTGAGACAGAGTCTGGCTCTGTCACCCAGGCTGGAGTGCAGTGGTACAATCTCGGCTCACTGAAACCTCGGCCTCCTGGGTTCAAGCGATTCTCCTGCCTCAGCCTCCCGAGTAGCTGAGATTATAGGTGCACGCCACCACGCCCGACTAATTTTTGTATTTTTGGTAGAGACGAGGTTTCGCCATGTTGCCCAGGCTGGTCTCGAACTCCTGACCTCAAGTGATCTGCCTGCCTTGGCCTCCCAAAGTGCTGGGATTACAGGTGTGAGCCACCACCTCCAGCCCACCATAATCATTTTTAAGTGTACAGTTCAGTAGTGTTAAGTATATTCACATTGTTGTGAAACAGATCTCGGGAACTTTTTCATCTTGCAAAACTCAACTCTATACCTATTAAACAACTCCCCTTTTCCTCCCATCAACTTTATTCTGAATGGTGATGTAAAAATAATAGCTAATTATGTCTAGCACTGTGCTAAGTATTTTATACATATGATCTCTTGTAAGCCTCAAAATAACTCTCGAAAGTAGGCATTATTATCATCATCTTACAGATGAGAAAGTTTAGGCGCAGAGATATTAATAACTTGCCCTGAGGTCACAATGTAACAAGTGCTAGTGCTGCGATTTGGCACCCAGTCTGGGTTGGCAGTCTGTGCTCTTAAACCTACCAGGCTGCACTCATCTCTTGATTTACTTAACCAGCCCCCTAACCTTGGCCATTTAGATTGTTTCCAATTTGTTGTTGTTAAAAGTAACACAGCAATGCACAGCTTTGTGTTAACTGTCCTCCCACCACCACCAAATTTAGCATTTTCCTGAGTGAATAGGTGTGCACATGATGCCTAGTTGCTTTCAAAGAGGGGAATCCATGACATTTTCATACAATTCGAGAATGTTAGTGCTTATGTGGCAGGAAATTGTTCAAGGTCACCCCCTAAAAAATGATGGCGAAGAAAGGACGAAAACCTGAGACTTCTGGTTGTAGTTCTCTCCCTCCATTGCTTCCCTTACATTAAGATAGAATGAACAGTATGGGCCGGGCGCAGTGGCTGACGCCTGTAATCCCAGCACTTTGGGAGGCCGAGGTGGGTGGATCACCTGAGGTCAGGAGTCCGAGACCAGCCTGACTGACATGACGAAACCCCATCTCTACTAAAAATACAAAAATTAGCTGGGCGTGGTGGCGTGAGCCTATAATCCCAGCTACTCGGAAGGCTGAGGCAGGAGACTAGATTGAACCCGGGAGGCAGAGGTTGCAGTGAGCCGAGATGGCGCCATTGCACTCCAGCCTGGGTGACAAGAGCGAAACTCCATCTCAAAAAAAAAAAAAAAAAAAAAAAAAAGAACGAAAAGTATCTTCCTCGCGAACTGAATCTCAGTTGATGCTAGTATCTTCCATGAGACTTCCTTGTTGAGGCAGGTAACTCTGTGGGTTAACTTGATGGGGCTCAGCCAAAGACCTAAGAACTAAATGGATTAAGATGCTTAATGAGGCCAGGGCTCAACTTAATCCCCTGCTCCTGGGCCAGCTCTCCAGTTCAGTAAGGTAGAGCTTTGGCCGAGGACGAGGGGAAGATGTCACGCAAGATAGAAGGCTTTTTGTTATTACTTCTCTTTGGCTATGAAGGTATGTGCTATTCAACCATTGACATTCATTGCATACTTAATACATAATTTAATTAATATCGTTGATAAATAGGAATATAGCCTGAATAATATAAATATTATTAATTAGCAACACGTTAATTAACTAACATGTGTTATTAATGAACAACAGTTGTCTTTGTGTGGATGGCTTTCCAGTTCTGTGAGGAGCCTTCTAAAGTTCAAAGGATGCTTAAAATCCAACAGAAAACAGGATGGGTCTCAGAAATCTATAAAATAGCCATAAGTTGCAACAATTAATGAGAAAGTATGGCATATTCTGGAAAACTTTTAGGAGTCAAAGTGGGAGTGATTGTAGAATTTAATATTCCAAACCGGAATGCTATTGACGGTGGAGGACGATGCTATTAATAATTCTGTTGGGACGACAGGTGTAACCCAGGACCATCCAGGGCAAATTGGGGTGTAAGGTCAACCTAGTTTAAATATGGATTAACGTAACATACCCAGTACCACTGGAATCTAATAAAAAACATAATCCAACTGAGAGTCAGGAAACCTCGGAGACTCAGTACACTCACTCATTTTAAAATTTCTAAATATGACCCTAGCAGAAGTGATATGCTTCAATTAGGAAAAAATAAGGGCAAATCTGTAAAATGTCATCCAGTTCCAATTCCCTCTCAATCTTTGAAATAATATTCTTTCATGCCTCTCTCAATTCTCAAGTACCCATCTGCTCAGAATTTCTCCTCAGGTTCATCCAGATGTTAGAAATTGGTTGCCTGTCTTCTTTGTGGACATCGTGTATTTGTGTGTTATAGAAAATAAATTAAAAAGCAGGGAGAAGGAGGTCTCTGTGCTCTGCAAATGACCTGGTAGACAGACACAGCGAAACTCACACAAGTAGAATCAGAATTCTTGGTTTCACGGCTCACTGTAGCCTCAACCTCCCAGGCTCAAGCCATCCTCCTGCCTCAGCCTCCCTAGTAGCTGGGACTACAGGCACGCACCACCACATCCGGCTAATTTATTGTATTTCTTGTAGAGAGGGGTTTTCACCATGTTTCCCAGGCTGATGACTTTTGTTACTTAGTCACATTTCTCAGTATTTGGAAAGACTGGTGACAATATAATTCCAAGGTCATTCTGCAAACCCCAAGGTATATTTCTAAGTAGGGATCATGTAAACCAGTTGTCTGTTAGGATTTTTTCCCCTTGCAATTAATAGTCTGCAACTTGTCCCAGTAACTCTGACTACTTTAAGATGCTTTGGGGTTTTGTTGTTTTTCCTTTTACTCCTTGCCCCCTCCTCTTTCCTCAGCAAGAAAATCTAAGCAGACTCTTTCAAGGCTTAGATCTAAATACTCCTGGTTGTCAGACACTCCCAGGGCTCACTCTCGGATTTCTCTTCTTTGTGATTGGCATGGAGATTCATTCATTCATTCCTTGGTCCCTTCTTTTAAGAGCTCATCCCTGACTATCTGCTAGGGGGCAAACATTGTGTATGACGGCGGGGCGCGGTGGCTCATGACTGTAATCCCAGCACTTTGGGAGGCTGAGGCGGGTCTATCACCTGAGGTCAGGAGTTTGAGACCAGCCTGCCCAACCTGGTGAAACCCCGTCTCTACAAAAATACAAAAAGTATCTGGGCATGATGGCAGGTGCCTCTAATCCCAGCTACTCGGGGGAGGCTGAAGCGGGAGAATCGTCTGATTGCTGGAGAGGGAGGTTGCAGTGAGCTGAGATCATGCCATTGCACTCCAGCCTGGGTGACTGAGCGAGACTCAGTCTCAAAAAAAAAAAAAAAAAAAAGGACTTGACATGCAGGGCATCCTTGTTTCTTCCACAGTGCTGAGTCTAACAACCCTGTTCTGTGACCTCCCCACCCCCGCGATGCGAAGAAGTCCTAGAAATGTTTACCAAAGCATTTTAAAATTAGACCTGCCCAGTTAGTGGATATCAGCAATAAAAGACAGGCTGTCAGGAGGCATGAAGGATAGCACTCTTTCGTGTTCTAAAGTTTACCAATCTTTGTGCATGGCTGGGGAGCTCCAGAAATGTCCACGAAGAGCAGAGAACATCGTCTCTCCAGGTGCCCTGCAACGTGGGCCAGTGGGAAGGTTTGGGGAGCTTAAATTATCTTACTTGCTTAACGCAGGCCTTTAACAGCACTTGAAAGGAAAGCAGCCAGCCAAAAATAGCCAGTGTGGCTTGGCAACCTACTGTGTGCCCTACCCTGGGCCAGAGGGATGCTCCAGGGGACAGAGGACACAATCACTGAACTTAATCAGCATATTATCCAGATGGAGATGCATAAGGCCCATAGACATGGGAAAGATGCATCCCATTGTACAGCTGGGAACCTGAAGACAAAGGCTGTTTGTCCAATTTACCCTCCACTGCTTCTGTCCTTCAGTGGCAGTGTCTCCTCATTACAGTGAAATAAGGTAAAGAAATTGCCTTCACTTAGGCGTTGGATGAAGGTTCATTTCGGAGAGCACACAGCCTCACAGTAAGGCATTTCCTATGTCTTTTTTTTTTTTTTTTTGAGAATTTCACTCTTGTTGCCCAGGCTGGAGTGCAGTGGCGTGATCTCGGCTCACCACAACCTCCATCTCCCGGGTTCAAGCGATTCTCCTGCCTCAGGCTCCCGAGTGGCTGGGATTACAGACGTGTGCCACCACGCCCGGATCATTTTTGTAATTTTAGTAGAGACGGGGTTTCTCCATGTTGGCCAGGCTGGTCTCGAACTCCCGACCTCAGGTGATCTGCCTGCCTCGGCCTCCCAAAGTGCTGGGATTACAGGCATGAGCCACCGCACCTGGCTTCCTATGTCTTATAATTGAGTCAGGCTTCTATTTCTCTTACACCGCACATATTGGATTCAATGCCAATAAGGATTTTTAGAACATCCATCGTATTAAAATATCTTACTTCATTACTTGGTCATGTTTATTATATAAAAACAAAAAAAGTCCTTCAGCCTCAACTTATAGGTGACTGTGTTACCATCAGAGATTGCAGGGGTTTTTTTAAAGCAGTTTTATTGAGATGTAATTTATATACTCTTAAATTCACCCATTGAAAGTCTATTGTTCGATCGTTTTAAGTATATTTACAGATTTGTGGAGCACATAATCTAATTTTAGAACATTTTCATCACCCAAACATTAAGCCCTCGCTCCCCATTCTCCCTGTCTCCCCCCTCCCCCAGCCCCTGGGCAACCACGGATCGACTTTCTGTCTCTAAAGATTTGCCAGTTCTGGACAGTTCATTTCAATGGAGTCACACAGCATGTGGTCTTTTGTCTTTCGCTTAGCATATGTGGTTGAGGTTCATCTGTGTTTGAAGCATGTGCAGATAACAGATTTACCCATGAATATGCCTGTCGCCTAAAATAGTAACACTTTCACACCAGAAGCAATTTCCTTCTTTCTCTTTCACGAGAGGGACATTATTGCAGCCTGCTGCGTGCGTTCCTCCTGTTTCTCAAGCAGATTGGAAGCTGGTTACAGACCATTTTTAATCATTCATAATTTTATGCTTTTCTTCTCGGCTTCATCTGTTTCCATGGGAAGGAACGCTCTATGGTTGGTGATACCCAATCCAAGAGACTAAACTAGGTTTTCCTGTGTGTATCTAAAGCGCGCCTTTCCTCATGGGTTGCAAGGTACATTTCAAGAAATAGACACGCCTTGAAATTTCCTGCTGTGACAACAAGGGTTTCCTCACAGCAGAGTGGCCCTTTTGGACCAAGGGGCAGAATGAGCCCATATTGCATAAATCTAAGCCCACATTGCATAAATCTAAGATTGGTGACTGGCGGATGTCTCATGTAACATGTGGCGGAATCACAGAAGCCATCTAAACAGGGAGAAAAATATGCAACCACATAATCGAAATATTTCACTATTTTTCCTTTAGAGGCTGAGATATTTCTCTTGTTCCCCTTCCAACAATGCTATTTTCTGGTATGATACTATTAGGTTGGTGCAAGAGTAACTGCGGTTTTTGCCATTACAATATGTTGTCGCCAAAAATGCTTTTGTTCTCCAGTTTGTTGGTGATTAAATCATTGTGTGGGACTGCAGCAGCCATGTTGCTTCTCCTTTGGTGACAGCTTTTTCTGTAAAACGCCTGTCGTTCCTTCTCTCTCTGCTCACTTCCATAAGGATATGGTACCTCAGAACCCCAGGCTGTCTACAGACAAATGCTTTCTGCGGGAGGGGAGTCTGGGAAGAAAAGAAATGCAAGAAATGGGTCCAAAATTGGATTGCACCCAGGAATTGGCTCTGAAAGCAGGCCTCTCTTCCTTGGACTCTAGGTTTGCTCAGTGACAGCTCAACAGACCAGACTCTCTTCAGTGACATACATGGCCTTTGAGCCAAGTGGATTTGGTTATGAAAGCCACACTGTCAGTGACCACCAACACCCCTTGCCTTTGGTCTCCCAAAAAGAGGATCTGGCACTGTTTTTTTTTTTTTTTTTGAGACAGAGTCTCGCTGTGTTG
Source organism: Homo sapiens (assembly GCF_000001405.40). NCBI lineage: Eukaryota > Metazoa > Chordata > Mammalia > Primates > Hominidae > Homo > Homo sapiens. Next base: position 18,667,524 of record NC_000023.11, on the reverse strand, counting down.
CTCAGGGTGGAGTGCAGTGGCGTGATCTTGGCTCACTGCAACCTTCCGCCCGCCTGGGTTCAATCGATTCTCCTCCCTCAGCCTCCCTAGTAGCTGGGATGACAGGCACGCACCACCATGCCCAGCTAATTTTTGTGTTTTTTGTAGAGACAGGGTTTCACCACCTTGGCCAGGCTGGTCTGGAACTCCTGACCTCAAGTGGTTTGCCCGCCTCGGTCTCCCAAAGTGCTGGGATTACAGGCGTGAGCCACGGGCCTGGCACAATTGATGTTGACCTAACTGACAGGGCCCTTCAGAAACTGCCTCACAGCCAGTCCCAGCTTCTCTTGAGGGTGGGGATGGGACAGAGCATCTCCTGGACTAGCAGCCCCCAGCCAACTAGACCCTAATTGCTGATTTCCTTTGCATCTCTTGATGAACAGCTACAGGCCTGAGGTTAGGAGTTCATGTAGTCGTTAACTCCGCAGAGCACAGGGCACCATCCAGCCTGTCTGGGCTCCCCCTTGAGTTCCAGAAGCATCTGTCTGGCTGCCAGCTCGATTTCAACACTGGGGTGTCCCCTAGGCGTCTCAAATTCATTATGTCCCAAACAGATCATCCTCCTCCCCATCCTCCCCAAATCCCTTGTCTTCGCTGAAACCTTCTTCCCCTTCCGCCCGCCCCGCAAATGGCAGCTCTATCCTCCCAGTTGCCCCAGCCTCAGACTTCCGTTTCTTTCACACCCCCACCCCTGCCACGCGTAATCTGCCCGCAGATCCTGTGGGCACTACTTCCCCAGTGTAGTCAGAATCCAGCCACTTAACACTTCCACTGCCACCACCCTGGGCCAAGCCAGCATCTTCTCTCCCTCGGATGACTGCACTCACCTCGGAACCGGACCCTGTTGCCACACTTGCCGTGGCCAGCCCGGTCCACAACATTGTACCAGAGGGAGCCTTTGAAACTGTGGTCAGTAATGTCCTCGTCTATCCTCAAGTTCCACAAAGCCTCACATGGCCCACGAGGCCCTGCAGGAACTGGCTCCCGGACACCCCCAACCTCGTCATCTCCTAAGACTCTCTCTCCTCTAGCTCCAGCCTCAGGAGCTCCTTGCTCTTCCTGGAACACGCCAAGCACACGCTCACCTCGAGGGCTTGGCACATGCTGTTCCCTCTGCCCAGAATGCTTTGCCCACAGGTGTCTCGCCTCCTTCGAATCTTTGCTCCAACATCACCTTCTCAGTGAGGGCTTCCCTAAGCCCAAAAGGACCAGTCCCTGTTCCCTACTTCCTTGTGTTTTCTCCACAGCAGTCACCGTAATTTTCCATACTATCTATTCTCTTTCTTCATTAGTTCATTAATGTATTCTCCCCACCCACTCCCACCCAACACACACACTAGCCTATGAGCTTTATGATGGCAAGTGCTTTTCCTGTTTTGTTTGCTACTCTATCCCCAGCACCTAAAGCTGGGACTGGAATGTAGTAGATGCTCAATGAATATTAGTTGAATGAATGAATGCTTTGAGGTGAGTCATTATCAGTCATTTTTTGTATGGGTTTCTATAATCTGTGGGCAAGAAAAAGGTGGACTGAAAAGGCCAGAGCAAATGGTGAGCTGAGGGACAGGAAAAACCCTCTTTTTTTTTTTTTTTTTTTTTTTTGAGACAGGGTCTCACTCTGTCACCCAGACTGAGGTGCAGTGATGCAATCATACCTCACTGCAGCCTCCAACTCTCATGATCCTCCCACCTCAGTCTTCCAAGTAGCTCGGATCACAGGTGTGTGCCACCACACCTGGCTAATTTTTATTTATTTATTTGTTTGTTTATTTATTTTTAGCAGAGACAGGGTCTCGCCATGCTGCCCAGGCTGGTCTCAAACTTCTGAGCTCAAGGGGTCCTCCCACCTCAGCCTCCCAAAGTGTTAGAATTACAGCCATGAGCCACTGCGTCCGGCCAGGAAACGTCCTCTTTATAGGGAATGGGCTGAGCAGGCGGAGAAGTAGGGGTGGGGGGACGCATTTGAGGCAAAGAAATTCTATGGACGGAGGCAAGAGACAGTCTGGCACATTTGTGGCTTGGCGAGCAGTACAGAGTGAGAAACATAAATCCCGAGAGGTGGGCAGGAGGTAGATCTATCTCCATGACCCCTTGAAGGACACTTTATTATTATATGCATCATAGGGGTGTGGAAATGGAGAGATCATAATACATCTCAGAGGTGGGACTCAGCCCCTGGCAACAGGGACCCGCCAAAGCGTTTTGCGCAGGAGAGTGGCGGCATCAGGTTTGCACCTCACTGCCTCAGCAGCGTGGAGGATGAAAGAGACAAGTCTCTCTTTAGCAGGTAGAGTACCTGGGAGAGAGGGTGGGGCCTCAAAGCAGGCAGTGGGATGGAGAGGAGAGAAAGCCCCTGGTGGCCATAGGATGGTAGGGATTTAGGAAAAAGAGGAGGCTTGGAGGAGCCTTCTGGATGGGGTGGTAGATGGATGGCGAAGCCACTCAGGAGATAAGAAATAGAGAAAAGAGGCCAGGTGCAGGGGCTCACGCCTGTAATCTCAGCACTTTGGGAGGGCGAGGTGGGAGGATCCCTTGAGCCCAGGAATTTGAGACCAGCCTGGGTAACATAGCATAGACCCCGTCTCTACAAAAAAATTAACACAATTAGCTGAGCGTGGCAGCGCAGGCCTGTAGTCCCAGCTACTCAGGAGGCTGAGGTGGGAAGACTGCTTGAGCCCAGGAGGTCGAGGCTGCAGTGAGGTGAGATAGCACCACTGCACTCCAGTGTGGGTGACAGAGCAAGAACCTGTCTCAAAATAATAATAATAATACTACTAATAATAACAACAATAATAATAAAGAACTAGAGAAAGGAGAACAGTCTGAGGAAGCAGATGAGTTTGTTGTTGTTGTTTTTGAGATGGAGTCTTACTCTGTTGCCCAGGCTGGGAGTACAGTGGCGTGATCTTGACTCACTGCAACCTCCGCCTCCCCAGCTCAAGTGATTATCCCGCCTCAGCCTCCTGAGTAGCTGGGACTACAGGTGTGCACCACCATGGCCGGCTAATTTTTGTATCTTTAGTAGAGCCAGGGTTTCACCATGTTGGCCAGGCTGGTCTTGAACTCCTGACCTCAGGTGATCTGCCTGCCTCGGCCTCCCAAAGTGCTGGGATTACAGGCGTGAGCCACCGCGCCCGGCCCCTTTTGTACGTTTTTTAATGGATCCATGTGGTGTATCTGCTTCAGCATTGGACTTCTCACTCAGCATCATGAGATGCATCCACCCTGTGGCATGTAGTTCTAGACTATCTATTTGCATTGCAGTATAGTGTTCCATTGTGTAAACATACCCCGATGTAGATGCTCTGCTTTTGATGGACATATGAGCATTTCCAGTTTGGGGGTATTACAAATACTGCCGCTATGGATCATCTAGCACATGTTTTTGGTTTTGGAGTATATATGTATGCATATCTGGTGGGTAGCTACTTAGGAGTGGAATTGCTGGGTCATAGGGCGCATATATGTTCAGCCTTTGTATAAATTGCCAAATAGTTTTCCAAAGAGGTTAGACCACCTTGCACCCCCACCAGCAACATATGACACAGTTCAGGTTTCTCCACAGCCTTGTCAACACTAGGTTGGTCCACTTTGAGCTAGCAAGAGACATCTACGGGAAGATATCCTGTAGGCCATTCAGTGCTTACTGGATATCTGAACCTTGGATTTAGCAATGTTTACTGGGTGGGTGGAGGAAGCAGAGCTCTCAAAGGAGACTGAGAAGGTGTACCTAGAGTGGTGGAAGCTAAAGGAAGATGGGACTGACAGCACCCAACATTGCGGTGTGAAGATGGAAGGTCAGTGTTGGGAAGAGTCCATTGGATTTGAAAATAAGAAGTTGGCTGGGTGCAGTGGCTCACGACTGTAATCCCAGCACTTCAGGAGGCCAAGGCCAGAGGATTGCTTGAGCCCAGGAGCTCAAGACCAGCCTGGGCAACATAGTGAGACCTCCATCTCTATAAAAATAGGTTTAAAAATATTGGGTGTGGTGGCACGGGCTTGTAGTCCCAGCTACCATGGGAGGCTGAGGTGAGAGGATGGCTTGAGCCCTGGAGTTCAAGGCTGCAGTGAGCTATGACTGCCACTGTACTCCAGCCTGGGCGACAAGAGTAAGACCCTGTCTCAAAAAAAAAAAAAAAAAAAAAAAAAGCCAGGCACAGTGGCTCACGCCTGTAATCCCAGCACTTTGGGAGGCCAAGGCAGGTGGATCACCTGAGGTCGAGAGTTCCAGACCAGCCTGACCAACATGGTGAAACCCCATCTCTACTAAAAATACAAAATTAGCCAGGCATGGTGGCGCATGCCGGTAATCCCAGTTACTCAGGAAGCTGAGGCAGGAGAATCGCTTGAACCCAGGAGGCCGAAGTTGTTGTGAGCCGAGATTGCGCCATTGCACTCCAGCCTGGGCAACGAGTGAAACTCCGTCTCAAAAAAAAAAAAAAAAAAAAAAAAAGTCATTGTTCTTGGAACCAACCCAAACGTCCATCAGTGATAGACTGGATTAAGAAAATGTGGCACATATACACCATGGAATACTATGCAGCTATTAAAAAGGATGAGGTCGGGTGCAGTGGCTCACGCCTGTAATCCTAGCACTTTGGGAGGCCGAGGTGGGCGGATCATGAGGTCAGGAGATCGAGACCATCCTGGCTAACACAGTGAAACCCCGTCTCTACTAAAAATACAAAAAATTAGCCGGGTGTGGTGGCGGGCGCCTGTAGTCCCAGCTACTTAAGAGGCTGAGGCAGGAGAATGGTGTGAACCCGGGAGGCGGAGCTTGCAGTGAGCCAAGATCGCGCCACTGCACTCCAGCCTGGGCGACAGAGCGAGACTCCATCTCAAAAAAAAAAAAAAAAGGATGAGTTCATGTAGGGACATGGATGAAGCTGGAAACCATCATTCTGAGCAAACTATCGCAAGGACAGAAAACCAAACACCGCATGTTCTCACTCATAGGTGGGAACTGAACAATGAAAACACTTGGAGACAGAGCGAGGAACATCACACACTGGGGCCTGTCGTGGGGTGGGGGAGCGGGGAGGGATAGCATTAGGAGATATACCTAATGTAAATGACGCGTTAACAGGTGCAGCACACCAACATGGCACATGTATACATATGCAACAAGCCTGCACGTTGTGCACATGTACCCTAGAACTTAAAGTATAATAATAATTTTTTTAAAAAGTCGTTGTTAACTTCCTCAGCCAGCACAGAGTCTGACATTGAGGGACTGTCTTTGTCTGTTTGAGAAGCTATAATAAAATACCATAAACTAGGTGGCTTATAAACCACAGAAATTTATTTCGTACAATACTGGAGGCTGGGAAGTCCACGATCAAGGTGCCAGCAGATTTGGGTCTGGTGAGAGCCTGCTTCCTGCTTCATCCCTGGCACCTTCTTGCTGTGCCCTCCCATGGCGGAAGGGGCAAGCTAGTGATACTGGAGGGGGGCAGCGCGTGGTCCCTGCCTCGGGCTCCACCCCCAGGCCTGTGCCCACGGACCTAGGTGAGGACAGGCACTCCTGCCTTCGTGCCCAAATGCTGCATTTCCCAAGACCACCCTGGCCCACCACGCCCCCATCCTGTGCCTATCAAAACTCCAAGACCCTAGCAGGCAGACACACAAGCGGCTAGATGTCGAGAGGAGCACATTGGCGGAAGAAGACACAAGTGGCTGGACGTGCAGAAGGCGTTGAGAGGAGTGCGCCGGCGGAAGAGCGCACGATAGACGCCGGCAGCCCCAGGCCATCAACCGGCGGAACGAGGTGGAGTTTGGCCAGGCTGTCGGAGAAGAGTGGGGCCACCTACCAAGCCCGACTCCAGGAGAAAAGCATCTCCCTTCTGGCTCCCCTATCTGCTGAGAGCTCCTTCCACTCAATAAAACCTTGCACTCATTCTGCAAGCCCACGTGTGATCTGATTCTTCCGATACCCCAAGGCAAGAACCCTGAGATACAGAAAGCTTTCTGTCCCTGTGAGAAGGCAGGGAGACGAGTCTAATGGGGCTGACTAACACAAGCCGCCTACAGACGGCAAACTAAAAGAGCACTCTGTAACACACGCCTGCTGGGGCCTCAGCTGTAAACATTCGCCCCTAGACACTGCCGTGGGTTTGGAGCCCCACAGCCTGCCCGTCTGTATGCTCCCCCAGAGGTTTGAGCAGCGGGGCACTGAAGAAGCGAACCACACCTCCCTTGCATGCCCTGAGATGGGGACAAGGGGACCTTTCCTGTTTCACTAGCTCCCTGGAGTCTCTTTTACACAGATACTAATCCCATGTATGAGGGCAAAGCCTAATCACCTCCCAAAGGCCCCACATCTTACTACTACCACATTGGTGACTGGGTTTCAACATATGAATTTTGGGGGGACACTAACATTCACATCATAGCAGGGACTCTGGTGGCCTGCTACAAAGATGGCGCTCCCTAACCTTCATTGCTACTTGAGAAGGTCAATTCTGCCCATAGCGGGTGAGTAACCAGTGGAACAAGGGCCCAGGAGAGACAGCAGTGTGGTGGCTGCAGGTGAGGGTGGCCCTGAATCTTCCTAGGCTAAGAGACATGTGCGCTTCACTCCCACTGCAGCCCCTGCATAGCCCATCGAAGTACTCACCATGGGCATGGTCCAGTGGCCTGTCTTCTCCTGGGTCCTCAAGCCCCTTGTGAGCAGAGAGTGAGGCTTCCATTTCAGAAGGCCCAGTCCTAGTATAGCGCCAAGCCTACAGTGGACACAAAAAAAGTGGTTGCAGAACAGGGAAATGTGTATTATTGAAATTCAAGCTTTTATAATTGTGATGATAAAGGCTTTGTGTGGTTTCTAAAAGCTTTTTGTGAGCATCAGATTCACTTTTTAAATAGCAAAGTGGTTAAAGGAGGGACTTTTATTTCCATTTTTTACACTCAGGTTTAGTCGGAAATTTTTTTATCATCAGAAAAGAAAGAAAGGTATTTGTTTTGTTCAAAATGTCTGGGAAGGCCGGGTGTGGTGGCTCACACCTGTAATCCCAGCACTTTGGGAGGACAAGGCAGGTGGATCACCTAAGGTCAGGAGTTCAAAACCAGCCTGAGCAATATGGCAAAACCCAGTCTCTACTAAAAATACAAACATTAGCCAGGCATGGTGGCTGTAATCCCAGCTACTCGGGAGGCTGAGGCAGGAGAATCGCTTGAACCCGGAAGGCAGAGGTTGCAGTGAGCCAGTCTCAAAAGAAAAAAAAAAAAACAAGTCTGGGAAATGGAGTTTTGGTGGTGTAGGGGAGAAAAAGTAAGCACTTTTCCTCACTTATCTCAAGGTTCATGGCTGAGATCCCTACGACAAAAGACAGATTAATGAGGGAAAACCATCCATACTTATTTAATAAGTTTTACATGGCACAGGAGCTTTCAGAGATGAAGACCCAACGAAACAGGAAGACCTGTGCATTTTTGTGGACAGTTGTGTGGAAATATGATTGGAGGATCAAAGGGTATGATCTAATGGTAATAAATGAGAAAAGCATAACAAGGCCTGTTTGTTCAGATTCGTGTTGGTGCCCCTGTGTGATATTCCTTCCCTCCGGGTATAGGGCAGGACACCTGTCACATGAGGGTCTTCAGGGGAGAAGATTAGACTGACCTTCCTAGGTTTGATGGCCTGCTTCAGGGAAGAAGAGGTGAAAGGAATTCGATGGCCCATTTCAGGAGAGAAAGGGTCAAGGGCTGTTTTTGTTTCTATGGCCAGCTTCAGGAGGGAGGGGGCAGGAGCAGGTCAGAGAGACCTTCCTGCTTCTGCAGTTTTCTCAGTTTCCTTGTGTGTCCAGGTGCCATATTTGATGGTAGCGTTTCCTGCACCCCATCAGTGCTTTAAACCAGCAGTGTCCAATGCAACCTTCTGCGATGATAGAAACGTTCTGTATCTTCTTAGCCAGTACGGTAGCCACTAGTTTCATGTGGCTCTGAAGCACTTGAAATGTGGCTGGCTTGACTGAAGAATTGAACTTTTTATTTTGATAATTTTAATTAATTTATTTTATTTTTTGAGACAGAGTCTCACTCTGTTGCCCAGACTGGAGTGCAGTGGTGCAATATCGGCTCACTGCAACCCGGGTTTCAAGTGATTCTCCTGCCTCAGCCTCCCAGGTGGCTGGGATTACAGGTGCCTGCCACAAAGCCCAGCTGATTTTTGTATTTTTAGTAGAGACAGGGTTTCAGCATGCTGGCCAGGCTGGTCTCGAACTCCTGACCTCAAGTGATCGGCCTGTCTCAGCTTCCCAAAGTGCTAGGATTACAGGCATGAGCTACCCCGCCCGGCCAATTTTAATTAATTTAAATTCCAATACCACATGGGACTAGTCATGACTACATTGGACTGTGAAGCTTTAAACCATCAGTTTCTGCTAATATATGCAAACTCTTTACCTGCTAAAGTGTGAATTCATTCTCTTTATTCATGCTTCTATAAAGAGAGCTTATATGTCAGTTTTATGTTAAATTTTGCACACTTTCAATTTTCCCACATTATGTATATGGTACTTATACTTTGATTGTGGTTTGATATTTCCTGTACATTATAGACAAACCTATAAAATAATTTCTAAACAATGTCTTAATCTTAAATCATCTAATTGTGGCACAGTGAGGGAACTGGGAATCAACTCCTGAATAGCACATTGGGCAGACACAAGGGATGATGATGATGATGATGATGATGATGATGATGATGAAGATTTAATAAAAGAGAAACCTTGGGCCGGGCATGGTGGCTCATGCCTGTAACCCCAGCACTTTGGGAGGCCAAGGCAGGAGTATCACCTGAGGTCAGGAGTTCGAGACCAGCCTGGCCAACATAGCAAAACCCTGTCTCTACTAAAAATACAAAAAATTAGCCAGGTGTGGTGGTATGCACCTGTAATCCCAGCTACTTGGGAGGCTGAGGCAGGAGAACTGCTTGAACCCAGGAGGCGGAGGTTGCAGTGAGCCGAGATCGCGCCATTGTACTCCAGCCTGGGCAACAAGAGTGAAACTCCATCTCAAAAAAGAAAGAAAGAAAGAAAAAAAACACAGAAAAACTTCACACTGCTAGGGTTAAATGAAAGGGAAAGCAGGATACAACACTGTTTAGATAGCAAGTTCTCAAATATATTTAAAAATACACATAGAAAAATGACAGGAAATGACGGGAAATATTTATACTAAAATGTTAACAGTGTTGGCTTTGGTGGTAAAAAATACAGGTGTTTTCCTCTCCCTGCCCTGTCCACTTTGCTACATTAATGTAGTTTCCAAAATTCTATAACGAACAAAAATAATGATTATCTTTTTTTGGTTTGTTTTTGAGACAGAGTCTTACTCTGTCGCCCAGGCTGGAGTGCAGTGGAGCGATCTTGGCTCACTGCAACCTCCGCCTCCCAGGTTCAAACGATTCTCCTGCCTCAGCCTCCTGAGTAGCTGGGATTACAGGCGCGTGCCACCATGCCCAGCTAATTTTTGTATTTTTTGTAGAGGCGGGGTTTTGTCATAGTGCCCAGACTGGTCTCGAACTCCTGGCCTAAGTGTTAGGCCCGCCTCGGCCTCCCAAAGTGCTGGGATTACAGGTGTGAGCCGCTGCACCGGCCCTATAATGATGATCTTGTTCTTTCTGTTTAATTTTACTGTCCCTAGCTTCTTAGCATCTGCGGATGTTTTTCCTGGCAGATATTTACTCACCATGACTTCTTCCAGAAGGGGTGTTGGTAGCTTTCATGTGACTATTTCTATTTCACTTTTCCATGTAACGAGTGATGCTGTTGGATTTCTCTTTCATTAATTAGATTTTTTCTGTCTCATCCTTTTGCTTTAGCCACATTGGGATTATCGTCTACCGAGGTATGTAACAGTAAGAAGGCTGTAATGTACATGCATAGTACTTTTGAAAATTTTCCTAGCCAAAAATAACATAGAGGACTATCACTTTGTTTTTAAATGTATTTTGAAATATATTTTGGCTGGGCATGGTGGCTCATGCCTGTAATCCCAACACTTTGGGAGGCCGAGGCAAGCAGATCACTTGAGGTCAGGAGTTCGAGACCAGCCTCGCCAACATGGTGAAACCCTGTCTCCACTTTAAAAATACAAAAATTAGCCAGGTATAGTGGTGCATACCTGTAATCCTAGCTACTTGGGAGGCTGAGGCAAGAGAATCGCTTGAACCCAGGAGGCAGAGGCTGCAGTGAGCTGAGATCACACCACTGCACTCCAGCCTGGGTGACAAAGCGAGACTCTGTCTCAAAAAAAAAAAAAAAAAAAAAGTATTTTTTTTGGTGATGGTGACTGTAGCACATTTGACCTAGGCAAGCTCCACGATTGGTGTTTGAATGAGAGAATGCAAGTAAAACAGGTCTTCAATCAGATGGCACAATCTTGAATCTATCTCCCCATAGGAACTTCCAGGGGATGTGAAGAGTCTAAACTTGGATTGGGGCTCCCCACACTCCTGAAGATAACTATAATGGGGTGAACGGTGCCCTCTAGATGGGTGTATCTGTGAGATTATTAGTTGGTCGCCCAGGGTGGCAGACATTTTACTTATTTAGAATGGAAGATGAGTGGTAGCTGTGTGTATTGAGGCTGGATTAATAGCTCAATTTGGCCATTGTAGCAAAGCTGCTATAGACGATGCATAAGGACTGAGTGTGATCACTCCGTGGGGGCAACCACAGTTGCCTTTGACCGTGACTTTTCTGCCCTGCCTCTCTGGTTGGCTGCAGGATGAAGGCGAGGACCCCTGGTACCAAAAAGCATGCAAGTGCGATTGCCAAGGAGGACCCAATGCTCTGTGGTCTGCAGGTGCCACCTCCTTGGACTGTATACCAGGTGAGTATCCCCTGTCCTTGGGATGGAACAGTCATTGGGAACACCCCATTTCTCTTCCTTTTTCCCACTCAGCTGAATTAACCCCCTGAACGCTACCCCCATCTTTAGAATGAAAGATGAGTGGTAGCTGTGTGTATTTATTACTATTTATTACTATTAGTAAGCCTATGTTAATGCGGGTTTTCTCCAGTTGGCCTCTGAGCTTCGAATCTCACAATGGCCCCTGCTTCAACACATGGCGTGATGTCAGTGTTCAGAAACAGCTCCCTAGATCTCCATGTCTCCAGGCTGGGATAGTACGATGGGATCTAACTTTCAATGAAATCGATGAATGAGACTGATTGAAAATAAATTAATGGGAGGACGGGCACAGTGGCCCACGCCTGTAATCCCAGCACTTTGGGAGACTGAGGCGGGTGGACTGCTTGAGCTCAGGAGTTTGAGACTCTCCTGGGCAACATGGTGAAACCTTGTCTTTACTAAGAATACAAAAATTATCCGGGTGTGGTGGCTTGCACCTGTGGTCCCAGCTATTCAGGAGGCTGAGGTGGGAGGATTGCTTGAACCCGGGAGGCGGAGTTGCAGCAAGCAGTGATCGTACCACTGCACTCTGGCCTGGGTGACAGAGCGAGAGGCTGTCTCAAAAAAAAAAAAAAAAAAAAAAAAGGAAAAGAAAAGAAAAGAAAAGAAATTAATGCTAGGCAGCCTGGAATTTTGAAAAGAGCACAGGCTCTAGAGCCAGGAAGATGAGGGCTGGAATCCTGGCTGTGTCACATCTGAACTCTGGGACTGCCACTTTTTTCCTTGTCTGTCCAATGGAGGTGATGATAGCACCATGCCTGGATACTGCTTGCTCACCAAACAGCCATGTGCTTCCCTCCCATTGCCCAGCCCCCTTGTAATTAATCAGGTGGTGCCATCCAAACAGCTACAGCCAAGGTGAGCAGGCCACTTTGAAAATGGCACTGAAGGGCTGGCACTCAACTCTTCAGCTCTCCCTTTCCTGCTGTGAAGCCACCTGTTGAGATAGTGGCTTTTTCTGCAACCTGGTCTCAGGCTGATCACGTGGAGCAGAACTCCCTGCCTACCCACGGTAGACCAGTTGCCTGAGTGAAAAATAAACCTGTGTTTTGTGGAGCCTCTGAAATTTCCAGGCCAATTTGTTCTGCAGCTGATTTAGCCTGTGTCTAAGACAGGGGCCAGCAAACTTTGTAAAGGAGGAGAGAGGAAATATTTGTGGCTTTGTGGACCAAATAATCTGTCACAACTAGTCCATTCTGCTCTTGTCTTGGAAAGCAGCCATAAACAATATGTAAATGCTCAAGCATGGCTGGGTTCCAATAAAACTTTATTTACAAAACAAGCAGAGGGCCAGATGTGGCCCATGGGTCATAGTTTGTTGACCTCTGCTCTACGGGGTTGTCAACAAGGAATAAATAAGATGAGGCATTAAAGCAGCCTGTGGGGTACTAGCACACTGTTGAATAAAGGTTGGTTTCTTTCCTACCAGCCTCCTAAGAGCTCACACACTGAGGAGGGAGGGAGCAGATCCAATTTTCAGAGGCTTGGGCAGTCGCTGCAAATATTTGCAATGCTTAAATCCTTTCCATGCTCAGAGCTTGTTTTGCATGAAACCGGCCTTGCTGCCTCTCCAGGGTTATGATGGTATTGTGCCACTTCATTTACTTTACACAATTGCCTAATAATAGCTTCACAAGAGACAGGTTTGTGTGTCTGTGTGTGAGGCTCTTTTCATTATTTCATTAAATATGCATTAAAAAAGCAAATTGCAATGTGTGTGTGGGAGGGTAGGGTACAATGGTTTCTACTGCGTGATTTTCCTATTTTCTGAAGGGGAAGTCATTTCTGAACTAAGTTTGTTTTCCAAGGGAACTATGGGGTCCCAATCGTGAGGAAACCGGTGGGCTTTTCCTATCAGACATCCCCTCAGGCTCCATGGCATGAGCTCACGCAGCCATTAAATGTTGGTATGATTGGCTCAGTCAATACTGACGCACCCTCATTAATAATCCATTTATAACTCAATTCACCCATCTTTCAACATGTGCCTATGATGTGTCAGGCACTGACAAGGAGACAGAAATGAAGGCATTGTCTCCACCTTAGAGAAATTTACCATTCAGTGGTAACGAATGTTCTTTTCACTAGAGACATGAGACCTCCTGGAATTCCATTCCAAGTAAGTTCTGTCTAAGAAGAAATTGAAAAGACATTGTTTATGTGGATTGGCTTCATCGACCCAATCTAGTTTGATACTTCAAGAAAGGGCCATGTGCAGCCTGGGCAACATGACGAAACCCCATCTCTAGATGGGGGGGGCACGGTGGCATATGCCTGCAGTCCCAGCTACTCGGGAGGCCAAGGTGGGAAGATCGCTTGAGCCCTGGAGGTTGAGGCTGCAGTGAGCCATAGTCGTATCACTGCACTCCAGCCTGGGCAACAGCCAGAGACCCTGTCCCCCCCACCAAAAAAAAAAAAAAAAGAGAGAGAGAAGAGTCATGTGTTTGAGGGATGTGATATTGACCCTGGTCCCCAAAGCTGTCTCCCCTACACAGCTGTCATGAGCTTGAAGTTCTAAAATTAGAAATTCTTTTAGCTTAAGTGTTCTCCTCTCTCCACTATTTTTTGGGTTTTGTTCTTTTTTTATTTTTTTATTTTTTTTTTGAGACGGAATCTCACTCTGTCTCCCAGGCTGGAGTACAGTAGCGTGATCTCGGCTCACTGCAACCCCCACCTCCCAGGTTCAAACAATTCTCCTGCCTCAGCCTCCCGAGTAGCTGGGACTACAGGTGCACACCACCACGCCCAGCTAATTTTTTGTATTTTAGTAGAGACGGGGTTTCACCGTGTTGCCCAGGCTGGTCTCGAACTCCTGAGCTCAGGCAATGCACCTGCTCGGCCTCCCAAAGTGCTGGGATTACAGGCGTGAGCCACTGCACCTGGCCCTGGTTTTTGATCTTAACAACACAGATATTTTCAGAAAGGAAAACTCAACCTCAGCGTTAATGGTTGATTCATTGGTGTTAATTGGTTCTTCCATGAGAGAGGTGATTCAGGGCATTGGGACCAGCCGCAGGCTTGCAGAAGTCACTTGCCCGTCAGTGCCGCATTCTCATGGTATGTCAGGAGCGCAGCTTGGTTTACCTGGGCCCTGTGAATCAGGGCTTCCCTCATAACGTGTCTCACGAAGAAAGAGAACCCTGGAAAGCACAGAAGGACAGCGGGGTCACTCAGAGCTGCCAGGAGCGCTAGCAGGTGCACTCTGGCTAATGCCCGGGCCCCCCACGGAGCAGAAGGCCACATGCATTCTGGCCTCCTAATCTTCACTTTAATGCTATTAAAAATACTAAAAGCTCTGTCTCTTCCACCGTTGAGCCAAGATTACCCCGGCACTCTGAGAGCAAAAAATAGGGTAGGGAAATTATCAAAAGTATAAGAAATCTACTGGTTTGCTAATGGTTCCTTTTGATTCTAGATTTTCTATTCTATATGATGCTTGAGCTTATGATCCATTCTTCCAGAAATATTATTCTACATATTTTCTTCTGTACTCTACTATATTGTCACATATATTCAAGTCTAATATCTATGCATAACACTATTCACATCTGTCTGGAATCTTGTGTTAAGAAAGTCCCTGAATTCTGTGTTTCTTTAGATCTGCATTCTTTATAAGCCTGCCTACAAACTCAGAAAGTAGCCACTAAAGTAAAAAGGCTAGAATATGAAATATACACAGCCTTGGGCTGGTAACATATTGCAAATATGCCTTTATCTATCTCATGATCACATCATGGCTCAGAAGAGCCATTTGAGCCACAGAAGATGTAGGCTTTTCCCTAAGGGTGAAATGAGTATAGAAACAGGTCTAATAGCTGCAACAGCAAAGTGACACTGGGTGGAAAACTTGGGAAGGTCATATTCTGTGTGTGTCTGATAAGGATCCCCTTAGTTTTTTTTTTTGAAATGTAGTCTGGCTCTGTTGCCCAAGCTGGAGTGCAGTGGCACGATCTTGGCTCACTGCAAGCTCTGCCTCCTGGGTTCAAGCGATTCTCCTGTTTCAGCCTCCCAAGTAGCTGGGATTACAGGTGCCAACCACTGCGCTCGGCTAATTTTTGTATTTTTAGTAGAGATGGGGTTTCACCGTGTTGGCCAGGCTGGTCTCGAACTCCTGACCTCAAGTGATCCTCCCGCCTCGGCCTCCCAAAGTGCTGGGATTACAGGCGTGAGCCACTGCACCCAGCCTTGGATCCCCTTAATTCTTTCACAACACTATTTATGTTGCCTTCTAGCATCTACTCAATTTATGGTTTCTTTTGATTAGGCCAGAGGTCGCAGTCAGTGTCTACTTCTTCCCTGAGGCCTCTGCTGCCTGTTTCGAAATGCCATTTCCTATGCTTGTCCCCAGTGGCCACCCAAGATGGGGCGATGGTGTGTGTTCATTCATCTCTCCATCCATCTGTCCAGTCAATACCTAGAGAGTGCCCAGCACCTGTGGGCATTCTGCTCAGCTAGGGGGAGAATGGGGAGGGAGGCAGGCGAGGGGAGATGGCAGTGAAGTATGCCTGAGGAGGAGGGGTGCGTGACAGGTGTGAAGGGTGCTGGGGAGGTAGCACCTGGGGCCCCTCAGCCAGCTCAGGGCGGGCAGAGATCTGAAGGCTGAGGCATGGGGGGCCAGGCGGAGGGGTGTGGACGGGAGGGGATGGCCTCAGGGAAGGGCTGCAGGCCACATGTGGACCTGAAAAGAGCTCAACCAGGCCCACAGAAGGAAGAGGAAAGGGGAAGAAGAAGTCAGGAAAAATCACAATAAGAGAACTGGAGTGTGCTCTTCTTCAGGACACACACAGTGTGGGAAATGTCACATTTTCTATTTTTCCACGTTAGAAGAAATCCAGCCGGAGTGCCCCATTGTAATGGCCTGTGAGGAGTGTGCAGACAGGATTTTTGAAGGTCTTTTCTCCCTATTTAGACTACATGAACCCCCCACGAGCTTGCGAGGGCAGGCTGGCCACAGCCCCATTGGAAGGCAGACGTCTCATGGGTGGCTCCTCTCCCTCTGAGCCATACTCAGTCCGAGGGACCTTCCCAAGTTTTCTGAGCGTGCCCAGAGCTTAGGGCTCCCAAGCCCATCCCAGTCCAGCCCCTCAGGGGAATCAGGTCCCTCTCTGCTGCGCTCAGGCCCTCACCACATCCCTGCTACTTTAGCTGGGGCTGTGACCTCCTTCTCTTGGGCAATGCGCTAATTCCTGGTGAGGCCTAGATCTTCCAGGTCCATAAGCTTAAGGGATGCTGTCGACAAGTTTCTCTCTCACATCCCTCTCTGTCTCTCTCTGTGTCTCTCTGTCTCTCTCTCTCTCTCTCTCTCTCACACACACACACACACACACACACACACACACACACACACACACTTGCTCCTGCCTGGGGCAAGGACAGCCGAAACCATTCATTAGTCACATGAAGCTGGCCTCATTCTCTGGAGGGTGTGGCGGGGGGTGCGGTGGTGGGGGGACGGGGAGGGTAATGGGGACAGAACAGAGTAGGATAGAGGGGCAATGGATTTCCTCCCTATTGAGTCTTTGCCAGAAAAACATGCAAAATTCAAGAAGGTTATCAACGTAGTCTCACAAATTCACCTCCACCAATGTCATGCACCTGCTGCTTTTTGGCAAGACGCTGTGCTCTACGAACTCTACAATCTCCAAATAGTTTCACTCAATCTTACAGCAATTTTATGAAGACAGGTACTACATCATGCCCCCATTTCACAGATGAGGAGACTGAGACCCAGAGAGGTTAAGCAACTGGCCTGCGCACACGCTGAGAGGGTGGGCCCCTACCCCAGGTGTCATTGGCTGGACGCAGGCCTGCTTGACCTTGACTGCCCATTACAATCACCTGCAGCTTTGTCCCCATGCCCAGGCCAATGATGTCAGAATCCCTGGGGGTGTGGCCTGAACATCTGCATTTCTACAGCTCCTCGGGCAATTCCGAGGTACAGCCCAGGCTGAGCCCCACCGGTCTAGAGTCTCTGCTTACCGGATTGCTGGGTTGGGCAGCTGAAAGCATCAGTGCCTCGGACCTGGAGTGTCGGGCACATGGAAGTGCCTCGGACCTGGAGTACTGGATAGGGAGCAGGACTGGAGATTGGACGATGAAGGGCTCGGTTTGGGACGCACGGAGTGTGAGGCTTCTTTGGGTCACCACAGCAGAAGTATTCTCCTGGAAAATATTCAGAGGGCAGTGGAATGAAGCTTGGGGCCCGGGAGGCAGGCATCGGCTCCCAGACACCAGCTGAAGCCAAGGTGACAGTGAGAGCGTCACCTTCCCTGGGGAGTAAGTACAGCATCCACGTCTGGACACACGGGTCTTTAGATCGCAGAGTGAGCCACACATTCTCTGCTGCCTGGACAGGCCCTCCCAGGCTGTCAAGGCCATTGGCCCTGGCCAGGTACCCCTGCAGGGCTACAGACCGCTCTGGAGTGTTAGATGAGCTATTTGGGAAGAAATGGCAAAAGAGATGTGAAGGGGAAACAGATGAAGAAGAGCAAAGTGCCAAGAATAAGGTGACTGGGAGAGGTGGCACTGGCTTTTTCCCTTCCCCTCTGCCTACTCTCTCAGAGCTAGTAGCCCTGAGCGGGGCGGCGGCGGCGGGTGGGGGTGGAAAACAAAAAGGAGGTTCAGTCATCAAATGCTCAAAGTGGAGGGGCCTCAGAGACACCCAAGGTTAGAATTTTGCCCATGAAAAATCCCTGCCACCTGGCCTTGTGCCCCTCCCCCTGATCGCTCGGGCTTGTCTTCCCAGCTGGAGGGGTGTCGCGGGTGGGGGAGGAGCCCTCGAGTCCGCAGGCACTCAGTCCTCGGGATCCCCAGCCCACAGAAAGAATGTCTTCCCTGGCAGGCCAAGGTTTTCAAGGTGCACTTTCAAAAGTTGGCTTGTTAAAAATGCAATTGCTCTGGGGTGGAGTCCTGGAAACTGCATTCTTGAGTACTTGAGTACTCAATAAACTACAAATTCTGTGCCCTCACCCTCAGACCCACAGAGCTGCAGATACTAGTGAGATCAGGCCTATTCCTTTCGTGCATTGGGGCAGAAAGGAAGTTAAGCCTCCCCGGCCAGAGGTCTGAAGCTGGCCTGTTTTTAGCCTCTGGGGACAGGGCATGGCCGTCTCTGCAAGCATGTTTCATTCAACTTTACTGGCTTTTGAAAAATTCTGGAGAAAATACTATGATTTGCCTTAATTGCAGTTTATCATTCATCATCAGAAAACTAGGAGAATGAGGTGGGAGGATCACTTGAGCCCAGGAGTTAGAGTTGCAGAGAGCTATGACTGCGCCACAGCACTCCAGCCTGTGCGACACAGCGAGACCAGGTCTCTAACCAAAAAAGGAAAATATATTTGCCATTTGTTTTCTGTAGAAATTCAGTTAGGAACTGGGTTTGGTTATAAGCACAAGACCCCCTAAATACTGGCTTATTGATTTAGGAGTTTTAACTCACATGGTAAAAAAAATTAGGGGTAGGGAGTTATAATACTTAAGGTTATCAAGGCTAAGGTCTCTGTAGTTTTCTTTTTTTTTTTTTTTTTTGAGACAGTGTCTATCACCCAGGCTGGAATGCAGTGGTGTGATCATGGCTCACTGCAGCCACAGACTCCTAGGCTCAAGCAATCCTCCTCCCTCAGCCTCCCCGGTAGCTGGGACTATAGACGTGAGCCACGAGATGGGGTCTCCCTATGTTGCCCCAGGCTGGTCTTGAACTCCTGGGCTCAAGTGATCCTCCCAAAGCACTGGGATTACAGGCATGAGCCACTGCACTCAGCCTCTGCAGTTCTCTCGGCCTTACCCACATGGTGCAAGATGGTTACTGTCACACCAACTATCAGATGTGATCTAGGCAACAGGAAAAAAGAAGGGGCAAGCAAAACCTGACCAGAAATCCCAGCAGGCAGTCTTTATGTCTCACTGGTCAGAAGTTATGTCACCTGGGCACTTCTAACTGCAAAGGAGGCTGGGAAAGGCCCTTTATTCAGCTGGCTACATTGCTGCTCCCAATAAAAGGAGAGCTCTTTAGTCAAAAAGAAGGGGAGGCTGGGTGTGATGGCTCACACCTGTAATCCCTAGTGCCTTGGGAGGCCGAGGCAGGTGGATCCCTTGAGCCCAGGAGTTCAAGACCAGCCTGGGGAACATGGCAAAATCCTGTCTCTACAAAAAATACAAAAATTAGCTGGGTGTGGTGGTGTGCACCTGTGGTCCCAGCTACTCAGAAGGCTGAGGTGGCAGGATCGCTTGAGCCCAGGAGGCAGAGGTTGCAGTGGGCTGACATAGCAGCACCGCACTGCAGCCTAGGACAGGGCGAGACCCTGTCTCAAAAGAAAAAAAAAAGGAGAAGAAGGGGAGAATGAATGAATACTGGGTTGAAAATTGGCAGCCTCTGACCAGGTAACTCGACACTGTGCCTGCCACTGCAGGCACCACCTCGGCTCACTGAAACCTCTGCCTCCCGGGTTCAAGCGATTCTCCTGCCTCAGCCTCCCGAGTAGCTGGGATTACAGGCATGAGTCACCGTGCCCAGCCTCAACACCGTTTTTACTGTGAGGGGACATACAGACGAGAGGAAGGGGGAGACAATCAACACAGAAGAACCACCTTTGGGTACTACCACTGGGAAAAAGCAGTTCCTTTTAGCTGTTTCTCACTCAACAGTCCCCCAAGCACATTTCACCCATTTTTTTTTTCATTAGACTGGTGAGAAAACTGCAATTTACAAGTAGGAAGTCATTCTCTATATCTCAATATGTCATCGCCCTTCTTGCGTCTCACTGTGGTTTTGTCCCTATAATTGGCATGATCTGCTGCCCAAGGACAACAAGAGACCTGACGTCATGAGGCAGGATGGCTAAATCTGTGTTAATGGGGGAAATAAAGATGTATGGCATTTAAATATGGTATTTCACTGTGCACCTCTTGGTTTTTAGATCTCTAAGTTGGTGGAGGAGGTGAAGTATTTCTCAAAATTCCACACACCCCTTGTGAAGTTGCCATAGAGCCACTTCCCTCTGCTTTTACAAAGGCTGTTGAGTCTCTATGGCAATTCCTTTACTTCATCCTTCATTCCTTTCTTGCGTGAGTAGTGAACCGTTGAAGACACAGCTGTACCCATTGTGAACCACAGAGACAGGTAAAGCCTTCTCCGTCTCCGAAGCGCAAAGCAGATGGGTTTGTTTTGTTATTTCAGTCACCTGGTGCTTGTTGAGTATTGAGATATGTGTGAATGTGAATTCTTTTTCCTTTCCCAGAATGCCCATATCACAAGCCTCTGGGTTTCGAGTCAGGGGAGGTCACACCGGACCAGATCACCTGCTCTAACCCGGAGCAGTATGTGGGCTGGTATTCTTCGTGGACTGCAAACAAGGCCCGGCTCAACAGTCAAGGCTTTGGGTAAGCAGGGCCCGGGGATTTTTTTTCATGTGCTTTTAAAAAAAAATAGGCCTCTCTACCAGCGTGGCCAACACAGTGAAACCCCGTCTCTACTAAAAATACAAAAAATTAACTGGCGTGGTGGCACGTGCCTGTAATCCCAGCTACTCAGGAGGCTGAGGCAGGAGAATTGCTTGAACCTGGGAAGCGGAGGTTACAGTGAGCCGAGATCACACCACTGCACTACAGCCTGGGCGACAGAGTGAGACCCTGTCTCAAAAATGAAAAAAAATATAGGCCTCTCTAATAAACAAATGACACAGAATGTACTTATGAGTGCTGGGGGAGAGATGAAGGAAGAAAGACCTCATCCATGCAGCCAGGGAAGGCTTTCTAAGGAAAACATATTTGACCTGTGGCTTGAAGTTGGCCAGGTGAGGGAGGGGAAGAGGCGTGGGGTACAGCAGGTGCAAAAGCCCTGAGTCGGGATGATACCTCCAGGGTGTGGATGGGGAACATAAGCAGGGCAGCAAGCCTGAAGCACAAGTGAGACAAGGTGGAGAGGCAAGCGGAGGTCAGATGGTGCAGGACCTTAGAAGCCACGTTAATGACTGTGGTCCGTACTGTAGGGATAATGGGAGGACCCTGAGTGCGTATTAGTTAGCATACATGTTCATGCTGTTGTAACAAAGAGCACCAAAGTACAGTGACTTAATGTAGAAGTGTGTTTCTTGCTCACTTAAAAGTTCCATTCATCAGCCAGGCACAGTGGCTTACGCCTGTAATCCTAGCACTTTGGGAGGCCGAGGGGGGGCAGATTACCTGAGGTCAGGAGTTCAAGACCAGCTTAGCCAACATGGTGAAACCTCATCTCTACTAAAAATACAAAAATTAGCCGGGCATGGTGGCAGGTGGCTATAATCCCAGCTACTTAGGAGGCTGAGGCAGGAGAATCACTTGAACCTGGGAGGCGGAGGTTGCAGTGAGCCGAGATTGTGTGCCACTGCACACCAGCCTGGGCGACAGAGCAAGACTCTGTCTCAGAAAGGAAAAAAAAAAGTTTCATTCAGTAGTCTAGGGTCGTTATGGCAGCTTGATGGCATGCGGGGCCCAGACTCTACCTTGTTGTTCTGTCGTCCTTAACATGAAGCGTCTATCTTGGGGTCCAGAATGGTGTCTCTGTCTTCTGCCATCACATCCACCGTCTAGTTAGTGGGGAGAAACAAAAGAGCAGCAGAGTGCGCATGACTTGCCTTTAAGAACACAAACATATTCTATTGGCCACTTCTGCCCACATCCCATTGACCAGAGTTTGGTTAGGGGGCCCCATCTAGTTGCAAGGGAGACTAGGAAATGCCATCTTAGCCAGATGGCCATTTGCCCAGATGAAACTCAGGGGTTCTATTACCAAATGAGGATGGGAAGGGAGTATCGGGTGATAATTAGCAGACTCTGCCGGATAAATATTTTAAGTCGAAGAGTATCGCAAGCACATTTGTGTTTTAAGAAAAGTTCTCTGGTTCCTGTGGGGCCAGAGCAATCCAGGGAGAGTAGTTGAGGTGTGGGAAGAAAGAGGGGGACACGGGCTAGAGTGGTGGCGGTGGAGACCGACAGAAGTAGAAGAATTTGAGGCACTTGGAGATGGAGCCAATAGATAGATTGGGCACTGGAGGTGGAGAGGAGGGGCCCAGGATGGTTCTCAGGTGGCCGGCATGGACACATGCAAGGATGGGGTTAACTCAGAGACGTGGGGTCTGAAAGCAGGGTGGGGTGGGGGCACTTAGGGGCTCACATTGGGACGTGTTTCATCTGAGATGCTGAGAGGCATACAGAAGTCCTCTAGCTGGCAACTGAACTCTCTGGATTTGGGGTTTAGAAAAGGTGTGGGATAGAAGTGAAAAGTCAGGAGCCACCCAAGGAATAAGTCTGGAAAAGGAAGAGAAGGTGGCCCAGGGCTTAAGTCCTACAAAGCTAATTAAAATACACACTAAAAGGAAAAAAGGAGGTGGCGGGGGGAACTACTATAGGTTTCCACGATTTATGAGGAATGTAGCTAAAAAAACAACTTAGTTGCTTCAACGGTTATCTGGCTTGACACTTGTCAAAGCCCTTCTAGATCCACATGGGTCAGTGCTCTGCACGAGGCAGGAATGTCACCAACCGAGGGAAACACAAATAGGTGTGAAGAGAGTGAAATGCGCAGAAAGGTTCACCCTGGGAGTCTCAAGCAGAGGGCAGGGGCTGGTGGTCTAACAGCCATGCACCTGCGTGTTTTGCAGACAGACATGTTCAACCACTCCCAAAGGCAATTTCAGCCACACTCTGAGGCATTTCTTTGACAAATTAGTCGAATCTGGAAATCTTTTCTTGGGAGGTGGAGATGCAGGGAGAGGGAGAATGAGATGCAAGTTAAGTATAACGGAAGCTGGCCATTCCTAGGAGACAAGGCTCAGACTGCAGCCCAGACTGCCCGAGCTTGGCAGGGGGCTCTTTGGATGCTGGCATCCCCTCGAGAGCCAGCACCTGCGGGCTTTTTGCAGACATGCACAGGGGGAGTCTCTCGGTGACTCGGTATGTTCTCGGCAGGTGTGCCTGGCTCTCCAAGTTCCAGGACAGTAGCCAGTGGTTACAGATAGATCTGAAGGAGATCAAAGTGATTTCAGGGATCCTCACCCAGGGGCGCTGTGACATCGATGAGTGGATGACCAAGTACAGCGTGCAGTACAGGACCGATGAGCGCCTGAACTGGATTTACTACAAGGACCAGACTGGAAACAACCGGGTAAGTTGGGCTTATCCCAAACCAACTTCAGCTCGCACCCTCTGGGACTTCCCCTCCTGTCCCCGAGCTCCTGTCACTGCCCTCTGTCAGAGCACCGACTCCACAGCACAGTGGATCATCTGCGCTTTCCCCCACAATGTGCTGTGCTCTCTTTCCTGGGCTTGCTTTGGTGCCCAGCACAGTTTGTTTGCAAATGAATGCTATTCTTAAGCTCAAAAAAAAAATTTGTCTGAGTTTCCATATCAGCATGCAGTTGCCTGAACTCTTAAGACTGACCATTTGGACTATTTCAACTCACTGGATCATTGAATGCACTTTGCTTCACGGGTATGGTCTGATGTTATTGATGTGGGTAGAGAATCATCCATTTATATAGATGTGGCCTCTCCTATTGTTTGAGACTGACAGAGGGGAGCCTTTTGAGAACCTAGCAAGTTACCCATTAGCCAAATGGTTAAAAGGACTTCACCAGCACAAACACAGACGAACTTAAACCTTTGGGCAACTCTACATCCTATTAATCTTTGTGGATTGAGACAGAAGTCTTCTTCACCATTGACTAAACGCAGTAGACTCCTGACTATATATATATATATATATTTGCTATGAATAAAAATGAATTAAAAACTCCCTAGCTCTTTGGAAATGGTAAACATCCTTTTGCCTAAGAGTAAGGAGTTCCCCAGGCTAATTTCAACATTTAATCAGGTTAAGTAGACATGTACAGCTGAGATTCAGAAGGCTTTGTAAGTCTCTGATGACAATTTGTACGGCCAAGACGTTCATGGGTTGTTCCAAGGAGTTTGAACACAAGAGGAAAAACCATCTTGATACTTGGACATTTAATTTCATTTTTATTCTTATTAGCTGGCCTCTTCAAAAGACATGAGAAGTTTTTCAAGCCCTGTGCTTCTGAAGGCCTTGAAGGTTCTTTGCAAAGAGGCACTTCACCCCTGCACTTGTGCAATCTGGTGGAGCCTGTTCCACCCTCCCCTCTCTTCACCTGGCTCCTGACTTGAATAGGCTCAAAGACAAACTGCAATAGAGAGGGTGGTGTGGGGCGGTGCCACTGCGGAGAAAGGCAAGAACATGGCAGACCAGGCCCTTCCCGTTTTGTGGATGGATGGGGCCAAATGCAACAGCCAGATATTTTCAGGAGATAATCCCAGAAGGAGATGAAATGTCCTAGTGGCATCAGGCAGAGCACCATGACTTTGGTAAGAGGGCAAAGAATGATTTCTTTGGAAATGGCGTCAAACACCCACAGCATGTTTTTATGTTACATCCTTAAAAACACTAAGCAAACCCCCTTTCTCTTTACTCTGGCACCACCCTCCCCTTTCCAGAATCTTCCTTCGAGTTTTTATGTCTTTTTGTTTTGTTTTGAGATGGAGTCTCACTCTGTTGCCCAGGCTGGAGTGCAACGGTGTGATCTCAGCTCACTGTAACCTCCGCCTCCCGGGTTCAAGTAATTCTCCTGCCTCCGCCTCCAGAGTAGCTGGGATTTACAGGCACCTGCCACTGCGCCTGGCTAATTTTTTTGTATTTTTAGTAGAGACGGGGTCTCACTGTGTGTTGGCCAGGCTGGTCTCAAACTCCTGACCTCAAACGATCCGCCCGCCTCCGCCTCCCAAAGTGCTGGGATTACAGGCGTGAGCCACTGCGCCTGGCCAAGTTTTTATGTCTTTTTAAAAAAACATTTTCCAAGTTGGAAAGGTACTCATCACTTGTATCAAAGTAGGAATACACATTTAAGTTTTGGCTTACAACTCCTGAGCCAAGCACGGGTTTTCACTTGAGCCCTACTTTGGATACCTTTGGAACATGTAAGTGTGATGTGGGCCTTTTCAAAATGTCAAAATGCAAAGGATAAAAACTCAAAAGCGATGAGTCAAGTGGCATTTTCTAGCAGCACCCTCCAATAGAACTTTCTGTGATGGAAATGTTCACATCTGCACTGTCCAATATGGCGGCCACTTGAAATGTGGCTCATGTGACTGAGGAACTGAATTTTTATCTAATTTTAATTAATTGAAGTGTAAACAGACATATTGGCTAGTGGCCACCCTATTGGATGGTGCAGTTCCAGATGTCCCAAGCATGTAGGTGTGATGACAATCACTCAAGGTCAGATTTTGGGGGGCACCCGCAAACTGCTTTAACTACTTCCTAATCATTTCTATAGTTAAAAGTTGGGGCTAGCTCCAGAAAGGAACCCTTCTTCCTTTTCCCTCCCCGATGTGATGGTGACAGGATTTCCTCTATCTCTCTAGGTCTTCTATGGCAACTCGGACCGCACCTCCACGGTTCAGAACCTGCTGCGGCCCCCCATCATCTCCCGCTTCATCCGCCTCATCCCGCTGGGCTGGCACGTCCGCATTGCCATCCGGATGGAGCTGCTGGAGTGCGTCAGCAAGTGTGCCTGATGCCTGCCTCAGCTCGGCGCCTGCCAGGGGGTGACTGGCACAGAGCGGGCCGTAGGGGACCCCCTCACACACCACCGAGATGGACAGGGCTATATTTCGCAAAGCAATTGTAACTGCAGTGCTGGGTAGATAATTTTTTTTTTTTTAAGATATAGCTTTCTGATTTCAATGAAATAAAAATGAACTTATTCCCCACTCAGGGCCAGAGAAAGTCAGAACAAAGAAAATGTCCCCGAAACGAATTTTCTTACAAAAGCCTAAGTAGCAGGGGTAATTTTCTGCTCATTTTTTGTCTCAGTGATACTGTGAAAGGTGCAGTCTCAGGGGAACACAAAGCAGCCCTGATAATTTGAAAATTCATTTGCTTTACCACATTCAAGACAGAAACATACAGTTTCCTAAAGCCTGGCTTTGAATGCAGAAGGGAGCAGCTCCTCCTAGTTAAGTTTCCACTAAATCATCGCCAAAGAGGACTTCAGAGCCCTGGGGAGGCAGCTGAGGGTCTCAAGGGTGACTGGGTGGCAGGGATGAGTGCGGTGGGTGAGAATCCCGGTGCCCTGAGAGGCTATACGTGACAAATGACCAAAAGCCCAAGGTAGGGGAGTTTCCTCTGCTCACAGTTCTTACCTTCAAGGCGGATCTGGGCTTCCACCCTCATGAACACAGGGATTGGGGAGGGACCAGAGCGCCCAATACACACAGCTCCATTATGCAATCCATTCCAGCAAATTCCCCGTGTCTGTGGTCACCATTTAGGTGATCATACAGGACAGGCTGCACATCTCAGTATATGTAGGGACCCCAAATGACCACAACACAGTACAATTGCCCTTTACCTAGGGCTACCATTTCCTAGCAAACCAAACATAGTTCGAGAACAGCTGGCCCAGGAGCTACCACTGGCTACTCAGAGGAGGCTCATTAGCTGGCTACATGCTTCGCAGGAAGTGGGAAGGACTCACATCATAAAAAGGACCATGTAGCTTTTTCCCTGAAAGCTTCTCACCCTCCACCCTCTGCCTTGCAATACGCAAACTGCGCCTGCTCCTGAAAAGCTCTCTGGGAAGGAATGGGCCTGGCTTTCCGTTCCTGGAGGCGGCGCCTTAGATTGGGAGGCCTCATTGGCCACTTAGAGCGCAGCCTGAGTTTCCAGGCCCCTTCCTGGGAGAGGCTGTTAACACGGGGGAGGGGCAGGAGAGGGATATGGAGAGCAGGTGGTGGAATCAGAGGACGAGGCTGCTCTAAAGACTGTTCTGGCCCCAGACACAGGGTAGTCTTTGCTAGCAGCTCATTTCCGAGTTACTTTTCATTTTCAAATGCCAAGGCAAGTGACTAGACTCGCGCTAATACAGTGCTGGACAACACATTCACCTTTTCTGTGAACAGGCAGCCTTCTAAAAGCCCCAAACATCCTTCTTGATGCTTTGGGGGCTCAATTATTTTATATCCAACCCAGCATCTTTCTAGTCCCTATGCTGTATGCTTGAACTTCGGAAAATGCTTTTCCCCGCCCAATCTTCTCTCAAATATAAACACATCACACAGGGTGTTGGGGGTGGGGGGGGGGGGTGGGGGGACTTATCCCTGGCCTTAGGACACAGGACAAATCTATTTTGGATAGAAATGCCTGAACAGAGACCCTTATTTGGAAAGGTGAATTAACTTTGGTCACGACATGGACTGTCAGACAAAATGGCAGTATCCTAAGAGTTAAGGCACATCAAACACAGGAGTCGAGAGAGTGCAGTTCAGGGAAAAAGGAGAGGAGGAAACAGTGAGGCAGGGAGAAAGGCTTTCCAAATAAGAGTTCATGTTGGAAACTTTTGTCACGGCTTTATTGAGATTAAGTTCACATACAATTTGTATCCATTTAAAGTGTACAATTTGATGACTTTTGGTATATTCAGAGTTGTGCAACCATTATCACTAGATCAATTTTAGAAAGTTTATCACCCCAAAGAGAAATCCTGCACCCATCAGCCAACACTCCCCAACCCATCGGCCACCCCAAGCCCTCTGCAACCACGAATCGACTGTCTCTGTAGATTGGCCTTCTGGACGTTCTACATAAATGAAATCATATAGTATGTGGTATTTCGTGACTGGCTTCTTTCACTTAGCATAGTGTTTTAAAGTTCATCCACGTTATAACATGTGTATCACTATGTCACTTGTCACTCCTTTTTATTGCTGAACATCATTGTTCAGTATCATGTCAAGAGCACATTGTTATTTATCCATTCATCCATTGATGGATATTTGGGTTTCCACTCTTTAGCTATTATGAATAATGCTGCTATGAACATTTGTGTATAAGTTTTTGTGCGGATGTGTGTTTTCATTTATCTTGGGTATATACTTAGGAGTAAAACTGCTGGGACACACAGTCACTCTTGTTTAATCTTTGGAGGAACTATTATCCCAAGTGGCTGCATCATTTTACATTTCCACCAGCAATGTAGGAGGCTTCCACTTTCTCCACATCCTCAGCAACACTTGTTACTGTCCATCTTTGACTATACCCATAATGTGTGAAGTTGCATCTCAACTGTGGTTTTGATTTGCATTTCCCTAGTGACTAATGATGTTGAGCATCTTTTCATGTGTTTACTGGCCATTTGTACATCTTTGGATAAAGGTTTTTCAGATCCTCTGCCCATTTTAAATCGGCTTACAACTTACTGAGTTTAAGAATTCTTTGTATATTCTAATTCCCTTATTGGATATGATTTGCAAATATTTTCTCCCATTCTGTGGATCTTTTTAACCCTCTCGATAGAGTCCTCTTAAGCACAAAATTTTAAATATTTGATGAAGTCCAATTTATTTTTCTCTTTGCTTGTGCCTTTGGTGTCATATCTGAGAAACCACTGCCAAATCCAAGGTCATGAAGATTTACCCCTATGTTTTCTTCTATGAGTTTTATAGTTCTACCTCTTACAGTTAGATCTTTGTTCCATTTTGAGTTAATTTTTGTATATGGTGTGAAATAGGAGTCCAACGTCATTCTTTTGCATGTGGATATCCAGTTGTCCCACCACTATTTGCTGAAAAGACTATTCTTTCCCCCATTGAATGATCTTGGCACCCTTGTCAAAAAACAATTGACCATAAATGTGAGAGGGTTTATTTCTGGACTCCAAATTCTATTACCTCACTTTCTTCATTATTGTAGCTTTGTAGTAAGTTTTGAAATTGGGGCATGTGAGTCCTCCAACTTTGCTCTTCGGGATTGTTTTGGCTATTCTGGGTTCCTTGAATTTCCATATGAATTATAACTAACTTGTCCATCATTGCAAAGAAGCCAGCTGGGATTTCACATTGGAAACTGCTCAATACTTCAGAATTTAATAAACAGTAAGATATACGATTCATAAGACATTTATCTGCAGATAATTTGCTTACAACAGCATATTATTTACTTCATTCAATTCATGACAGAATGTATAAAAACTAAAACTTTTATTGAGGGAAATCTGAAGCCTAATAGAATCTTGCTGTCAAACACACAAACTATGCTTCCAAGTATCATTTCTTTTGTGGGGGAAACTTTCAATTAAAAATTATACATAGTGTAGGAAAAACTCACTCTTACCTTATTTTAACATATTTACTTTTATTTTTAGAAATGCTAGAGCACGGTCTACACTGGAGTTTGTTTAAAAATTGCGGTAAAATATACACAACATTTGCAGATTTTTAAATAATTAAATGAAATGTTACGAACAAAGAAGTAGCATTAAGTGTTGCCAATATTAAGGAAAAAAAATCTGAGCTGATTCGGGTACTCTGTGTGGGAGGAGGTTACTTGGACAAAGCAAAGGTATTTCCAGATAGAGATGCTGCTGTGAATCCATTCTCAGAGCCCAGAAGATTGCACCCCTAAAGTGACCCTTGGAATGGATGCTCACAGAACCCCATCTTTCTGTCCACTTGGGGCTTGGTTGCTAAGGCCCACTGACAAACAGCTTACAAGGACTGTTGCTTCCCCTGTGGTCCCAAGAGTACTTCCATGCTGGGTCATTCTTAAGCCCAACCTTACAGGGCTGATACGAAGATCAAATAGGCTACGTGCATCTAAAGGGCTGTGCGGACACCTACTGAGCTCTGTGTAACTGGCATTAAAGATTCAGTGACATTCCTTCTCAATTTCCTGAAACTGCCAAATTGGGACAGAAGTAATAGCAATGTTTTACAATAGCAATAATGTTATAAGAGCTCATATTTCTTGAGACTCTCAAGTGCTCTGCAGGTTATTATCTCATTAAATCTTCACAACAACACTGAGGTAGGTACTGTGATTACCTCCATTTAAAGATAAGGAAACTGAGGCATAGTGAAGTGCCTTGCTTCAAGTCACATGAGATGTAGGAGATGGAGCCAAGACTCCACCCAGGCAAGCGGACTCTATATCCTAGGGATTTATTTATTTATTTATTTTTGAGATGGCGTCTCGCTCTGTCGTCCAGGTGGGAGTGCAGTGGTGCGATCTTGGCTCACTGCAACCTCTGCCTTTTGGGTTCAAGTGATTCTCCTGCCTCAGCCTCCCGAGTGGCTGGGATTATAGACATTCACCACCATTCCCGGCTAATTTTTGTATTTTTTTTTTTTTTTTTTTGAGACAGAGTCTCGCTCTGTTGCCAGGCTGGAGTGCAGTGGCGTGATCTCGGCTCACTGCAACCTCTGCCTTTTGGGTTCAAGTGATTCTCCTGCCTCAGCCTCCTAAGCAGCTGGGATTACAGGCATGTACCACCACACCCAATTTTTGTATTTTTAGTAGAGACGGGGTTTCACCATGTTGGCCAGGCTGGTCTCGAACTCCTGACCTCGTGATCCACCCACCTTGGCCTCCCAAAGTGCTAGGATTACGGGCGTGAGCCACCGCCCAGACCTAATTTTTGTATTTTTAGTACAGACGGGGTTTCTCTATATTGGCCAGGCTGGTCTCGAACTCCTGACTTCAGGTGATCTGCCCGTCTCAGTCTCCCACAGTGCTGGGATTACAGGCGTGAGCCACCACACCTGGCCTGATCCTGGGCTTTTAAGCTGCATCCCCAGAGGACCTCCAGTGACTTGTTTCAATGAAGTGTTCTATTCTCAAATTGCATCAATTACCATCTGCTGGGAAAGGGGATGGAAGGTGGCACATAAATTGTTGTGAGCTTTTAGAGAAGAATATGTTATACATCGTGGGGACTTGTTACCTGCTCTAATTAGTATACTTATTCCATCAGTGTAGATAGCCATTTCTAAGTCTGTTACCCTTTCCTTCACTTGACTAAGTTGTCTTTATTTCTGCACCTAGAGTAAACTTCAGGCAAAGTTTTTAATATAACCTGTGTTGGAAACTGTTTTTGAAAATTTGAACCTTGGAGTTACTTGAATAAATCTGAATTACTAAAGAGAAACAATACTGATTGTGACCACATTACCATACGTGGACGTGCAGTGACTTTTAAGGGTATATGGGCTTTACAATGAACATATTCGGCTTCAAATCCTGGCCCTGCCACTTCCAAACTGGGTGACCTTGGGCAGGTTAATGTCAAGTATGGAAATCTGTTTCCTCATTTACAAAAAGGGGATAATAATAGTACCTGTTTCGCTGGGTTGTTGTGAAAATAATAATAATAATAATAATAATAATAATAATAATAATAATAATAAAGCAAAACACTTGGGCATTGTGCCTGGCCATAGTAAGTGCTATGAACATTAAAAAGTATAAGCACCAAATACTTTCATTCAGTCTTGGTAAGATTATAGTTGAAAGCACAGGCCACAAGTTTCCATGTCACTTAAGGAGATAGAGTGAAGAGGTGGTTGACAGAGGACTTTTAAGAATGGAGAGCACTGACTTTCAGCTCCTACCCTTTGTTTAGAAAGAGAAAGAAAACTGGGGAATATTTCATCTATAAGTTATCACAAAAGCTAAGTTCTTTCCCTCCTGATTGAACATGTACTCGGTTGGTGTTACCCTAAATGATGAAACTGAGGGCCTAAAACGGGTTAGTAAACTATGGCCTGTTTCTATAAGTAAAGTTTTACGGGACCACAGCCACACTTACTGATTTACATATTATCCATGCAGCCTCTGCAATACAAAGGCAGAGCTGAGTAATGTTGACAGGGAACTGATGGGCCACAGAGCCCCCAATATTTACCATCTGGCCCTTTACAGGAAAAGCTTGCCCACCTCTCCTCTAGAATCAAAAAACCCTTATTAAGCTGTGCATCTTTGCTTTCTCCATAGCACTTAGCACAAGATTGGCCTCTCTTCCCATCCTCCTCAAACTACCACGTGAGTGTCTAGCGACGTGCAAAGGTGACAACACTCAAGTATAAAACAAACCAAAGTTTTCAAAATGCCGTAAGGGGAAAAAAGCTTTATAAATAGGAAAACAAAGATCAACATCATTAAGTTACAGGATTTGCCTAGTTTTACATTAATTTCTGTCTCAAACTGATTACAACCTCAAAGGCCCATCATCCCTCATTTGAATTCGAATGCATTCTTTCTTCCCAAGAAGGAACTAAAATGGAGCTGTTCGCAGTTCAAACACGAAGGACCACAGTGCTCAAGATTGGGACGGCCTGGCAGTCACATCAGTCAGTGCAAAATCTGCATTTTATTAAAGACATTTGGGAAGATCCATTCAAAAATACATTGTGCTCAGTAAAAATTAACCATTTCATGCTGATAATGAAGGTTATCACGGAATAGATATTTGTGTAATATTTACAGCAACAATAGAAATTTTACATAAGTTTAGAATGGAATTACATGCCAGAAAAAACTTGATAAGATGTACCAACACATGATACAAAGAGTTATAGAAACACTTTACAAATGGTTCATAATTCACTTGTGAGGATTTAAGTATTCAACACTTTAAATTCAGTTTGGATTCAAAAATTAAAAAGATTAACAATCACATC
Source organism: Homo sapiens (assembly GCF_000001405.40). Taxonomy (NCBI): domain Eukaryota; kingdom Metazoa; phylum Chordata; class Mammalia; order Primates; family Hominidae; genus Homo; species Homo sapiens. The sequence goes on along the minus strand of NC_000023.11, from coordinate 18,635,064 downwards.
ACACCCTTGCCACAGTAAAAAGTATGGAATTACACTTTATATAATGGATTATAAAGTCTGTGCAATTAAGAATTTCCACTGATTCTTCATCTACCACATACTAGATGTCACATCATTCTGGCTTATCCCTATTTTTAAGAATGAACAGAGTCTAAATGTCACCCTGCCCTGTGTCTTCCCAGACACCACCTTCAAGCTTACTAGAGATTGAAGAAGCTCTGAATAGTTAGCTAAGTATATACAGAATAACTACCTGAATTCAAAATGGCACAAAGCAATTCTTGGAGATAGAAATTTGGGGCAATGATTTTGTTTGGTTTAATTGTTTCTGTTAATCAATCCAAGTTTACAGTGAGAATTTACTTCTTTTAATCACCGTATTACCCCTCTAGCCTGACTCGATCGGTGACCAAAGAGTAAACAAGGGGAGGGAAACAGACTGAGGGCCAGAATCATTGTGTGTCTCTAGAGAAAACAGGTTGTCTGCAAGCTTTGCTTTCCATTTTGGAAAACCTAAGCCGTGCTGGAGAACTTACTTACACATTCTCCGGGACGATAAGCATCTTTTTTGTTTTGTTTTGTTTTTCCATGAAACTCTACAGAGTTTGAACCGGAGCTTTTGACAATTCTGGCAAAAAACACTTTAGTCCCCACAACAGGGACAAAAGTCAAGGCATCTACCTTTTCTATTCCTGGGTTTCTTCTGATAAGACCTGAAGCAGAGCACTAGGACAAGCTTGTCTACCCCTGAAAGAAATCAGATCAGACTTTTGGGAAAGTAAAATCCCCAACCAAAGGAAGTCCTGAGGAATTCTTAGCAGTCTGTCAAAACAGGGGGGATGGAGGAACAGATAAGGCCTCTTTCTCCCTGATACCCTGTGTTGGAAGAGTAACAAACAAGGCAACTTCTAATCTGCATACAACATGGAGACCGATTTTCAGATTCCAAAGGAGGATCGAAATAGGAACCAAGGATCAAATGGGGTTTCGAGAGCTTAACCTTGTGGGAAATGAAGGGCTTTAGAAGTGAAACTAGTTTCACTGCCGCAATTTTGCTGGCCCTACAAATCCAGCGTGCCGACTATTACAATTTTTTTCTGGCAAAATGAGACAAACTTCCTTTAAATTTGGGCATAAACAGGTGATGAATGAAAATGCAAGGCGGGTCATGATCATATTTAATAGCCTACAGTAAATACACGGAAAGGTGGGGTCAGTGCCCGGAGAGGAGAAAGGTGGAGCCAGGACCAAGCCTAACGCTGATGAATGAACAAACCACTGTGGGAAATGAAGATTCATGTAGTAACTGGCTCACATGAAGGCCTACCATTTGTATCGTACATTCAATTCACAAAGAAAAAAAAAAAGAATCGAAGGGGGCAGCAGGCCCAGAGTTTCCTAGCCACCCCACTTCTCCCACATTGCGTGTATGCAGATAGATGAGGGACTTCTTTTTCTTGTATGGTTTCTTACTCATCGTTTCTGAGACAGAATTTTTCATCAGCTGAACCAGACCTCAAGATATTCTGTATCTCAGCTGGTCAAGAAGCAAAAGGAAGAAATTGTAACTGCTTACAAGTTTGGTTTCTGGTTATTTTTGTAAGCCAGGCTTTTAAGTCTTTGAGAGGATCTTCTTGTGAGATTCTGGCCCTGGGAATTAGCGACAGGACACTTACAACCTTTGTACTGTCTTTTCTATGTCCCCTTTCAAAAACAATTGTGGTTCTTCAAACCATAAGTAAGTTTTCTCTGCCTACACACTTTCTTAGTGATGAACTGAAGGAGGCAAGGAAATATTTCACTATTTTCTGACTTGGTTCAGTGTACCCTACCACATTCCAAAGTTCACAAAAGTATGAGTCTGTGGATCTTAGAACCCACATCTCAATATCCCACTATCATGCAGGAGGTAACGAACTTCTAGATAGAAAAGCAATGCTCTCCAGGAAACATGTTCTGACCAGCAGAGAACGTGCAGATTTACTGAGTCCCAGCTGAGCTCCAGCACCGAATCACATTGAGCCATTGCCCTTGCTGAAAGAGTTCAGTCACCACCAGGTCCCAGGTGAACAGAAATAGACAGATCTTTCTACACACTTGCAAAGTAATCCTCTGGCCTTTGAAAAAAAGTTGTACTATGAGTCATTCTCAATAATACATGGCTAGAAGAAAATAAATGGCTTTTTTCCTTATTTACTCTAAAGACTAGTTTAAGAAGTGAGGATACTATGATCTTAACTAAGAGGGGCTGGAAAGGGAAAATGGGATAGCATTTCCTAGTATAGTCCACTAATTCTCAGATTAGGAACATGCTAAACTGGCTAACTCTACAACCACAACATACTTTATAATACATGGCGTGACTAGAGACTGACAGCATAGCTCTGAGCTTAGAATTAAAGTACAACTGCGTAAGGTGAATCTTAAAGCATGTTTTAAAACAGATTTAACCAAAGCATACAGCACAAATACTTCTATAACAGCCACATCACAACCACCAATACGGACTTTTTTGCTTCTAATTGGTCTGCCATATGCTAATATTTGTAAAGAGCTATTAAATGACTTGAATAAAAAACAAAGACATTTTCTTTCGGGAGACACAGCTGAAAGCCACGGATGCCTTTGAGCAGTTGGTAAAAATCATGCCAATCTGCCAGGCTGTTGCTTGCTTCTAAATATAAGCCTCATGGCTCTATGAAAGATTTTCTAAGGATGCTAACCTAGAATTTAAGTTCTCCAACACCTATAAAGTAACTCTGGTCTCCTTCCAAAGTATGCACCTTTTAGCAGGCCCAAGACAATGGAAACGAACAATAGGATTCCAAGGATTCAGGCATAGTGGTTGAAGACTCTTAAGAGAATGTGATGTTGAAGAAATCACACCTGCAGTACTGTAGCCTGGACAGAACAAGGCCAGAGCCAAGCTCTGCAGACTGGTGGGCTTGGGATGGTGTAGGGCAGGGTTTCTCAACCTCAGCACTAGTAGTGCTTGGGGCTGGACCACTGTTTGTTTGGGGGGCTGTCCTGTGCATGGCAGGGTGTTTAGTAGCATCTGTGGCCTCTAACCACTTGATGCCAGTAGCATACCATCACCTCCCCCCCAGCTATGACAACCAAATGTCCCCAGACATTGCCAAATGTACCCTTGGGGGTAAATCTGCCCCTAGTTGAGAACCACAGTTGTAGAGTCAGCTCACTTGAGCCCCTCAGCATGAAGCACTCCCTTTTGGTCTTGGGCTCTAGAAAGAGGCTAAATTTTAGAGCAAGACCAACAAGGTTCAGTTAAAGGGTATTTAGAACTTCAGAGAGGAAAAACGAGGATGGCAGAGAAATAAAGGTAGAAAAACAGTGAAGCAGAGTTTCTTTTCCAAAGGAGATCAGTGATACTTTCATAAAAGTAACATAAGCTTTCATTCACCCTTTTTCTTCTTTAGGAAGTTACGGCCGATAATAGGACATGGATGTCATGAATTCCCCTTCCTAAAGAAAAGGCAAATTTTTCTGACTTTAAATCAAGTCCTTTCTACCATGGATGGCAATCTTTGTGATGTCAGTAATTTTTCATCAACAGGGGAAAACAACAGTTAAAAGCTAAGAGAGGGCCCATTAGGTGTGAGAGAAAACTTTTGCATCCCCCTCCGTGAGCAGGAAGAGAATTGCATGCTGGAAATGCAGATTGTAGTTCACTTACAGCTTATTGGATGAAAAGTCAGAACAGACAAAAGCTGAGAAGAGGATTAAAGAGCTACCTCGAAAACACTGGTTGAAAACATTTGTAGATATCTGTAGGTATTTTCTGGCTCAAATCTGGGAAAGTACAAAAAGTACGTATTGACTCTTCAACAATTAGGTTTACTTTGCTCTAGGTAGAAGGCAAATATTCTAGCCCTTCTTTGAAGAACCGTCATGAATAGAAATGTTCTGCAAACATCTGAGATCCCAGTGTTAGCAAGGATGACAACATGGGAAACCAGCCCCTAGGTGACGAGCCTCGAATGCCACAGCATGGCAACGGGACCGTGCAGTTCCTAAGCGCATAGCACAGTGAGAAGTCTTTCCAGAGAAAAAAAGTGTAGTTTCTGGTTTGCAAGGGGGGAATACAAGGTAGAGATCTAGTATGAAAAAGAAGAGTTAAATACACACCCTTTTAGAGTCATTAGTGTCCAGGCAAAACTGCTGATGGTCCACCTCATTTGTATCATCAAGCAGCTGCCTGGAAAAGCCAGAATTCAGAGCTACCCAAACAGTACTGAACTGGTGAAAGAAGTAAGACAGAAAAAGAACTAAAGAGCATGCAAAACTATTGGTTTGAGTCAAATTTTTTCAGTAATAGTACCCAGTCGAGTTTCATTTTAGTGCCTATTACACTCATTAAAATTAAATAAAAAGCACCTTAAAATGACCTATCTATATAATCAATACACATTATAGTATTTATATAAAAATGCAATATGTGCACAATTTAAGCTTCAGGGAAACTAGGACCTTAGTCTTTATAATCTTCATAATCATCAGAGCTATGATTCTCAAAATCTCGGGGGAGGGTTAACAGTAACAGCACATTTTGATCATAGCTGACTTGATGCAGGGGCTGACACTCAGAATTTGAGGACAAGTAATAAATACTGAGAAGTTATCTCTTTGAGGGGTGGGAGGGACCTTTAAAAGTATTATTGCTCAGAGACTAATTCCAAAAATCTACTACTACTGATAGATGATGGTGCTGAGGTGACTTCCCTCAAGGATGACCCAGAGGCATGGGAGGATAACACTTGATGGCCAAAGGGTTTGATGATACTTGGGAGTAACTTGGGAGCTGAAAGAGATCAGATGAGGGGAAGATAGGTCCTGTTCTGATGGGGGTTGTGTGCGTAACAGGTGTGCATGAAAATCTTGTCATAAGTGGACAGCCCCAGGAAGAAAAAAATGGATAGAGTAATTTTTTATCTATCTGGAATTGCTCCAGGAGCCTTTTAAATATGGTATTGGAGAGAGCAATAGCAAAAAAGGCATTCAGAAATAGAAATGCCACACATATATCTCACACCCCATCAGCCAAGAGTCTCCGGGACAGTGGACAATATTCAGGAGCATAGAGATGGTTTGCAAGATCTGCAGACAGGTACCTCTTATGATCTCACAACAAGGAATGTTCACTGGCAAATCTTTGGTCTACGCTCTACACTAATGCTAAGTGGAAGAGCACATTCTCTCTACAAAGACCCACGAGTAACGCCTCAATCTATTCTCCCCTGTGTGCAAGTAACGTCCCTGGACACAAACAGGAGCCAAGTGTGTGAGGACGGAAACCAGGCCTGCTGGAATTCTCACTGGCCTATCTGACTTTCTTCCCCTGCAGGTTTGGAAAGAGATGCTGCATCTCGTCTGCTACCAAGGATCATGTCTAGAGGCTACTGCTGGGGCCTCAAAGTTGAGCAAGGTTCATACTGTTACAGTCACGTGTAGCCACAATTCAACTCCCTTTAGTAGAAGTATAATACTCACTTCATATCACAAATGTATAAAAATATGGCAGATAGTGTCATAACGATACTTTCTTTAAATGAATATATTTATAAAACAGATATTTACCATATATATATATTATATATAGAATAAAATACTCCTGATGCAATATATAAATGTTACTGTTTAGTTTTTATAGAAACTACTGTAGCTGTCCCACTGCTTCACAATGTTTCAAACAGCTCAAAATAACTTTACATTATAACATAAAAGATATGATTTTAACAGTACAATATTAATTATAAATAAATGTTACAAATCCTATCAAATATGGAAGTTTAGAAAACAATTTAAGACATACAGTTCATCTGCTAACCCTTCAAAGGGATACTCTTGGATTACAATAAACCCCACATTTACTCTAGGCAGAAAAAAATATGTAGTAAGGGCATCGGTCAACACGACTTTCCTATCCCTTGCAGTGCCAGGACACATCCTGGCATTCCCAAGTTCAACAGAGATTGCACTAAAGCTGGAATGTAAAGGGGAGAAACTGGCAAGAATTTCTTCTTCCTCAATGGCACACTCTATCTATTCTCACACAAGACCTGTGGGGAGTGGCGATCCCTAAGGAACTCCTGTGGCTCTAAGATCCCTGACTAGCATTTGTGGCCGCGAGGAGCTCAACGGCCCCAACACATGCAATATTGCACACACCTTCATAAAGCTGAAAATATTGGCTCACCACTTGGCCCGGCCCATGCCCCAAGCCCAGCCCACCCTTTCCCACCCCTCCCCACTGGCTTGTCTGTCCACCCCTCCCCCCTACCAGCACAAATTACAAGGCTGTCTCTTTTAAATCATTCAGATTTGGCATTCGTGAGCGATTTGTTCTGTTATAGGGGTGCCCATTTGGCCCACTTTTGGCACCCAGCTGTTCAGAGTAGGAAGGGCCCTCTGTGGCACTCCTGGTCACAGAGGACACATGCCAACCAGGATCCATCTGACCTGGCAGCTGGAGGGCTGGCCTGCCCTTCGGTGCGGGTTCCTGCCGGATGTTGCTGCTCCCGCCAGAGGCCTGGCTCAGGGGGTGAATCCGAATTTCTGAGAAGGAATTTTTGGTTTGTTGAGCTGTTAAGGGCTGGAAGCGGGGATCTGAGGAAGCCGGGTGATTTGAGGCCGAAGAGAGATGTAACAACTTGCGCAGTGATTTTAATGGCTGGCTCTGAAAGAAAGGATGAGAATGCACACAGGATTCAAGTTAGAGCGACCATAAGGCTGGGGAGGGAAGGGGGCTTAGAGGTGAGGTGACTGGGTGTGGCCAGGAAGGGCAAGCATGTGCAAGGAGGAGCCGGTCCAGCCATATCTGTTCTTCGGGTTTTTTCAAACAAGACTGTATTATTATTTAATGGAAAAGCCTAGAAATCTAGATAAGACATATAGAGCTGGTACGGCAGCCAATCAAAGGCCCAGGCTCATCTACCTGGTTGCATCCTATCTCTAATCAGGGGATCTCATGCTTCAACCAGCAGGAAGGAGAAAGCAAAAGGTGTATGTTTCTCTGTTTTGAGAAGACTTCCCAAAGGCTCCACAAAATGCTTCCACTTATATTTTACCAGCTAGAACTTAGGTACACAGCCATATCTAGCAGCAAGAGAAGCTGAAAATATGGAATGTTTTAGTTAGCAATGTACTCAACTACAAGTCGTATAGCCCTTTTCGTTCTTATCTCCCCAATTTCCCTCTCTCGATATTGCAAAATTCAAATGTTCCCTTGCTGCACTTTTTTTTTTTTTTTTTTGCTTTTTTTTTGAAAGGGGGAGGGTAACATTTGGGCATTGAAAATGCAAAGCACAAAGAAATATGCAAAACCCCATCAGAACTATCTAAAGAATTAATTCACAGGAGGCCTTCAATTCCTAACATGGGCTCACAGTGGTCCGCCCTGCCTGTCTGTCTACTGTGCAGCTAGACATCCCCAGGTGCTGCATCAAGGAGGGAGACTGACTTCAGGGCAGAGGGGAGGAGCCTCAGAGCCGTCTGCTCACTGGACAATTCCTGAGCCTCATGCTCCTGAACGATGAAAGATGGCTCAATCTCCTCTTCCTCGATCTCGGAAGAGACATGGAAAGCACTTGGAAATTCACAGCCAATCATGACTGCTGGATTTGGCCACTTGGGCTACAACCCTAGCCTTGGGACCCCTCTGGGGCCAATTCTCAGAGTACCTTTGCTGTAAATGTCATGGTATAAGGGACATGCATTTAAGGGCTCAGTAAAGTTTGAATAAAATGTTGACGAACTCAAGGAACATTACAAGATTTGAAGGAACTAGGCACTGAAACCCAAGGTAAATGGCTTCAGAACTGACTCAAGTAGATATTGTTTCAGGGGAAAGTATTCTCCATCATCATTTCAAAGTCTTCCCAAGAAAGCTTTGTGCTCCCTACAGGAAGTAGCAGAGCACACTGTACACTCTAAGTGCTCAAAAGTGGCTTTTTAAAAATAATTAAATTGGTATAACACGATGAGACTCCTGGTGATTTTTATAGCCTTGACCACATGTAACTATCAAGCAATTACAATAAGCTGCATTCAGCAAGAGCTATAAAGTTATTTGAAAAGAGCTTCTAGCCTGGGCAACAAGGCGAGACCCCGTCTCTATAAAAAAATTAAAAAACTGGCCATGTATGGTGGCGTGTGCCTGTAGTTCCAGTTACTCTGGAGGCTGAGATGGGAGAATGGCTTGAGCCCAGGAGGTCAAGGCTGCAGTGAGCCATAATCTTGCCACTGCACTCCAGCCTGAGTGATTGAGTAAGACCCTGCCAGAAAGAAAGAGAGAAGGGGGGGGAGGGGGGGGGAGAGAGGGGGGAGAGAGAGAGAGAGAGAGAGAGAGAGAGAGAGAGAGAGAGAGAGAGAGAGAGAGAGAGAGAGGGCTTCTTGGTAAAAGAAATGGTTTCACAAAGAAAGTTCTAAAGCTCTCTATTCTTTTTGTTTTGTTTTGAAATTGGGAATAGAGAAGCAGGCCCTCACTCAGAGGCTTGTCTCTTTAGTTTGCATACATATCCAATAAACTTGGATATCTGGTTCTCTATGCTTCCACCATCCCCAGCTTATATTATGTTAGAAGCAGAAAATATAAATGGCTGGGGCAAATAGAATGGGAATATGGGGAACTTCTGCCAGCAGTTCTATGCAACAGCTTACAGTTAAAAAGAGTAAACAGAGGCTGGGCATGGTGGCTCATCCCTGTAATCCCAGCACTTTGGGAGGCAGAGGCAGGTGGCTTGCTTGAGCCCAGGAGTTCGAGACCAGCCTGGGCAACATGGCAAAACCCCGTCTCTACCAAAAATTCGAAAAATTAGCCAGGTGTGGTGGTGCACACCTATAGTCACAGCTACTTGGGAGGCTGAGGTGGGAGGATTGCCTGAGCACAGGGAGGTTAAGGATGCAGTGAACCGAGTTTGTGCCATTGCACCCTAGCCTGGGCAATGGGATTGAGGCCCTGTCTCAAAAAAAAAAAAAAAAACAGTAGTCCGCTCTCCCAATCACAGAAATCTGTGACACAAGAAATCACAGACACAAGTAATCCTATAGCCTCAAAAGCTCGGGAGGATTGTCAGAAATTATAGTGCAGAAGAATAAAGGATTTATAAAATACTCAATATCAAAAAACAAAATGCTCATTATGGGATACTGAAAAGATACATTACAAAATTTCCAACCAAAATAGTTGTTTAAAGGAGATAAACCTCAGATACCTGAAAAATTTACTGATTCAGTTTCTGCTTATTCCTCCATTACGGAAGATAAATGTGACTATATAATACAGTCTAATATGTAGTTCCTAATGCAACTGTTTGCCTGTTTCCTGTCAAAAACAGTATGGATTTCAGGAGTTGAAATATTCTTTCAAGAAAACTTATCATACCTGTCTTTCAATTTGTATGCTATTATTTTTAATGAAACCTTAATCTTCCCACCATCTGTGTTCATCCTGCCTGAAATGTTATGGCATGCCTCATTTTTTACCATGAATTATGGTTCTTTAACACAGCTCAGCTCTTTCCTGGGCTGTATTTATGGGCTGGGACTACATCTTCAGTTGCCTCCAGCTAGGTGAAGGCTAACAGAAGCTTGCATCTTTCCCAGTAGAACATGGGTCACTGAAGCAAGATTCATCCTGGCTCACGAGATGCATCTGGCTATAACTGAGGGTCTATTTTGAGGAGGTGCTCAGCCTTACTGTAACATTGAGAGGCTAAGTTTTCTCTAGCATGCCCTCCCCGCTCCTCAGGACAGTTACTGGAGAGTTGGAGAGTCTAGCAGTGGTGCAGGATCCACTCACTTGGGTCTGCAGATCTGAGATCTTCTCGGGGCGCCACTCCTTTGGTCTGCTGCTTGGAGTGCTAGCAGAATGAATGGATTTCTGCAACGTCAGAAGATCAGGGCTGTCGGAATTGGGTACCTAGAGCAAAATATGGACAAGCATTCAATAAGCACACTGAGAAGCCTAATTAAGATATGCAACCACACCCAAGAGGAGAACCAAACTAAAAAGCAAACCAAACCAAAACTCAAATAACCCAGTAAAAATAGAACCCCAATCTCTCCCAATGTTCACAATGCAAGTGATGCTAGTTAAATTCTTCTGCCCTCTTAATAATTTTCCCTGCATTAGGAAAAATTGGCAGATGTCATGCAGCTTTGTTAAACCTCAACCCTTAAAGCATTCCCATGCTGTTAGTTTTAGTCGCTGTAAGAGAGAGCAGTTAAATAGGGCTGTACCAGGAATTGCTGTCGTATCCTCATTCCATATTGCAGTTAGGTTGTGAACCAGTTCAATAAAACAGAAATTTTTTCCTGCTGGGAAAATGATCCAAACACTGTATATGGTAGTGCCAAAGAAGTCTGGTAGGCTTTCAAGGATAGCAAAGTGAGAAAGTATGGTTTGGATCATATTCCCAAACCACTGTCTGATATATCTGGATCTATCATTATGTACTAGAGAAATGCTGGAAATCTGTGCCACAAATTCCAGATGAATGCAATTGCTCTATTCACCAGTTTTGGTGAACACAGAAGAGTAATGTCAAATGCCAAGCAAAAGCCCTGGTTTTAAACTGACCAGCAAAAGCTCAAGCCAGACAAGGAAACAAGCTGTTTTTTCATGGAGCCTGTTAGCTCATTCAATTTGGTCAATTCAACTTGGCTTCAAAAAGACAAATTGCCAATCAAGTGTTAACAAACTCTGTGAGTCAAATGCAAAGATATTTGTTAACTGTAAATGTTAACAGAATTCCTTACATAAAATACAGGCTTTTATAAATGTTATCTGCCCATAACTGGCTAATCAGACATGACAAACTAGCCTTTCACTAGTTTGTTTGCTTAATAGACTTTGTGCTTCAACTTTCTTAACTGATTCAGAAGAATGGCAATGAATTTATATCCCAGTGAATTTATGGAACTGGCTCACGTACTTAACTAGCATAAAGAGAATATGACCTCATGAAAATAAGACATGCTGTTGTCATCAGTAAAACAAGTTTACTGGAGCAGTTTTCAGGGCTACCATACATAAAAACGGGTACCATGGGTGGAGTGACTACAGGAAGCTTTTTCAAAGAAGAACTATGCTTTAAATGATTCTTTGAATTAAAAAGAGGAAAGAGGGATTTCTTGATGCTTGGATTCTCCCCGTTGGTGGAATCTGTCTGCAATATAAGATACAAATAAACTAATTGCAAAAAAAAAAAAAAGTGCTCTTATTGAAACTACTAGCCCTTGGAAGCCCTCAAATTGCTAAATATTAACAGTCACTGAAAGAATCTCGGTGCTGTGCATCTAGAGCTTCTGTGCCAATTCTCACCTGGATGTGAAGATGTCAATAATGCAAATTCAAGACAAGCACAAACTTCTTCTAAGTATATAATGTGAGATCATGATCAATACCTCTAGTAGGAATGCCAAGAGACCTAGACACACCTACTCACATTAAGCTTATAAAACGTTAAATAATTTTTACTTACTATCAGAAATATGGTTATAAAGAACTGTGTTAAAGAGCTACTGATAAACTTCAATCTTCTCCTAATTGCTAGAGAGGACTTCAGCAAGTAAAAAATCTACCATGTAATTTGCCTATTAGGAGAAAAAAAATCCCAACATACTGGAAACCCTTTCGAATTTGGTCAACTTTTAAGCCTGAAAACATCACTAGGAAGAGGTATTGATCACTGTGGTGGGATACTAATGTTGAGTAAGAGGCCTTGTTCTGTACTGCTAGAAATATTTACCCAATGGAAAACATCTAGCACAATTCAGATACTGGTTTTCAAAGAGAAGAAACAGAAATTTCAATATTTAAATGGAAGCATCATCACAAGTTGAGATACTAACTAACTAGGATACAATTACCAAGTTGGCAAAGTCACCATATGCTCTGAGGACTTATGTAACTCTGGATATGTAACCAAAGCCAGATTTCCCAAGGCAGCTTCCAGATTTGCTTGAGTCGAAGCAGGCACCTTTACAATACAGAATTATTTTTTTTTGTCACCACTTTTCCCTGTTTTGGATATCTCAATTGTCAGAGAACTAGAATGTCTATGAAGGTATTCAAGTATTTAGGTAATCTTTTAAGGGTATATGTAAAAAGGGATTTGAGTAAAACATCCCACAAATTTTCTTGTTCCAATGACAGGAACCTCGAGGAAGAGTTTAACTTGCATCGCTGAAGAGGCCAGAGGAGAGCTCCTAGAGGCTCCCCACAGAGGCGGGTCCATGGTATGAATTGAGCCTGGACTTGGTATTTAGGAGAACGCAGTTCTGGTTCTCCCAGTTGATTATGTGATTTTTGGGCTTTGAAGCAAGCCCACAACTTGCTTGGGCTCAGTTCCTATACCAGTGAATAAAAAAATTCAACTAGATTTAGGATCCACCTCAGCTTTAACATGTCATGCGTCTCTATGTACACTGGGCATCAGATTTTCATTCTTTTGGAATCTTATGCAAAGGCCACAATGCCTTAAATCTTTTGAAGCTTATTCTATGTAGTTTCTTTTTGCTGAGTTCTAGAAAGTGAAAAACTATTAACAGTTTAAATGCTCATTCAAAGTAGGCAGAGTTAACCCAATGTCAGGCGTAGGACTCTGAGGTTTGGAAGGCTGTACTGAGCGCTCTTTGGAAATCCCAAAGCCCTTAAATTTTATGTTTCATTTAATTAAAAGATGCAGAGATACAAACAACTTTTGGGTTGGTAAAGCTTAAGGCATTATGGCCTATGCAGAGATATTCTACAGTTACTTTAATATCAAAAAGGAAACTTATGAAAACCTAATAAAAAGTTTAAGTCGAGAGGATGTTAGAGAATGGTTATTTTCCTTTTTACTCTAATCTATATTACTAAAATATCTAAAATTTAACTAAATTCTGAATAATAAAGTCAGCCAACATGTATACTCTACTTGTGCCACAGTGAGCCAGGGACTTTAGGTTTAATGTTGCTCTACAGTAAACATCAAAATCTAAATCTATATACAAAAACACCTTCAATTCCTTAATCTTTCCTACTTTCTACCACTTAATCACCCCACAATGCCAGGAGACCTGTGGTTTAGAACAAAAACCACAAAATAAAAATAACAGTGGTCAGGAGGTAGCCAAAGTTTAACGCTCATGATAGAGAAACATGTTCTACAGACAATGATAAAAGTTTTATTAACACTTTAAACATTTTAAGTATTCCTATGTTAAATCAGGTCTATTTGTTCACCCAGTTTAAGTAACAATTATAGTAGTATCTGACTGAGTGGCATTTTGATTTGACACTTTAAAAGTAAGCTTCAGTTAAAAATATGGGCAGTTTTTTTAATGACTACTTCAGAAATATTATGCAGCCATTAGGATTGAAGATAATAAAGTATTTGTAGTAACATACATATTCTGTGCATGTAGATATAGATAGATAAACTGTTAAAAGCCAGAATACAAAATCGTACTAAAAGGATTGCTCTAATTTAAAACTTAAAAAACAAACAAACAAAAAAAAACCCCACCTTCTTGCCACAAACATATGCATAGGCTAAACAGCTGGAGGAAAATATACCAAAATCCTAATACTAGTTGTGGTAGGGTATTAAGATTTAAAACGATCTTTTTCTTTTTCTCAAATTTTCTATAATGAACTCATATTTATTTTATAAGGAAATACATAAATTTAACAAGCAAGCAAGTGAAAGAATGATCTAGAAAGATTATCTAGGAAGGTATTTGTTAACATTTCTAGAACATCTGTGAGATAAAAATGCTTACTTCAGGTTATTTATACACATTGCTATGAACATCTACCTAATCTACTTCCCATTGAGTCATAATTCTATAATTTTCATAATAGAAAGGGCCTCAGAAACACTGGGTCTAATCTACTAAACTTATAGATGAAATCAGTGAAGTCCATCTGAACAGGCCATTTTGATTGTGTCTTTTTCCTCTTCAAATAAATAAGAATAAATTACGTATGAAGTAAAACTAGAACCAAAACCATTCAAAATGGCTAACTAGGCCAGGCACAGTGGCTCATGCCTAGCACTTTGGGAGGCCTAAGTGGGCAGATTGCTTGAGCTCAGGAGTTCGAGACCAGCCTGGGCAACATGGTGAAACCCTGTCTCTACAAGAAATACAAAAAATTAGCTGGGTGTGATGGCGTGCACCCAGTTATTTGGGAGGCTGAGGTGGGAGATCACTTGAGCCCAGGAGGTAGAGGTTGCAGGGAGCTGAGATCATGCCACTGCACTCCAGCCTGGGCAACAGGGTGAGACCCTGTCTCTAAAATAAATAAATAAATAAAAACGGCTAACTCTACCTTGTTTAGCCTTGAAGTTGTCATAAAGAAAAGGGGGATGCAGCCTCATCTAGGGGAAGAACTACTCCTGCTGCTGTCCTACAGGCCGGGTTTCCCCAAGGTTCTCATGTCACTAAACCAGCAGGATCCTTGCTTGGGTGGTTCAGTGAAGTGATGTGAACGGTCCCATGGAGCCAGCTCTTTGTTCAGGCAAAGGGCTCCCAGGAGATAAGGTGCATTCCAACCCACAGCGCGATCAAAAGGCAAACATATTTTCCTTCTAACGCAAGCCCTAAAATCCCAGATACGATCTTTGTGACTATATAACTCAGAAACACACCTGGCAACGTAGGAATTCTGTAACCAGCCAGGAGAGAATAAGGAATGATGGTTATTTACAAATTTCAACATTTAAAAGTAAACCAAAACCCATTTCCTAAGTTTATGCATATCTTTAAATCCCCAGAGAGAAACAAATCCTGTGTCTTCAAAGTTTTTACATTAATATAAGCCCACATAGATAAGAAGTATATTGAGAAAGGCTTAAAGTGTTCTCTGTCATCCAAATTAAATTTCTTCTATTCCTGGAGATTCTGTTGAATGTAGAAAAGGCTCTGTTGAGAGGATAGTTGTAAAGAATTTCAGAAAGAGACATAATACAGTGCAAAAATGTCAAGTCTCAATAAGAAAACAATCAACTTTGATTGCCAAGTGCAAAGTGTAAAGTATCCATTGAATAATGCAGAAACATGTTATTATATATAGAAACTGGTCATCTACTTACTGTTTGAGATTTCTTCTTTTTCTTTTTCATTGACCTGAAAAATCCTTGCTTCTCTTTTTCCTTGAGTTGCTCTGAATGACTAATATTTTCAGGACTTTTCCTAAATGAGAAGACATTTTTATCATATTGATTTTTCAATCATTTTCTTGCCATTGTGTGACAAATATAATAAGGACTGAAAATGCATGACACTAGGTTCCTATAGCCGGGAAGAATCAAACACTTGGGTAAAGAGCCTCTAAAAAAGCACAGGAGGAACTAAATTTAATCAACCATGGTTAGTGATTATCCTCTGGCACAGGCTCACTCAAAAGAGCAATTTGAGCATTATATGACCTGTAACTGTTGCTGCAAGACTATTTCCATGCTGTTGAAGACCTCAGAGTTTGAGATTATGAAAAGTACACAGCTTAAAGGATGGCTTTTCTGTAACTCTACAAGGGAAAGAGCAAAACATTTTCAACACCTACCTTCATTTTTCTATTTACCTTTTAAAAACCAGCTCGACAAGTTTATTATTAGCGACTTGTCAAGATACTGAACATAAAGATCAATACAGCTATAAAAACATCTTGAATGAAAGTAAAAATTTGCCAGAAACTGGAAATATCCTACTTATTAAACCTTTTATGTATTTATTAAAACTAAATAAAAATAGTTAAGAAAAAAATGTAGGGACAGGTGCAGTGGCTCACACCTGTAATCCTAGCACTTTGGGAGGCTGGGACAGGATCGCTTGAGGTCAGGAGTTTTAGACCAGTGTGGGCAACACGGCAAGACCCTGTTTCTTTAAAAAAAAAAAAAAAAAAGCTTTCACGGGGCGGGGGGAAAAGCTTCTAACTGAAAATACTGACATTAAGCTTGATACCACTGACACCACCAGGTATTCTGAACTCAGAATGATACATTTATAATTTTGAAAGCCAGAAAACTTCAGACATGATGAAATGGGTAAGTGTTGAAAACTTAAGAGTCTTTATTTTTATTTATTTATTTTTGAGACAGTGTCTTGCTCTGTTGCCCAGGCTGGAGTAAAATGGTGCGATTTTGGCTCACTGCAACCTCCACCTACCGGGTTCAAGTGATTCTCCTGCCTCAGCCTCCCAAGTAGCTGAAATTATAGGCATGCACCACCAGGCCTGGATAATTTTTTTACTTTCAGTAGAGACAGGGTTTTACCATGTTACCCAGGCTGGTCTCGAACTCCTGACCTCAAGTGATCTGCCCACCTCAGCCTCCCAAAGTGCTGGAATTACAGGTGTGAGCCACCGCGGCCAGCCAAAAGAGTCTTTAAATGTAGTGTTGTATTGTTGCGAAAAACATTCTAAACCCAATGACAGACTGGGCCTAGGCCCTGGGAATTTGGTAAAAGTTTCTTGTGACAAGTTCTTTTGCAATTAAGGAGATGAAACCCTCTTGCATGGGGCTTAAAGACAGACTGTCGTAAGCTAAACTCCAAGACACAGCATTCAGTCACTTGCCATTGGTAAGGAACACTGCAGAAGAGTGGGGTTTTCTGGAATCACAAAAGCATGACTCTGGATGGAAAGGAGCCTCAGAGAGCATCTAGTAGAAATGGCAATACTATTTTTAACGTTCTGTAACTTCTAGAGGTTAAAGAATTATACGTTTATGAAAAAGCTATGTCGTTCCACAATACTATCTGCAAAAACACAACCTAGAAGCACAACAGAATATTCAGATTAATGGGTAGAAGTTTTTACCAAGCAGAATGAAAGTCTCACAAAATACCACAGGTGTGTTGAGGGTAAAAGTGCTTTCTGCCAATCCAGCAAATCTTTAAGGAAGACATATTCATCATGACTGCCATCTCAGAATGTGAATGGGCATTACTGTAAGAATGTTAATGCTGGCACAAGAGGAAATGAAGGCTTGAGACACCAGTCCTAGGAGGAAGTAGGATCTTGCATGGTAAGAGGAGAATCTATGCAGGATGAAACGGTGAATAAGATGAAAGTGAGAAGGGGAGGGTAATAAAAGGAAAGCTCAATGTTTGCAGTTTGCATGTTGCATCGTTGGGTCCCCAGGACACAGGGAAGATGGGCCAAAGACCCTCTACAGGGGCTTTTCAAGAGGCACTGGATAAACCACAGCCCAGGTGGGGATAGAGGAATGATTGGGACATTTTCAAAGATCCAGGCAGAGAAAGATCCCAGAGGCCAAATGAAAAAAAGAAATAAATTACCCTTGAACTGGTGGGTGAAAACTAGGAGCGAAGCGTGTGTTTGCATCACCAAAGACAGAAAGAAGGATGTCAGAGAGGAAAAACAAAACAAGCGAGAAGCTATGCAGAAACATACATACCCAAAGAATTAACACAGAAAGGGAAGGGAGAAAAGGCTGACAGAGTGACTCAGAGACAGATGGAAAGAGGCTGGCTGGAACAAAGGCACTTGAAAAGCTGTGTTGTATAAAGGAATGCAGAATGAGTTATACATTGACAGCTGGAACTGAGCCATATGGGTAAGGGTGTGGTTGGTCATTTCCCTCATTTGCGCATTCTGGCCCCTGTGATTCCACCTGGAAGACAGCAGCTTCGTGCTGAGTGGGGTAAAGAGGAGCAGCACAAAAGAAGGGTAAATAGGGGGTTCACATCAATCTCAGAGACAGAAGCTTTGAGAAGGACTATTCATCCAGTCACCTGGCACCTTCTCCAGAGCAGCAGTTGGGACCAAAACAGTACGGGAGGAGGGCAATGAGACAAGTGGTAAGCAGGCACACAGGCATGGGACTCTAACGTTATCTAACATGACAGCTATTTCCATAAGGGTCCAAGAGGAGACACAATTCCAAAGATTCACCTAAAGAAAGGAAGGAATTAAAATCCAATGAATCACTCAACCAACATTCAGCAAGTACTTTATACATGTCAGGCCCTGTGTTAGGTGTTGAAGAAACAGAGAAAAATAAAAGAACGAATCTGATCTCACTCAAGCTGCTCACAGACTCTTGTTGGGGGTAGGGGACAGGTTTGACAGCTAGGGAATGGGGCGGGGGAGCATCATGGTCAGGCTTATGGGACTTCAGTATAATCCCTCTGAGAGCAGCATGGAAGGTGAGCTGAAGTGGTGAGGAGCATTACTCTGTGACACTTTCTCTGCCACCTGCCCCTCCCCTGGCGATGTGATAAGCGTGGTTAGCTAATGTGTGAGAAGAGAGAGTCAGTGAATAATTCTACGGGAGTAACTCTGAAAGTTATGATGACAAGCACTAATGGATATCAATATATTCATAACCTTACGAGAAAAAGAAGGCTGGAATTGTGCAAGTTACAGCAATTCTTCATTTAACTAGTGGGATTTCTTTCTTTTTTTTTTTTTTAGACGGAGTTTCGCTCTTGTTGCCCAGGCTCGAGTGCAATGGCGTAATGTCGGCTCACCGCAACCTCCACCTCCTGGGTTCAAATGATTCTCCTGCCTCAGCCTCCCGAGTAGCTGGGATTACCAGCATGCGCCACCATGCCCAGCTAATTTTGTATTTTTAGTAGAGACGGGGTTTTCCCATGTTGGTCAAGCTGGTCTCGAACTCCCAACCTCAGGTGATCTGCCCGCCTTGGCCTCCCTAAGTGCTGGGATTACAGGAGTGAGCCACCGTGCCTGGCCAACTAGTGGGATTTCTAAGTAATTTGGTTTACTCTTTAAACATCAATTTTTAACCCAATTGACAGCAGTCTTTCTAAACATATTTATACATTTTGTCTTTCAAAGCAAAGTGAAGCTGCCTGTTTTATAAACACACACTCCATAGAGATCTATGATATGTATGATTTTCCAACCTGCTTCTCTCCATAGCTATTGCTTGGATCCTTTTCCCTCTGCATACTGTAGTATTACCTTGAACTATTTCTTGCCCTGACAACCTCAGTGCTGCCTGCTAGAACTGAGCATAAATGAAGAACAGACTCCAAATGAGGGTAGGGGTGTTATCCTATTAGTAAAGATGATTAATCCCACCATATTAACTCTATTTTGCTTGTTCTGAGATATTTTGGCTATCTCCTGATTCTTAAGTGGGTTCTACATAACTGAGATGGCCAGAATAACAGCTCTGGATATCATACTGCAATATCTATTTATTGCTTTAAAATATAACATAGTAGCTTGACTTTTCCATTGCAAGAAAGGGGTACACTGTACAAATATTCTCTTCCTGAAGTAAATCTGAAGTACAACTACCAAGGAAAAACAGACTGACCTTAGGTAAGAGATTATTTAGGAATAGCAATTCACGGCCAGGCACAGTGGCTCATGCCTGTAATCCCAGGACTTTGGGAGGCTGAGGCAGTCAGTCACTTGAGCTCAGGAGCTGGAGTCCAGCCTGAGCAGCATAGTGAGACCCCATGTTTACAAAAGATACAAAAATTAGCCAGACATGGTGGCATGTACCCACAGTCTGGGCTACTCAGGAGGCTGAGGTAGGAGGATAGCTTGAGCCCAGGAAGCAGAGGTTGCAGTTAGCCAAGATTGCACCACTGCATTACAGCCTGGGCAACAGAGCCAGACCCTGTCTCCATCCCCTCGCAACAAAGAATAGCAATTCACTATATTACCATAACAAGGCTCTTTGATGTTTTTTGTAAGTTACCAAATGTGCATTTCTCTCAAATATGAAGAATCTGATGAACCAATTCGAGAGCTTGTTCAAGAAAAAAAATCAAGATGAGTCAAGTTGAACTAATGACAGACTAAGTGAGATGCGATGAAGGAAGGAAATACGTCATAGCAGCATTATCACGAAGAGTTAACAGAAACAAAAGAATAGAGCCAGTTCATCACTGGCAATTCTGGAACTCTCAAGTCTCATAACAGCAATACTAGAATAAGGATGACCTGATGAAGACTCAACTAAAGTTCAACATCCCAATTGAGCCTCTCATTCTTTTTAAAACAACTCTTTTTAGGTTTCTGTACATATCCACGCGTAAAACAAGTTCTACTTAAACTGATTATCAAAAGACAGAAATAATACATTACTAACACTGTCTATCTCAAATTTGGATTTAATTTTGATCTGACCTAATTTTCACAGGACTAAGGTAATCTGTAATTGTTACTCTTTTAAATCATCACCACTTCATTATGTAATAATCAAGAGAATCCAATTCCTTCTGCACTTCTGTATTCTCACCATTTAGACAATTTTGTCATGACTTATCAAAGCCACACCAGAAAATGGTCAACACTGGTAAGTAAAGAAGTTATACTTGTGTTCTCACGTTAATTCGCAGATCTTTTCTATATACTAGGGAGCTTAAAACAGTCACATGGAGAAAGAACACCAAAGTTTATCATCAAAATGGAGGGGAAACACCTGATGTTGAAGTTAGATGACAACGATAGTAACTGCAGTCACTAACATTAATGAATGCTTACGGAGCCAGGCATTATTCTAGGTGCTTTTAATGCATTGCCTCATTTAATTATCACATGAACCCTATGAGGGAGGTGCCATTCTTAGCCCTATTTTACACATGAGGAAACCAAGAGACAAATAGACACAGTCCTCTGATTGATAGACAAGTTGCCATCAACCAAGATATCCTATTTCCAGAGTCTAAACTCTTAGTCACGAACATTAAGACTGTCATTTTATAAATAGGCAATGGATGTAAATTGTGCTTATACAGCAAAAGTGTATTTATAGCTTTTAAGAAGTCATTTTTTATATTGTTTTAAGAATAATTAAGTAATTTTCACTATAGGGCACAACAACACTGAAACCTTGATGTAACTTTATCAACAGGGTCCAAATTGTGACATCACATGGAGTCAGGAGTACTGACATAAGGCCCTTCTGTTACTTCTGGCAACAAACACCAGAGAGGGACTCTCTGACAGACTGGTCTTGTTCCAAATCCAGTGTCTTACAGTGATGTCCCATTTTATGCTCTTGGTAGAGAACCTGGGCAGTCTTTCAGGGTAGTTGAGAAGAAGTCTACATTATTATTTTTCTTAAAGTCCTTACTCCTCAGACAGATTTGCTAATGGATCTTGATAAAACTGTAATTCTCTCCCTAAATATTTATTAGATGCGACACAAAAAAGATAAAAGAATAAGAAAAGTTGCCACATCATTTGTGCCTTTCATTACCATTATGCTTTTATGGTAGCATAAAGGACTGTTCCCCTATTTCTTTTTACCCTGAATGACAGACAGGTAGCACAGAGGTAACAACCATGAGCTCTGGAGTCGGAGCCCATTTAAGTTTGAACCCTGGCTCCCTTCTCCATGTTACTGGCTGTCCAACACCGGGCCAGTTCCTCGACTTTTCCAAGCTTCAGTGTCCCTGCCACTAGCATGGAAGCACAGTGTGACTATGAGAACTGACTGAGACGATGCACATCAAATGCTAAGCAAAGTGTACCTGGCTCAATGTCAACAAAAGGAGACCGCAAAAGTCATCATTCATATCAGAACAACACAGTGGAAAGCGTATCAGGTATTTAATAATCCAGGAGATTTTTTTTCCCTTACATGATATTTAATCTAAATGCCAAACTGGAAAAAAGTTACCAATAATGAAAAATCACATTTTCCTTATTCAATAATTTATCTAGAGAAAAAAAGGCCTAGCAGGAGAAAGGACACTAAAAAGCTCATCCAGAATTTATTTCAACTCTTAAATCTACAATTAAAAAAAGGAAGAGTAAAAACAAACCAAAATGCTCACCATGGATCGAATGCTGGTTGTCTTTTTGAGTGGTTGGTTCCAGAACTGCTCTCTGATGGTAGAGAAGAAACTCTAGTTGACACATTATTTTCATGGAAAGAATTGTCTGGACGTGGAGATGGCACTGAATAAAGAAAAAGTAAGTCACTGATGGACTTTTCTTTTTTTTTTTTTTTTTTTTTAGACAGAGTCTCGCTCTGTCACCCAGGCTGGAGTGCAGTGGCGTGATCTCGGCTCAGTGCAGCCTTGACCTCCCAGGCTCAAGCAATCCTCCTGCCTGAGCCTCCCAAAGTGATGAGATTACAGACATGAACCACCACAGACGGCTGATGTTCTCTTTTGGTCAAAGCAGTTTTCACGTTATCCTACTGCATTTTCTCTAACACAAATAAAACAACAAACAAACATATAAAAATCCTCATCAGCTCTTCACATAACTTTTGTGTTTTCTGAGGGTGAAGGCATTCCAGGGAACCTTGTCCCTCCATCCACTGCTTATGACACTAATTTGCAAGGGTTAGTTAACACCAAGTAATGTGTATTGAAAACAGTAAACTGACCTGCCAGCTGATAAAGTGAAGAACATTATATTTTTTTTCTCTCTCTCTTTTTTTTTTTTTTTAAATAAGAGACTGTTACTCATGCTGGAGTGCAGTGGCACAATCATGGTTCACTGCAAACTCCACCTCCCAGGCTCAGGTGATCCTCCCACCTTAGCCTCCTGGGTAGCTGGGACCACAGGTGCACACCACCACACCTGGCTAATTTTTTGTAGAGACAAGGTTTCACCACGTTGCCCAGGCTGGTCTCGAACTCTCGAGCTCAAGTGATCTGCTCACTTCAGCCTCCCAAAGTGCTGGGATTACAGACATGAACCACCGCGCCCGGCCAGGGTATTTTCAAGTGTGAATCTTGTAGCCCCTACCACCATTCCCTGCCACCGTTTTGGCATTCTTTGAAGTTAAAGCTTTCTTATCATAGACCAACAATGTAAAATCTATTCTTAGTTTGAAGTAATTAATATGTGTGCTGAAACAGACAAACTACAGTTTAAGCCTTGACACTTGGGAGGTAGTATCACTCGTTTTTAAACAAAATTACACAGAAATTTAGCTATTTCTACAAAAATATTATTTTTCTCTAAATTCTAAATGAAAAGAAAAAGATAAAATATAATGTATGTGAATAAATACTTTTCTGCTTTTGGGGGGATAGTTATTAACTTTTTCTGTCAATTTCTAAGAATGGTTATAATAAAAATATACTGGAAATTTTACCACAAAAGGAATATACAGACTGTATATAAAGATAAATGACACAATTTCACTTGACTCTTGACCAATAGGAATGAAAACAGGAAGCATTCTGGAAACATCTGTTATTTCAATGATACCACCAAATCTTCCTCTAGGACTTAGTAGTATCATTGAAATGACAGATGTCTTCAGATGTTTCATCTAGTTAAATATTTTCCTTCTATATCTGAAATTTTTAAAATTAAAACATTCCACCTGCCAAGCTCTCACTACCCTCTCTACTAATGAGGTAGAGACATATGAAGTATTTCTCTGAATTAACCAATTTATTTTTTTTTGCAATCAAAATAAAACCGTGTTTCCAGAGGTCAAAGACTAACTAACTTAAATCTCCATTAGCATTTTATATTAATGTATATTCTCCAGACATCTATAGAAATAACACACCTATGCTACATTTTGGAGGTAATGCTTTGGTGATAGAAGAAAAGGCTTTTGCACATGTATGTTACAATATTTTAATTAAATTAAATCTTAATTAAAAGCTTAGTCCCATAAAATTCTTTTTTTTTTTTTTTTTGTTTTGAGACGGAGTCTTGCTCTGTCGCCTAGGCTGGGGTGCAGTGGCGCGGTTTTGGCTCACTGCAAGCTCCGCCTCCCGGGTTCACGCCATTCTTCTGCCTCAGCCTCCCAAGTAGCTGGGACTACAGGCACCCACCACCACACCCGGCTATTTTATTTTTTATTTTTTTTAGTAGAGACGGGGTTTTGCCATGTTAGCCAGGATGGTCTCGATTTCCTGACCTCGTGATCCTCCTGCCTTGGCCTCCCAAAGTGCTAGGATTACAGGCGTGAGCCACTGCGCCCGGCCAGTCCCATAAAATACTAAAGCGTAATCATGGTATCAGGAAAAATGGCATATTCAATCAATACCTTATGCTTTTCCAAAGGTGGGGCTGGAAGGGAAGGAACAGAGTAGCCTAATCATTAAATATACATTTAGTCCTAAATAACACTTCTGTGCATTTATTTAGCTGGGGTTCCTAATTAAAATGACTAAGCAGTTCTCCATGCCCCCGCCCCAAATCCTGCCCCTTTCCAACTATCCTCTTAAAACAACAGAAATAGTGGGAAGTTAGGCAACATGGGCATAGGAGGCTTTAGAAAGCTGTGGTGACTCTTGAAGGCTTTACAGGCCTCCTGACCCAAGGCCTTGCTCTTGGCCCTGTGGGCTTGCTGTCCATTTTCTCCACCAGGGTGTTGGAATGCCCAAGGGCTTTACAATCTATTACTGCATAGTTACTAAAAGGGATTGCCTTTGTCATTCAATGTCTCCTAAGTTTGTACAACCCCAAAAGCATCTGTTTTAGTTGTCTGCTAAATAACAAAGTACATTTTAGCCCGTGCAAGTACACTTGAAATTTTTCTTTAATTCAATTGACAAATATTTATGAAACTGTGCGAGGCAGTGTACTAGTCAATGAGAATAAAAAGAAGAGAACACGAAGAGAACTGAATGTCTCACAACCTTGTGAGAGAGAACTCAGACAAAGAATCAGTGCAATGTGGTCAGTGTTACATCAGAGTTACAGGCAAGGTACGACAGACAGAACGGAGAAGAAAATGTTTCAGTCCATCTGGAACAAACTGTGGGAAGATATTATACTGAAGAGGACCTTAAAGAAAGGGACAGAAACAAGCTGTTCCAGCAGGAGGAAGAGTACATTACAGGCCAGAGGAGGGCACAGCCTGTGCAGTCCCATAGGCTGGGTACGAGAGAGACCTGGGGGGTGGGGGAGAAAGTGGCTGGAGAGCATGGCAAGGGCCAGATCATGGGAAGTCTGGAATGACATCCTAGAGAATTCAGATTTTGTCCTGATGCCAATGGGAAGCCACCAAAAGACTCTCAACAGGTGAGTGATAGGGGATTAGGAGTAGGGTGGGGTGGGGTGGGCAATGGGATGCCTTGCTCTATTTTTTCCCCCCTTGTAGCACTTAATATCTTTTACTGCTCTATATAATTATTATGTTTAGTGTCCATCTCTCCTCCCGAGGAAGTGAGTTCCGTGATGGTGAAGATCTTTGACTATCTTGTTCACCAACAAGTTCTAAGCCAGAACAGTGCCAGACACACAGGTAACATCAATAAGTATGTTATGGCTTGACAGAACAAAATGAGTGGTATGGTCAGAACACAGCTTCAGAAGGATCACTCTAGTCTCTATATTGATGGGTACCTTGGAGATAGGGAGACCAGTTAAGAGGCTACCTAAGGAGGCCAATTCATAAGCCAGGAGGGCCTGACTTAGCAGGAGCAGAGGCAGGGAGAACCGCTGGAAGGCGACAGTGTAGGTGAGAAGGCCGCTGGCCTGAGTCGGTGAAAGCAGTGTGCACATAAAGTGAGAGAGGGAGGAGAGGGGAACCTGTTGAATGCCGGGGGTGGGCTTACCTCTGTAAAAGCTACCAACTCTCCTTGGCACAGGATCATTGTATAGGTGTCTATTTTCTTTGGGGGCTGTGCCATCATCAGAGTGTGGGTCATGATACACTCCACCCTGAGGCAGGAAAGAAATTTATAAAAGTTAAGCCACACATTGATGACAATATTGCCTATGACTTTTTTCTTGAGACAGGGTCTCACTCTATTGCCCAGGCTGTAGTGCAGTAGTAGGATCATGGCTTACTGTAGCCTTGACTGCCCCAGTTCAAGCAATCCTCCTGCCTCAGCCTCCCGAGTAGCTGGGACTACAGGCACACGCTGCTACACCCAGCTAATTTTTTAAACTTTTTGTAGAGATGGGGTCTTGCTATGTTGCCCAGGCTGGTCTTGAACTCCTGGACACAAGCAATCCTCCCACCTCAGCCTCCCAAAGTGCTGGGATTACATGTGTGAGCCACCTGGCCCAAATTTAGAACCGTACCTAATCAATCTATAATTGACTTAATGATCTTTTTGAAAGAAAACTCAGAATTATGCCACAAGGAAAACTACTTACTTTATAAGCCACTTCAACTTATTTGTGGGAGACTGGGTATTAATACATTTTAAAAGCTAGGCAGTAATGATGTTGAACAAATGTTTACAGGCATATTTTATTGTGACATACCTCAGACTTCTGGCGTGTATGGAAGGAAGAGGTGCCTTCTCTGGAGGTCTCTTTGACCGAAGATCTTGCCACAGTCATCTCTGGAGGGAGCTGTTCTCCAGGCTGGAAGTAAAATTTAAAAGGATTTATAAGAGCATCCTGTTCCTAGGGATGGAACTCATCATGGCCTTTATTTGGTAGAACTAGGACCATAACCAGCTAAAATAAAAAATGTTAGTTGGCTAAAATACAAATAGTCCCATAAAAGTGAATAATCTGATGAATGTAATATAAGTCAAATTTCACACAGATGGAAAGTAAAATTCTCATTAAAGTTAAGGCAAGCAGAGAACAAATTAGTCTGAAAATAGTTCAATTAATTATTAAAAACAAAAAAAATTACCATTCTAATATCTAGACAGTCATGGTTCTGAGCGGCCCTCTGATTAGGAATTCTATTAGTTTATCTGAAATTTCTCTAGCAGATTTTAAGTCTGAGTTCTCCAAAATGAACTGTGCAGTTCCAAAAGTATATTTCATGCAGGACTTATATGGCAAAGTCAGATGAAAATAAATGATTTTTGAATATATCAAGGAATAGAGTAAGTCCTTTTAATAATTTTTTGTGTTAAAATCCTCTTAACTACTATAGTTTATGTGCTTAAATTCTTGTCTTAATCTTCTCTAGGATAACAGCACTTATGTTTCATGTATTTTCTGAAGCCAAATCATGATAGTGCTCATCTCCAAAGACATACCACTATCTTTCTCTCTCAAGGAAGTGAGTCACAAGCTAAGAACAGTACTCGGTCCACAATGGTGTTCACCGAGGGGAAAAAACACAGCATTTTCTATCATCAGAAAAAAAGATTAAGGAAGAAAATTACCAAGTCATTAGAAGGAGTTCGCTGCATCGTATATCTGTATATTATGCACAGAAAAGGGCATTACCTTAAGCCTATGTGACATATCAAAAACATTTTATTTAAGATTTAAAATATGATTATTTTTCTCCCTCTCATTCTCCAAATGTACTCTGAGGATTCTGGGCAGGAATTCATCCAACATAGCCTTCCTTCTTTCTATTTTATGAAAATGTCTCATTTGACTTTTACCACCTGTACTGTTTACAAAGGCCTCTACAAAAATTATTTTAAGAAAACAAATTATTAACATCTAATATAAACTCAGTAAGAGTCTCTGTGCTTTTCAAGGTGGCCCGATACTTTGCATGGGAGTGATTCCTAGGATTCACTCACAGCTTAAGTTACTTTTCCAGCCTTCTGGTATCTTTGTGCTTTTAAACTTGTACTTTCTTGCAGCTGGGCACTGTACCTCCTGAACTGGCCTTCACAGTCTGTAACAGATCTGTGCTTAGCCCACAGTAACTGTTTATAATTCGTTTATGACCACCATGTTCACAAAAATTCTTTTCCTGGAATTCTCAGAGAGCAATTACTTTTTCTAAGTTAAAAAGCTATTTGTTTTTCCGATTTCTTCTCCATTTTATACCATGCTGAATGCTAGCACATTTTACCCAATTTTCCCTTCCATGTCTCCTCTGCAGGAAGCTGCCAGATCTTTCTAGGCTCTGGAGGTTCTTTCTCCCGACAGCATCTCCTCAGGGCTCCTCTGACCATTCCTCTGACTCCACTTCCAGCCTCTGCAAATGGGCACCTCTTGCTTTCTCCTTTCACCTGGGTGCCAGACCATCTTTTTAGCCTCTTAGAGCACACTTCTGCTTAGAGGCCAAGGTCACTTCAAATTCAACATGTCCGCAAGACACCAGTGGCAAGCAGCTGGCCTCAGCACCTGGAGCTTGCCTCATAATCCCAGCTCCATCCTGAGCTGGTTGGGTAAACTTGGAGCAACTCACCCAACTTCTCTGAGCTTCGACATGCTCATCTGTGAAATGAAGGGGTTGAATTAGGTGACTTCAAAACTACTCTCTTTCACTCCAAAAAGGAGGTCCTAGAAAAGAAACCATGAAGTCTTCCTTTTTCCTATATTCAATCCTTCAAATCACAAATCCTATTGTTTCTACTTCTGAGGAGTAGAAGATCCACTCCGTTTCCCACTGGCACTGACTTAATCCCAAACATATTCTCTTCACCTCGTGCTTGAATTATTGCAAAAGCCACTCCAAATTTTGCATTTTTCACTCCAGCAAAGTGGAACAAGTTGCAATGCCCAAAGCATACCATGCTATGTAACATCTGTTACCTTCCTTCTCCTTCCAATGCTCTTTTCTTCCCTCTTTCCTGAGGTCACTGTCACTTTCTTCCCAACCTTTCTGGAAGTCTCTGCTCAGGTGCCACCTGTTCTAGGAGCTCCCACAACTCACAACTTGGACTGTCTCGCTCCCTTGCCACACTGGCATGCCTCTAGCACAGTAGCCAGAATGTAACCTCACAGTAGTGGAACAACTTATCTGTTGACAAGTGTCCCCTGCCAGCCCACACACTTAAGACGACAGGGAACCTATTCTTTTCATCTTTCTAGCTAGAGCTTTTCATGTTGCCTAGCTCAGGACGTACCTGAACATACCTTCACTCTTCAGCCAATTCAAAGCTTGTCTATACATCCTAGCCCAGAGAAAGACCTTCAGTTGCCTGTAAAGCCATTTCTAACTGCTTCTGCTCACAATGACCTCTCTCTATTCTCAGTTCCTATTTATAGCCAGTGCCATATTGACTTAGGTCTTACTTATTTCATTGTGTGTTTGTGTGTGTGTGTGTGTGTGTGTGTGTGTGTGTGTGACAGTCTTGCTCTGTCACCAGGCTGAAGTGCAGTGGCACGATCTCGGCTCACTGCAACCTCCACCTCCTGGGTTCAAGCGATTCTAGTGCCTCGGCCTCCTGAGTAGCTGGAATTACAGGCACACGCCACCACGCCCAGCCAATTTTTGTATTTTAGTAGAGACGGGGTTTCACCATGTTGGCCAGGATAGTCTCGATCTCCTGACCTCGTGATCTGCCTGCCTCGGCCTCCCAAAGTGCTGGGATTACAGGCGTGAGCCACTGCACCTGGCTACTTATTTCATTGTTATCATGTATCAGTTTATCTTCCCCAAGAGCAGGTAAGTTTCTCAAGTGCAAGAGCTCTCTCAGACTCTTTTGAGTGCCTGGGAACACCCAGCATAGAAAAGGTGTTCAATGTCCAAATATCAGCCTCCACAATCACAGAAGCAGCAAGAATAACTAAAATTTGTTAGACACTTACTTTGTGCCAGGCACTGGGCACAGTACTTTATAGATGAAATCATGATAACATTATTTTTAAAACATGCTCTACTGTAAGAATGCTACTTCTTGTTTTTTTTGTTTTTGTTTCTGTTTTTGTTTTTGAGACAGAGTCTCGTTCTATTGCCCAGGCTGGAGTGCAGTGGTGTGATCTTGGCTCACTGCAGCCTCTGCCTCCCAGGTTCAAGTGAAGGAATGCTACTTCTTTTAAGCAGGTTAGGTCAGTTCTAGAGTTTGACGATGAATAAGATGGAGGAAGCATTATGCTAAAAATGCTGTTTTAAGATTTAAAAACAATCCAAAAGACTGAAAACTAACATTTATCCTGGTATGAAGTTAAATTTATCTGTAGTTCTGGACAAATTTAAAACTTTTAAATTCAGTTAAAATATTGAGTAAGGTACTAGCAAAAGCTTTTGATTTAAGCAAATGTGGTTTGGAGAGATCAGAGAAAATACCCATGAATTCACACTGTATTTTAAGAAAAACTAAAACCTAACTGATACAGCTGATGAATTCTGTAATAAATCAAAATAGGATTCTCTCAACAAAATATTCCAGAAAAGAACATTTAAGAAAAAAAAAAAGATCACTAAAAACAAAATTTGACTTTTCTTGAGTACTCAACGGTTGATCTAAATAGATTTAAAAAACAAAAAACAAAAAAACAGAGATTAGGCCAAGTATTGCTTCCCTAAATGCATCCTATCAAGAAAAGCACAACCTCCTGTAGTAGGGAAAATAGTAGATGGACCCTCATCACATCCCTCGTACCACCTTCCCCTGAAGGGCCACCAGATTCAGTCAAGGTGCTCAACTGTACCTGGGGTGACAAGAGTTGCAGGCTGTTGGCTCTAGCTGCCATCCCTTGCCCTATGCTCAAGCTTCCATCCAAGCCCTTGGCTCTCACTTTGTCACGGGTCACATACATAGAATGCCTATGAGGACGTTGCTGGGAAGAAAAGGGGCTGGTGTAGCCCAGTCCATAAGAAAAAGATTCGTGAGGTGCAGACAGTGAATGGGAATGGCTACTGTCCATGTGCTCCGGCAGCTTCAATTCCTCCATCGTCTTAGAATGTCTGGTTGTGGTTCGACGTGAGTCCAGCGTTCCCTCATTTCGGTTATTTCTTCCAGAAGGGCTGAGCAAAGTTCTCGTGTCACTGTGTCTGGTGGGGGTTGGGCTGGTGGGAGAATTCAAGTCTAAGCAGCTAGATGGGAAGTACCTACTGGTACTGGGCTCCGCAATTTGGGCCCTGGCTTCAGAAAGGTTGCTCACAGACTTGGAGTCACTCAGTGCCCCATGGCTTTTGGCCTTGGTCCTGTAGGAGGGACTCCTAGAGGACTGGGGAATTGTGTCAATATAGCTATGCCGACTCTGCTTTTCATTGGGCTGCAGTGTCCCAGCTTTGCTTTGAGAGCTTTCCATGAATGAGTGGCGGTTCTGCTGAGATCTGCTGTTTGACTTGAGGTACTTTGTCCCTGGGCCTTCTGAAGGCTTTGGGTCAATATTAAAATCAAACTCTGTTTTTGACTTGGCTTCTTTTGGGCTAAGAAGGTGTGGTATGTTGTTGTTGGTGAGATCTTTGCTGGTAGACCCAGGCTGGCTGCTTGCTTGGTAGGTTTTGGTGTGCAGTGGACTAAGACTAGCTCCAGCAAGGTTTCCATTTAGGAAGCTTTCATTGGCAGGGAGACCTTCGTCAGCCCGGGGCAGGCCTACACTCAGGTTCTGGATGTCCTTGCTGTTAGATCTGTGGTGAGACTGCAAAGCAGTACTTTTGCCGGCTTGGTTTCTATGTTAAAAACAAAAGAAGTATATCAGTTTCCCTCAATAGCTGACACACAAAAAGTATTGTTAAAAAGAAAGAACAAATACTCAAAACACCTGGAAGACTAAAAACATTAATTCTCTCAAGCATGTGCCTTCGAATAACAAGTAACCTATCAACAGCAATTAAGTTTCTTAGACCAACTCACTCTGTAACAAAGCACTGGCCTTGATGAAATTATTCTGGCACTGCTAAATGCTCAGCTAACTTGCTGTCAAAACAGTTTCTAAATGATAATCTGGTAAAACATACTCTCATTATATTGGTACTCATATGAGTGTTTGTGATAGAATGACTGCTAAGAAGAGAGCTGAGCTATAAACTCTTTATAACTCTTTTGTCTGCTTGAATGTCAGAAGACAACATTTAGACTTAAAGGTTACTATGTTTCTTGAACTTCATTTTTATTTGTAAAACTTGTAGCCTGCCTCAGAGATACATACTCACAGCACATACACAGACACCAATGTCTCTTCTGCCTGCATAATCAAAGAATGAGAATTCTAGCAATGTACTTAATAAAAGAAAATGACCCTCTAAAAAGAAATGTAAACTGTCCAGTGAGGTTTGTTGGAAAACATGATGATCAATGTTTATGTCTTGGAGAAGTGGCAATTACTTGGGGCTCTTCAGATATCTCTTTGTACAGTAAACAGGAATCCTGTACTATACCGGATTACAGAGATCTGAAAGAGTTCGTTTCTCTCCAAAAGACACAATTATTCTCTTTTTTATTTAACATTTCATTATCCTAGACCGACTGAGCCCTCCTTTAGGACTTAAAGCTTCATTTCACACTTGGTTTAAAATACAAAATATAAATCCAGAGGAAAATCTTGTCCTCTATTTGAAAGCTGAAACTGACACCATAGCAAGGCCAGTTTGTGCTACTGTAACTATTGAAAGGATCTAATTGTAGTTTGGGACAGACTAGAATGTTTAAAAATGAATAATGATTTACACAATTCTGGTTTTACTATGCATTCAAAAAATTTTGCTGCAAATATTGCTATTGCTACAGATGGTTTGATTTGGGAGAGTTTTGTTCCCATGACACACTAATTGGAAGTCACTTTTTTTTGTTCATGTAGAATGGTAGTCTGTGAAGCTCTGACTTCCAATTTTCCCCATGAGAACCTGCATGCTCAGCCATTAAATAACATAAGGACCCATTTCCTAGTCTACCTTTCAGTCAGTAATCTCTGCCAGAAAGCTACCTGAGAGTGTCAAAAAAGAAAAAAAAATCTGATATCGAGCAAGCCTGTGACAGTGTGGGGGGCCTCATCTCTTGAATGTACTCACTAATCTCTTCCAGTTAGGTCATTAGAATTACAGCATTAAATAAAAGGACTCCTAAATATGAGCACTAAAATGGCAAAGCCCAGACCTAGAAAGGAATTACAAAGAAAAAAATGCTAAGTTTCACTTTCTGTTAAATTATATTAACAGAGTCTATCCCCAGATCAATAAAGTCCCTATATCCTAAAGGCATCAGGTTTTAAACCATTGAGTTGTTTGCCAACTTATATCTTGGTAACTGAAATATCTCAGCGACTTTTCAAACCTAAATAGTGATAGACTGTCTCATCCACAAATAGATCTAAGTGTGTTGGTTATTCTCCATTTGCCCAACCTCCAATCCGTCCTCCACCCCCATGAGCCCGGCCCTGGGCCTCAGGAACCCAATGCTGCAGATTGTCACCCACGCTTCCTAGCCAGCTAGCTTCTGGTTGGGCTTAGCAGTGGAAGGCATCACAAGACAAGAGGAGAGAGGGGCTGGGGGATGTCTTCCCTGCTCCTTCCCTGCAGGCATCTGCACCCTGACTCAGATCGTGGCTGTGTCCTTCTAGATGACAGCTTCTACAGGGTGGCTCTTCCTACCCAGGTCCAGCTCTCCCTGGACTCTCAGAACCCTATTTCATCCCCATTCCCCTTCAGGCCTAGAAATAGTAATCGTAGACAGATAACATGTACAGATATTGGGAAACGTCCTCAGCTCACAAAGACCATAAAGGGACAGAGAACAGCAAAGGCAGCTGCTTGAGCCTTTGGAACTCTTAGAAACACTGTTAGCGACGTTAAGCAGAAACGTACATGTGGATCTTAGAAAGAACACATTCAGAGCAACGTAAGAGACAATTCTAACATGAAAAGAGAGGTTATCCAGTTAAGGTAAAACGTGTCAAAGCTTTAGGTTTTCCATAAGTGTACAAAGAGCCTAAACTGCCATTCTGAGTGTTTGTGTCTTAGGATTAGTTGGAAACCACTGAGCTTTGCACATAACGCCTATGTGGAAAGGGCATCATACTCCCTTTGCATCGGAGCTCTGCCAAAGTGCAACAATAAAAAACAGCTTTGAAAATTCCATAGATCTCTTCGACACACAACTGTAAGGAATCTGTGTTAAACTGCCAACTAGTTAAAAAAATTTTACATACAAACTCTTCTTAAATGGTTGCAGAATGGATGGATGGATGGATGGATAGATAACGATTTAGTTAAAGTAAGTTTTAAAAGCAAATGTCGAAGGTGCAAAGCTACACTTTGATGGAGAAGGCTGGTGAAGGACCAGGAGAGTGGCAGTATGGGGCAGCTGATGCACCATTGCACCGTGTCCATGGTGGGCAGAACCTCAGGAGAGCCTGAGGGAGATAGCCAGGGGCTAAGTAACACAAGAGTCCACTGCCTCTCCTAGAGAGAAAAAATTTAGAAGACAAGGTATGCAACAGCATGTTTGTGTCTCCAGAGACAAGGCAGGGGAGTTTGTACGTGGCAACCAATGTGATATGGTGCTGTGAGCATCTCTAAAATGGTCCTGAGAAGTCTTAGGGAGCCATCGTTTGTGTTGAGATTCAAGCTAGAATTAATGTCTCTAACCAAAAAAGCATCCATGGAATAAGTATGGACCATAGACCAGTGTGGAGCAAAAGCCCTCAGATATATGTAAAATGTGGTAAGATCATTCCTAGAAAAATCATGTAAGACTTTTTCTTTAATATATTCAATACAGTGTCAAGACCTGAAAATGATTCTTCCAGAGATTTTAAATTCACTTATAATTTCTATTCTCCTCTATTTCAAAAGGGGACTTGGGAGGACTCCTCAAGGACCCAAACAAATCATATCTTCTGTATCTGCTGAAAACATCATCACCAAGCACATCCTCCTTAACAGATCCCTAAAGAGGTTCCCGAGGAGAGCCTCAGGTCCCCACTGGTTAATTCCAAGAACTCTGTCTCTCAAGTGAGTCACTAGAAGACAAATACACAGCCTCTTTTCACAGTATGGGTTATATCACTAATCACTATAGCACAAATCAAAAACTTATTATCAGTCTACTGGACTTTATATCATTGGGATAATTTTTCGGTGTAAACTAAAGGAGCTAAGAGACAATTAAGGTAAAAAGGAGATAAAAGCACCTGAACTGAGAGTAACCCCAAAGAAGACACAGGACTAATTTGCACCCCCTAAATGCAAAGGAGCAACCAAATGATGACTACTATTCCTTGACTTAGTGTCCTAAAAATTTCATGGCAACAAACAAAGAAAGCCAGCTAAGAAAGGTCTATAAGATGTGAGGGGAAACAAACTGAAACCAGTCATTTTCAAGAAGAGTAAACAGCTCTAAAACACAATTATACTATCACAGTTAAGCAGAGAAAACATACGATAAATGGTCATCATCAGTTTATGGATGCTCTCCCAGACCTAAATAGTACCAGATCTTGAGCTTTTAAAAATCTGATCTATTAAGAACAACTGATTGGCCAGGTGTGGTGGCTCACCCCTGTAGTCCCAGCACTTAGGAAGGCTGAGGCAGGCGAATCGCTTGAGCCCAGGAATTCTCTACAAAAGATAAAAAATTAGCCAGCCATGGTGGCACATGCCTGTTGTCCCAGCTACTCAGGAGGCTAAGGTGGGAGGATCGCTTGCCAGGAAGGCAGAGGCTGCAGTGGGCCATGATTGCACCACTGCATTCCAGCCTGAGCAATCGAGCAAGACACTGTCTCAAAAAAGAACAATGGTTCTATATGGATGGAAAATTTGGGGTTGCAGGTGGGAAGAAAATTTATATTAAAAAACCTTCATATTAGGAATTATTGTTTTCAGCCAGATGCTATGGCTCATGCCTGTAACTCCAGCACATGGGGAGACTGAGGCAGGAGGCCTGTTTGAGGCCAGGAGTTTGAGACCATCATGAGCAACACAGTGAGACCCCATCTCTACAGAAAATTTAAAAAATTAGCCAGGCATGATGGCATGCTCCTATAGTCCCAGCTACTCAGGAGGATGAGGTGGGAGGGAGGCTTGAGCCTGGGAGTTCAAGGCTGCAGTGAGTTATAATCATGCCACTGCTCTCCAGCCTAGGCGACAGAGCAAAGGCCCTGTCTCTAAAAAAACTAAAAAATAAAAATAAAGAATCATTGTTTTCTATTTATCTTGTAATAGTAGATGAGAGAAACTATTTCCTATCTTCCATAATCCAACGACCCCAGATGACAAGATCAGCCTCTTGGGAGATGAAGGAAAACAGGGAGACCATGACTAGGACACTGTCCTCTTGGACATGCAACCAACAGAATTGAGGAATGTCAGGTCTGAAAGACAACCTGATTGTATGGCCCAAATCCTGTGTGTGTGTTTTTCAGGAAACAGGCTTTGAAAAAATTATGCTGAAAAATAATATTTAAAGAGCAACAATTTTAATCACTGACTTTACTATTTCCATATTCTTATTCTTATGAAAAATTAATTTCTCAACTCAATGATTAGAAGACAAGAGCAACAAAAACACAAGACCTCTCTGTAGAGCCAGACCTATTTGGTCCAGTCACAAAGATTACACTAGGTACATTTCCATCCACCATCTGTGTTTGGCATCCTCTTCTCTCTCCAGGAATCCCCTTGCCTTCACCCAGCTTTCTTCCTCCGGGTATCACTGATGGGTTTCATTCACACAGAATATTCTAGCTCTTGAGGCTGTAAACCCCCTTAGTTGCTAACCCAATGCTACCTTTCCCAGGGAATGCATAGGTTTCCATCATATACTAGTTAAAGATAAGAAAGTCTTTAAGACCCACACAACTCCTTAATTGTGGTTCTGAATCATGCAATAAGCATAAGGAAGATATTTTTGAATAAAGAGGGCTTTCCTTCTTTTCTCTAATTGCATCATTTAAGCAGCCACCTCCTCCACCTACTTGTAAGACCAACACTGCATCTGTATTTCCTTAAAAGGGAATATTTACCTATTAGACAATGTGCTGCTTTCCACATGGTAAGGTTTTCTTTTTGCTGACCTTGAAGGAGAACGATCCAGAAGTCTCTGGGTTTGAAATGTAGGGTGATTCAAACACTGTTCTGTCAAGTATCTGTCAGCTGGGTCCAACTTCAGTAAATTCTTAGGAAATAAAATTTAGGATCGTTAAGAACATTACAAAGTCAAATTTAAGTTCTAATAAAAACCTTATTTTTTTCCTTATAAAAGAAATACACAGTCATTGCAGAATATCAAGTAAACACAGTTCAGGAAATAAAAAAAAAAAGACTATCTAAATCACCTATAATCTCATCATCATTTTCCTCTTTGTATATATGATCCCAGCCCTTTTTTGAATATCCTATATACATATTTTCTTTTACAAAATATACACAGTTTTGTATCCTGCACTTATCATTAATCAAAATCACTTTTACAATATAATTAAAAAATTTAAAGTACACTTTTAATTAAGTAGATATTCACTTGAAAGAATATACATTCTTAATCTTTCTCTTATCCCCCAGATACCCAGTTCCCTTTTCTGGAGGCAGCCTAGGTTACCAGTTTCTTAGGCATCCTTCCATAGATATTCCCTATACATATCTCTACCTGTTCCTTTTATTTTACCCACATAGTAGTATACACATAATTGCCTGAATTTAGCTTTCTTCCCACTTGACATAAGATCCTAAGAAATAATTCGGGGCCAGGTGTGGTGGCTCACGCCTGTAATCCCAGCACTTTGGGAGGCCGAGGCAGGAGGATCATCTGACGTCAGGAGTTCGAGACCAGCCTGACCAGCACGGTGAAAACCCGTCTCTACTAAAAATACAAAATTAGCTGGGCGTGGTGGCTCATGCCCGTAATCCCAGCTACTCAGGAGGCTGAGGTAGGAGAATTGCCTGAACCTGGGAGGTGGAGGTTGCAGTGAGCTGAGATCACACCATTGCACTCCAGTCTGCACAAGAGTGAAACTCTGTCTCAAAAAAAAAAAAAAAAAAAAAAAAATCATTCTGTAGCAGCAAAGAGCCTCAACTCTAATTTTTTGGTTTTAAAGTTTCTTCTTTTACATTTTTTTAAAAGTTTCATAAACTTTTAAGTTCAGTACTTGGAGGGAAAACGTTTTTTAAGACTAAAATAGAGCCAATATAATTACTACAGCTAGTCTTAAGGTTATTAGGGGCTTGAATTAATTTTGGTGACCTGTACCCCCACTAAATTGGCTGACAGGATGAGATGGCCATTTTAGGTACTTAGATGTGGACAAAATTAACACGGCAGCTTTAGAGAATGGCAAAGAGAATATTTCTCTTTGAAATATTCAAAGAAGGGATAATTGGTATTTTTCATTTTTCAAATTCATTTTCAAAAAAAGCTAAAAAACAAAAGGAATGATTCTATTTATATAACATTTGATAATAAGGCAATACTAATCTTTGGTGACAGAAGTCGGAACTGGTTTCTGAGGGGGGTGGGGTGGCATAAAGCCTGGAAGGGGGCATAAGAAGGCTTCCAGGGTGTTAGTAATTTTCTCTATCTACATCTGGGTAGAGTTACACTAATATGTTTACATTATAAAAAGTAACTGACATATAGATACAATTTGCGCACCTTCTGAAAGGACATGTCAATAAAAATATTTACTTAAAGAAATCTGATGGTAAAGATATTAAATAAATAGGAATTTGAATGTTTAACTTCTAAACTGGCAGAAGCACAGGATGATTCGGGTAATCTTTCTACTTTTATTTGTGCTAGCTTTTAATCTGGTACCACACTGATGCTTGGCAATTATATTTGGTAATGATTTAACAAAAACATTCAATTATTTTTAACTAAAGAAAGATGAAAGGCAGAAAACATGAAATTGTATTTAATTCCATGTTCCTACTTTATTCTATTCACATTTTAGAAGTTACCAAATTATTGAGGTCCCAATCCATGAGGACTGACTGTGTGAAAAAGTGTATTGACAAAACCTACCTGATTTAAGTGATAATTTATGACTAATTAAACAAAAGGCTTTAAGGGTTCTTTTTTGCCAGTAGCATTTCTCAATCTGTATTCAGAAGAACACTAGAGCTTTAGAGTTTTATAAAAAACAGTATTCAGTATTTAATTAAATTTGGAAAATATTGGGTAAGACAGAAATGCCTCTTTATTGTGATATTTCTGAAAGCCTTTATGGATTAATGAATATTGTGCATCTCTACAAAAGGTTGTATGGTATGTGGCCTTTCCGAAACGTCACACCCTCCTCCCCCACCTCCACCCCCACACCTATGTACACTATGTTCCCTGGAACACAGATTAACATAGTTTAAAGCACGGCAAAGTTCTGAGAATGCCACTCAGAAATTTCCGACTGTGCTAAGTATGCCTTTTAAAGGCTCTATGCACAGTGTAACCTCTACTGATTTTGACAGTTGACTGACTGGGCATAAAATAAAATTGATCCATTAATAAGTGTTCTTTGAAGGTCTACTATCAAACAACCAACACTTGCTTATGCACTTCTGGCTGCAGTGAAAGCTGGAGAAATATGAAAAACAGTTCCCACTCAAGGAGCCGACTGTCTACTGGAGAAAAAAAAATAAACTTGAATAAAGAAATTTGAGAATGCTTTTAGAGTATAGAGCAGGAAGACTTCTGGACAGGGAGGGTAGCATAAGGAAGAACACTCAGGCCACAGCATTAGCAATGATCCTGATACGTCTAAAGTAGAGCCAGAAAGAGTCTGGGAGAGAAGAGACCAAGTTAGAAAAAGAGAAAAATTAGATTCACTGATCAAATCTGTGTAGGCGATGGGAGGCTTCAAATACCATGTCAGAAAAAATTGTTGAATTTCTTCTTTCAACATTGATTTTAAGATTTGTTTTAAAACCTTATGCTTGAACAGCTCTTGCATGCTAACAGATTTTTATTATTCTGTCCATTTTAAGAATGTCATTTAGGGGTCTCATGATTCTGTCTAGATGGACTGTGACAATACCAGATCCCATTGTAATTTTAAATAAGTTACATGCCTTTTAATATGACATAGTTCCCCATTATTTGCCATTCCACATCTCCTAAAATTTCATTCATAAAAGCAGGCTATGGTCACATGTAGACACAAAAGAATCCACAAACCAAAAGACATTTTATAGAGATAATATCAATTGGCCTTACCTTCATTAGGTCAAGTAGAACACTATTCAAAATTCCAAGGTATCTTCTTTCCAAGGACTGAGGATGGTTAACAGCTGGAAACTGTGAGACATACACAAAGGGAATGTTAACATTTGGGGAAGGACATGTGTGTGCACGTGCTTGTGAGTGTTGCAGAAGGGAGCAGATAAGCAAAAATGCCAATCCCAGTCAAATTCATACTTGTATATTACTTTTGTTGTCTATGTATTTTTTTTTGTTTGTTTTTGAGACAGAGTTTCATGCT
Source organism: Homo sapiens (assembly GCF_000001405.40). Taxonomy (NCBI): domain Eukaryota; kingdom Metazoa; phylum Chordata; class Mammalia; order Primates; family Hominidae; genus Homo; species Homo sapiens. The sequence goes on along the minus strand of NC_000023.11, from coordinate 18,595,163 downwards.
GTTGCCCAGGCTGGAATGCAATGGTGCGATCTGGGCTCACTGCAACCTCTGCCTCCCGGGTTCATGCGATTCTCCTGCTTCAGCCTCCTGAGTAGCTGGGATTACAGGCACCTGCCACCACGCCTGGCTAATTTTTTGTATTTTTAGTAGAGCTGGGGTTTCACTACATTGGCCAGGCTGGCATCGAACTCCTGACCTTGTGATCTGCCCGCCTCAGCCTCCCAAAGTGCTGGGATTACAGGCGTGAGCCACCACACCCGGCCGTCTATGTATTTTTATATGGATTACTACGACTGGGTGTCAAATAATAGGAAAACTCACAGGTGAAAGATGATACTTAAATCTAGGCAGACAATACTAAGGCATGTGAAACAAACTAAAATATAAAAATTTGAACTAATTATGCAGTAAAATAGAATATCATCTGATTATAAACAATTCAGTTTTAATACAGTGTATACATAATTTGTCTGCTTATACACATGATTCTTAATTACTGATAGTAATTGAGGGTCTAGCAGAAAGGATATGATAAGACATTAGATAGAATCCTTATAGCTTTTTAACAACAACATACCATTTACTTTTGAAAACATAGAAGTAAAAATAGAGAGAAAGTAAGTGGCCAGTACCTAAAAGGTCACAGAAGTAGAGAGTGAATTCAGACACACATTCTGTCATCGCTTTTAATATGCTCTTACAATGACCTGTTTTCAAATTCTTCCTTTTTTAAAGTTGGAACCGAAGACAAACAGGTTCCTAGATTAACAAATGCATTTTTAAATAAAATGAGGGGAAGGGGTCAAGTTTATTTAGATGTGCTTTTTGTTCTTTCCTCTGCCAACTCACATTCTGCAATATCTAGTGGATGTTAAAGTATTGGGTAATATGACTGGCAGAGCCCAATGCCATGTACTCCCTTCCAAATGTCAGGGCTAGTCTGCTTCCATACATTATTTCCTCTATACCAACATACAAGCATTTCTAAGTACCGAAATCCCTAAACATGCTAAATAAGTAAATGGGAGGACTAATTATACAGTAAAATTTCAAACAAGATATTTAAGGAGTGATTATGACATCATCTCCACACCATGCTCTGGATAGCAGGAGACAAAAAATACAGGTAAGACCCAAACCCTGCTCTTGAGGAATCTGCTGTCTGGTTGGGAAAGCAATCAATGTTAAACTGTGCAACCATAAATTCTAATTGAAGCTCAGAGAAAGGAAAGACCAAGATGGTTTATGGCTGTGGAAGAAAGAACCCATAGGTAATATCTGAATTGGGTTTTGAAAAATATGAAAAATGTGAAGACAGAGAAAAGTAGGACAGCACCTTCCAGATAGAGGAGTAGAAGGAATAACATGAACTCAATACAGATGCACAGGCAATAACCTAAAACTGATTTCTGAGGGAAGTGATGTTATGCGAGGCATTTTGGATATATTATTCTTATTTTAGAGATGAAGAAGGTGACAATCAGAAAGTTCAAATAACTGGTTCAAGGCAAGTTACATAATTAAACAGCAGTAGAACTAGTATTTGCACCCAGTCTTGTGATCCAAACCCACACTCTTTCTAAACCTAGGTGCCTCTCCTAAGGGAAGTACAGAGGCTCCCTTCGATGTTACTGGAGCATTAAATATCAGCCCAAATAGAAAGACACCTACCATGCTGTGATAAAAGACCCTATACCAGTACATGTTAATATTTTGTGTATGAGGTCTATCTTATGCTACCAGATACCCCCTTATTTTTTCTAGGAGTGAAATTTCATTGATAAGAAAATTAATGCTGAAAGTCGAAAGGTATTAGAAATATTATAATAAAAAATGACCAAGCAAACTCCTAACTTCAAAGAATTAATTTACATGCGTTTGAGTGAGACCTACCATTCTAATATGAAATAATTCAACAAATAGCCAAAACTCATGCATAGAAGTTTAAAGTATATCTCAATCAGTCTTGTCTCTTTCTGAATCACTTGGCCAATCCAATACAATCCAATGAGAATGCCTCTTTGCTGAGCACTATGCGTGAGGTTCTGGTCTAGACATTTTACAAATAATATTTCATCTTTACACCAATCCAATCAGGCAGTCTTTTGGTTATCATCATTTTACACAAGAAGAAACAGAGGCACAGGATGGTGAAATAACTTCCTGGCATCATTCAAAATAGTAAATACGGAACCAGGCCTTGAACCACAGCAATCTAACTCCAGAGCCTAGGCCCTATACTATGGGGCATCAATTGTTACTTTATCCCAATAATGCAAACCACTATAGCAACATCTTGTAGATTTTCCTGTCTCTACACAACTAACTTCAAATGCACATCACACTGGACTGGTTACTGGTGAGTCCATGGTGCACAGCAGATGCAGTTTACATGTCCCATGTGCTTAGCTATCTGTCATAGACATTTTCAAATAACATCATGAAAGAAAATTTCTCCCTCAAAAGATATTGTCAAGCCTCCAAAGAGATTAAACTAATTTAGTTAAAACACCACAAACACTTTCAGACTAAAATGTAAAGTATTAAGGTTTATAAAAGTCAAAGTGTGATGGAGGCAGCAATTTCCCTGAAGGATGTTTGTAAGCAGCATTATCACACGCTGTCTAGAATTTTATAGACAGTATTGTTTAGGGAAGAAGACTATGAACAAACAGGACCACAGACAAATGAGAAAGAGATAATCCTTTGTGTGGCCTATCTAATCCAAATGCTCCTCGTTCTTCAATATCCATTTCAAATGTCAAATGCTTCATAAAGCATTCTCTAATGAATCCCCAATGATGATTTCTAACTTTCCAGAATATTTGACACTCTCATGGTCTAAACCATATGGAGATACATTAGAAAACCGTACAATGAGGTAAACAATGCAGTACTTTATTATATACCACGCTTTCTTATAAATTGTATTGTTTTCTAATTATTTCATGGATGAAAGTCTTAATTCTTCAGCTAGTTTGTAAGTTATTAAGGCCAAGCAGCATGTCAGATCTGTTCATACTCTCTTCAGAGAATCCGGCATACAGCCCCATTAACCAGGCCAAGAACAAGTCAGCCAGCAAACCAGGCTTAATGTTCCAGCAGTTAATGTTAAAATCCTGAGGTCAAATATTTAATCATTCAACACTATTCAGCCTAGCAGGCACTATTCTAGGTGTGCTGCAAATATAATGGTGAACATAACAGTTCATTTCCTCAGTCCAGTGAGGATACATATTTGCAAACAGCTACTTAAAGGAGAATGCAATGGGTGCTACAAAAGAGGTATAACCAGAGTGTTATAGGGTCACCAGTTTCCCCTCGAATAGTCTAGAAGGTCTTCACGGAGGGAGGACATTTGGCCTGAGTCTAGGGGAGGAAGGAGGAGGAGAAGAAAGACAGGTGAGTGTTGGGAGCATTATAGAGATGGAAATGCAGACTATAAAAGCAATATGTCAAGGAAATGGTGAGAGGTTCAATGTGGCCAAAGAGCACAAACTGGGCTAGCGGGGAGGCAGAAATGAAGCTGGAGAACTAAGAAGGGGTTTTTAAAGCTACCCTAAAGAGTTTAAACTTTATCAGTAACCTTGTAGAGGTTTCTAAACAAAAAAGAGAATTGTGTGGTTTGAGAAATGTGAGAAGGCTAAAGTGAAAAGAGAAAGATCGGGGGATCTATTTGGGGGTGGTGGTCAAAGGTTAGGTAAAGGTAAAAGGGTAAAAGAAGCATGAGAGATGGAGAGAAAAGAAATACAGTTGAGTTTCAATGCTGATGCCACAGACTGGTTAATCACTTCTCAGATATGTAGTGAATACTCACTGGATATGGTAGATACTGTGTTAAATGCTGGAAACACATCTGTGATGTGATAAAACAGTTGATTTCTGCCCTTGAGAAACATATTCCAGTGTGAGAGGACTAGATAGTTAACAATTAACAAGTAAAGAAACAGACAAAATAATTCCATACTGTGGTAAGTTCTATGATAGAAAAAGGATGCTGTGGGAGAGAAAGACTAGGATGGAGGTGAGGGTGGTACGTTGGGTGGCCAGAGAAAGAGGCACTCTTTGAGATTGACAGAATGAGAAGGGACCACACGAGGGAAGCACCTTGCCAGGAGAAGCAGCCATGGGTCCCAAGTTGATGAAACTGGAAAAACCCTGGAATGTTTATGGAAGCCAAAGAACAAAAAAGGCAAGTGTGCTGAGAATCTGGAGAATGGGGGGAATGGAGATAGGTACGAGATGAGGTCAGGCAAGGTCTCATAGGCTACGGCAAGGAGTTTAGATTGATTTTCAGTGAAAATGCAATTCATTAATTATGACTAACTTTATTTCTGAGTATAATAGATTTTTCTTTCTTCTAGACTGGGGACAAGTCCTATTTATTGTCATATTTCCAACACCTAGTATGACAAATGTTCAAAAATGTTGAGCTAACCTGCTGAACCACATATGCTGTTGGCACCCCAATTACTGGTCATAGCTGGCAAATTTCTGGCTTACAAAAGCAAAAATAAAAGGAGAAACAACAAACTTGCCTGAGGTAACTCAGACAGATGTGAAAGACAGACAAAAAGCAGGAGATAAAAAAGATACTGGCATGCCTCTGTCCATTCATTTCGCCCACATTCACTGAGCCTAGAAGGATCTGGACGGTTGGGCACTCAGGTTTGAGCAGTGGTGGTCTCTAAAGGGAAATTAACTGGGGGCCAGAAAATCAAAAGAAAAAAACAAAGTGCTTTGTAAATGGCAAGGTAACATGGTTTGAGAACTACGCATTTCAGAGAAAGGAAAGAAATGGTGGGGAGATTATTTTATAGCTCCCACAATGACCAGCAATTGCCATGCTGGCCCAAAAAAGTGGCTGAAGATGGATTAAACACTTAATGTTAGACCTAAAACCATAAACCCTAGAAGAAAACCTAGGCAATACCATTCAGGACACAGGCATGGGCAAGGACTTCATGACTAAAACACCAAAAGCAATGGCAACAAAAGCCAAAATTGACAAATGGGATCTAATTAAACTAAAGAGCTTCTGCACAGCAAAAGAAAATACCATCAGAGTGAACAGGCAACCTACAGAATGGGAGAAAATTTTTGCAATCTACCCATCTGACAAAGGGCTAATATCCAGAATCTACAAAGAACTTAAACAAATTTACAAGAAAAAATCAAACTACTCCATCAAAAAGTGGGTGAAGGATATGAACAGACACTTCTCAAAAGAAGACATTTATGCAGCCAACAGACACATGAAAAAATGCTCATCATCACTGGCCATCAGAGAAATGGAAATCAAAACCACAATGAGATACCATCTCACACCAGTTAGAATGGTGATCATTAAAAAGTCAGGAAACAACAGGTGCTGGAGAGGATGTGGAGAAATAGGAACACTTTTACACTGTTGGTGGGACTGTAAACTAGTTCAACCATTGTGGAAGTCAGTGTGGTGATTCCTCAAGGATCTAGAACTAGAAATACCATTTGACCCAGCCATCCCATTACCAGGTATATAAAGGATTATAAATCATGCTGCTATAAAGACACATGCACACATATGTTTACTGCGGCACTATTCACAATAGCAAAGACTTGGACCCAACCCAAATGTCCATCAATGATAGACTGGATTAAAAAAATGTGGCACATATACACCATGGAATACTATGCAGCCATAAAAAAGGATGAGTTCATGTCCTTTGTAGGGACATGGATAAAGCTGGAAACCATCATTCTCAGCAAACTATCCCAAGGACAGAAAACCAAATACTGCATGTTCTCACTCATAGGTGGGAAATGAACAATGAGAACACTTGGACACAGGATGGGGAACATCACACACTGGGGCCTGTCATGGGGTTGGGGGAGGGGGGAAAATAGCATTAGGAGATATACCTAATGTAAATGACAAGTTAATGGGTGCAGCACACCAACATGGCACATGTATACATATGTAACAAACTTGCATGTTGTGCACATGTACCCTAGAACTTAAAGTATAATAAAAAAAAAAAACTGGCTGAAAACTTAAAAAGTTGTTTTTGGGGTAGGTGGAAGAAGTAGCCTATAACTCACTGGGCACTCTAATAAGGTGACTCCTCCTCATTTGGGGAAAGTTTATACTTTCTAAGACGCTATTTCACATATTCTCAGAAAAGTTTTGTACAAAGTTGTCAAGTCTAGGAAAGGCTGCCCAAGACAATACACTAGTTGTTGTTTTTTTTTTGTTTTTGTTTTTTTTTTTGAGACAGAATCTCACTCTGTCACCCAGGCTGGAGTGCAGTGGCATGATGTCGGCTCACTGCAACCTCTGCCTCTTGGGTTCAAGCAATTCTCCTGCCTCTGCCTCCCGAGTAGCTGGGACTACAGGTGTGCACCTCCATGCCTGGCTAATTTTTGTATTTTTTTGTAGAGATGGGGTTTCACAAAGTTGGCCAGGCTGGTCTCGAACTCCTGGCCTTAAGTGTTCTGCCCAACTTGGCCTCCTAAAGTGCTGGGATTACAGGAGTGAGCCACCATGCACGGACCCAAGACAATACACTAATTTGAAAAGAAGATTTGATGTTTCACCGTCAGTGGACCAGAAACATCTACTAAAACAAGAACCTTCAAATCTGGGGAATCCAAGTTTTCAGGGCTTTCCTCAAATCACTACAAATATGTTTGTTCAACATTCATACATTTGGTATATTTGGGGGATGCTTAATATTTTGGATAAAGAAACAATATAAGATAACCAAAGTTTAGTGTGTAAAAATGTATACACTAAAAAAGATTTTGAAAAACTGGAACTTAAAAATTAGAAAAAAGATTAGAATTTGAATTCTAACCACTTTTTAAATCCACAAGTACTATTAAAAAATTCGGAAATAAAATATTATAATAGGGATTATAAACACTGTAATGGGAAAAGAAATAGTATTCAAAGGATAGTTTAGCATTCCATTGTGCAATGAACAATGACTCAAATACTGCAGTATTGATTCCATTTTGGGTTTCAGCAAAACCTCTTACCCGGAGCCCATGGAAGCGAGGATTACTGTAGAAAAGCTTCATCTGCTCAGATGGAAGTGGTCCTAGCACCTTCTGAATAGTAAAAAGTTGGTCAATTTCACTTTCTCCAGGAAATAAAGGCTGTCCATCGCTAAGCTCCCCAAGAATACAGCCCACCGACCACATGTCCACGGACTTTCCATAGGGAGCGCTGAAAAATAAAGGAAGAGATTATTTTGGCAACTGAAAAAATATAATGTTTTGATAATTTCCAAATTATTGTGAACAAATTTATGTGCAGCACACTTGTATATTTATGAAATTAAAAAGTTCCATGTGAAAAGAAGGCTGAAAAGCAAATCATCAGAACACAAGTGAATAAACCTATGCTAATAAAGCCATCAATTTAATAACAATTTAGTTAGTATACACTAATTTGAAATTTATTCACATAAATAGATATGTATCTTAAATGTGAACGGCTTAATAAACCCTAATACAGTATACATATCTGGCAAGTAACACCTCACTTGGGGAATGAAATGCTTCCAAATAATTGTATTTTCTAAGACAAATAATTATCCTTTAGCTCTCTAAATGTCAAAAAGATACATCTTATCCATTTTATGAGTTCAGTCTATTAAAATTTACTATGTACTGATTTATGTGTTTCCTTAACACTGAATATTATTTAACCTTCCATCGCTCAGCATCACAGTTTCTGATGACTAAGATTGTGCTAAGATCTACTATATTATTTATTTGAATATAATATATGTAACCTATGTATATAGAGCTTTATGGTAGCTATTTCCCTCAAAACATTTTCCAGTTTATTTAGGGGTTTATAGCTTCTTCTAGGGTGTGAGTTTACCAGAGGGCTTTAGGAGTGTTGCTGTTATTAATAAATGGAGGTTGTATATGAAAATCTAGGTATCCTCAAAACAGCTTTATATCTAGAGTGTTAAATTTACAGCAAATTAAGAAACCACACACACACGCGTGCACGCTCACACACATTTCCAACATAAATAATCCAAGCTTTAAGAAGGGAAAGCCAAAAGAAAATATCTGAAAAAGAATATGGAAAGAAATTTTGGAATGCTAAAATGATACAGTAGTGAAACAAAACTTTTAAATCAAAGGACTGTTAACATTATACAGAACAAATTTCTAGGATAACAAATCATTGCAATAATAAGTCAATATTTCATTTATCTCATTTCCTTCCCATATCAACCTAAGAACTACACAAGGAAACTTCATTTAGATCTTTTTGGTAAGTTTGTTGGGCAGGGCAAGATACTGATCTTTCTTTCGTATCTGTTTGAGAAAGAGAAAATTTGTTCCATAGTGCTAGATGGAGAAACTTATGGAAAATTTTCACATACTCACTACAAGCTATTTTTCTTCTGTCATCTGATTTGAATAATTTATGCAGCTGGAATGATTCTGAATGTCAAGGACAAAGCCTTGAGAATATATAAAACTTAAATTCTTAATGTATAACCAAATACCTGATTTCAAAAGGATTTTTACAAATATGGCTCTTCAACTAGTACTTGACAATCACTTAATTAGCAATATTCATTTCAGCACTAATTTAGTTACATTGTCCCCATACTTTTAGCAGCTAGCACACATCTCTAAACATAACTCCAGTTTTTCTACAGGTATTATTAAGCAGCAGATACTCTCTGAAGATTCACAATAAGGCTGTCCTCAAAATAAACTTTTTGGGGCCATGTTACAGACACCACCATATTATAACAAGCCCTTCTACTACACTTGAGTCCTCAGATGGGGTTCTAAGAATGATCTACTTCATACTCATTTCTCCATTGGTAAAGTGTCCAGTAAATTCAATTCTCCCAAAAGAAAATGGACTATGCATCCCAATGAGTCCAAAAGGTACACGGAAGAAATATAGACAAACACAAAGAAAATCAATCCTAATTCTAAGATTAAAAATTAGCATAAAAACTCTAAACTCTGCCTACACAATGGAAGAGATAATAAAGTGACTAAGCATCTTTGTTTTTCAGGATAAAGCAAGCTTTTGATTTAAAAAAAATAGTAAAGCTTTCAAAAACTAATGTCAATGATTCTTACAGGCTTTAGGTCAGCAATGAATCAAGAATTACTACTAGACGGTTGGTAGACACTGGAAAATAAGTAGTTAATATCAAAATAAACCCTCAGTGAGTAACTTAAACATGTCGTCATCATGCTCTTCAGAAAAAAAATCCAGAAACTTATATTGCTATTATATAAAAAACATTTTTAAAAATTAAATTCCTCATGTCCCCCAGATACACGTATGGCATGCTAAATTAAAGAAATGAGACCTACAATTTGCGCACTTGTCATCATTATCACTATATCTAATTTTATTTGTGGAGTATAAATTATCTGTTTTTGGGTGGTCCCAAAGAAGGAAATACAATCTAAGGAAAATAATCCTACAACTAGGGTAGGTAGAGAATTATTAATGAGAACTACAGGCTCCTTCTTAGGCTTTAAAGTTAAAATGTACTAAAAAGAAAAGAACCTTATCAGAAGACCTTTTTCTGGTGTTAACAGATGAATGAAAGAGCATTGAAAGTTAAAGGGTGGCCACAAAGTAGATCAATGTAGAGATGTTACTGAGAAAATCATCAATGCAGTGCTAGTTTGAATAGCCATTTATCATCAAACAGGATTTACACTGTTCAGAACAAAAATGGCAATTGGTCCATTTTTTTGTTTTTTGGGGTTTTTTTGTGTGTGTGTGATGGAGTCTTGCTCTGACGCCCAGGTTGGAGTGCAGTGGTGGGATATCAGCCCACTGCGACCTCTGCCTCCTGGACTCAAGTGACTCTCCTGCCTTAGCCTCCCAAGTAGATGGGACTACAGGCAGGTATCACCATGCCTGGCTAATTTTTGTATTTTTTTGTAGAGACGGGGTTTCACCATGTTGCCCGGGCTGGTCTTGAACTCCTGAGCTCAAGCGATCTGCTGGCTTTGGCCTCCCAAAGTGCTGGGATTACAGGCGTGAGCCACTGTGCTCAGTCTGGTTCAATATTTACTCTATGTGCCTGGCAAAGTGGTTGGACATAAGAGATACTTGATAAGTACTTGAAGAATTAATAAATGAACAAATAGATAAGCCAGAATGTCAAACTGTGTGGATATTCACATTCTTAATGTGGAAGTTTATTAGCAAAGATGGCTACAATTAATTTCTTCCATTTCCATACATATACCATTTTATAATATGGCTCTGCCACTTGCCCCATCAAGAGATGGAATTTATTTCTCCATACCATGAATCAGGGGTTGGTCATGTAACATGCTTTGGCCAACGAGGCAAAAGCCATACAAAAAAAGGCTTGAAAGCTGCTGTTGCTTTGGGGCTTACCCTCTTAATAGCACAGAATTCTCCAACTATCACACTTAGAAACTTGGAATAGCTTACTGGAGGATAAGTTTCCAGGGATCAGAGATGGTCTGATCCAGCTGAGACCCCTAAACTAACCAGCTCCCAGAAGACCTACCAGCTGACTATAACTTCGTGAGTGACTCCAAGAGAGACCAGTAGAAGAACCATCCAGCTGAACTCAAACTGGTGATTCCCCCACACCCAGAATTCTGAGCAAACAAAAAGGTGCTTGTTTCATACCATTAAGTTTTAGGTAGTTTGTTATACTGCAATATGTAACTGACACATTTAATTAACTGAAGTTCTTATTTTCCATAGATGAACTCAAAGCAAATGACAATAGAATCAGCAGATGTGGAAATGTCATTCTATTTTGGGACGGTAACTCACCCAAGTAAGAGTTCTGGGGACCGATACCATCTGGTGGCAACGTACTCTGTGTAATTAGCATTATTGCCTTCTGACAGATTACGAGCAAAACCTGAAAGATAGCAAAGTCCAAAGTTGTAACTTTGAAAAAGAAATAATAATTCATGTGGGCAAAATATTTCAGCGCTAGTAATACTTTAAACAACATCAAAAGAATGTAATGACTGTTCTCGCATGGGCTATTTATTAATAATATCCTTGTTATCTTAAAAAGTTAGTAGAGTGTTCCATGTCAATTGAAAGACATACAATGTATTCACTACAAAACCAGTCTCTTCACTATGCTAAAGAAAACCGGGTTTTCGAAGTCATCCCATGCTTTTATAATTATTCAGAGCATACTTTTAAATCAGCTCTCCCAATAAATGCAAACCTTAGGAAAAAAATGAAATAAAGTCCCCACAAAAGCTAGAAATCAAAATCAAAGTCAAACTAGCATATTGTAGACGGTCATTAATTTTGCTATGTGGCACTTACACAGTATTTGCATATGTACTGTTGCTGAGCAATTCTAGCCTTTACATAAACAGTGATGGAAACAAAGCAGGCCAAAATTACTATCATCTCCTAATGACTGAGAATATTAGGGGTATCTTAGTTACCAATTACAGACTCTACCACTACTTTTACCCCCACCCTTTGAAAAGGTTTTAGGGCTACTGCATAGCCACAAAATAAGGCAGGAGGATAAGTTAATCACCCATCTAACTCACCAAACACAACATAGGTTCACTGTGAATAGTTATAGAGAATCAGAACATTAAAATTAAGAGTAAAAATCAAGGTGTACGTCAGTTTTGAGACATGGAAAATACTGTTTCTTAAAATGAAACGGTAAAAAATAAAAACAATCCCAGCGTAAAACAAAACCCCTAACTTCAGATAATCAATGTTTCTTCATAAGACACGCTTTGAAGAAATATTTGTATTTTTGAATGGGGTTCTTCAAGTCAGACCAAGGAGTGCGTACTCTGGGAGGGGAAGCAATTAGGAAGTCCTTGCTAGGGATACACAGGACACAGGATACCGCATGTGGTGCTGCCAGGAGGAACTTCCTGACCATTTACAACAGTCTTTTCTCTGAGAAATGCCAGACCAGGAGTACTCTTCCTACTACTAACCATTCTATGGGCATTCTTTTATATTTATAACTTGCTTTATATTTTCAGTAACTTAAGTCTCTGTTTTGGGTAGTAATCACAATCACGGACAGGAAATCAGAAACAGATGTTGTTCCTGAAAATCATAATGCTAACAAAATGCTAAAAATGCCACAATTAAAATCTTTCAGATCCAGTATTCAATATTTCCTTTTTCCTAAGTACATTCTTTATAAATTTAGGACACAGACTCTTTTACATATCATTCCTTATCATAAAATATGAAGAAAATTAAGTCCTGTAAAACATTTTTTCTCAGACAAACAGGTTAATAATATTCAAAATCTTTGAAAATACTGAGTGACAAGAGCTACACATGCTTCCATTTGCTACACTGGACAAAATGGGTCATTCTACGAAGCAAATTTTGACAATGCCTCTATTTCTTGCTTGTGTAATTCATCTCCTATGCACTAATCTAATCTAATTTTTCCTTATAAGGAGATGGATTCTTAGTTATATGTGGAGGTTTACATTGTATTTGTGATTATATTTAAATATATGAAAAAAGACATTTAAAAAATCAAGTGTTCATTTTTCAGCATACAGGTTAGGCAAAACTATTATTTTAAAAAGTGACCCATGACCCTAACATACAATCTAAAATTTTTTCTGAATTATTTTAATTTAAATGTTTAATAGAGCTTAATACAGAGTTATCTACATGGGAGACACAGACAATTTTCTACTAGGAGAGAGTACAACTAAAAAAATTTCCCTATACATTCAATCAAAAGCTGTAATATTATACATGACTAACCCCATTCATTGAACATTTAGAGGGAACAAATGAAAATGTTCTAAAAATGTCTTTTGACTTTATAGATATATAACAATTGCATATACAAAATACTTATGTGTATTTACAGAGGGATATTTTAGTGTTCATGATTAAACCTGGAACAACTATCAACATTCAAAAAAAATTTTTGTGAAGTCATTAGATATTGGGCATATGGGTGTATTTGCTTTGAATTAGTTCTGATTAAACAAAAACCATGATAAAATTTTAAAAATAGACAATACTCTGAAGAGAGCAGTACTCCTCCAGCAATCAATTTTTCAACATGTGACTCAAAAGAATGTTCCTCTACCAATTTAAGTCAAAACATAACAATTACTTTTAATATTCCTTTAAAAGCTACCTATGTGTTACAATAAATTAATTCTGTAAGTACCAGGACTTAATTTCTTTTTAACTTACCAAAGTCACACAGTTTTAGGACATCATTGTGGCTGATTAAGAGATTTTCTGGTTTTATATCTGGAGTGTCAAGATAAAAAAAAAATTAGTAAAAATGTTCTATGTTCTCCTGATTGACACTGTTAGATCACTGTAATAGCATCTAATTAGAAATATCTAGAGTAATTTGAATAGAAAACTGTGGCAGCAAAAATAAAGTAACACATTTTATGCTGGTACATAAAAGTTTCAATGAATTTCTTTCTCAGAAACATGCAGACCACAACTTCAAAAATATTTTTTTCCTCTTTAAGTATTAAAAGGATTAGTTGGATCTCTGAAAGAATTTTAAGAATAATTAAATATAGGCCAACACATTTCAAAAACCTATTATTACTTCATAAAATACTAGTAATACAAATTTTTGGAGATAGAAATATAAAATGTTTACACCCACAAGATACTTTAAAAATACATGAGAATAAGTAGCTAGCATTATATTTACTGGAGAAGACATACAAGACATGCTTTCTGTTACATTCTTCTACATAATTTCTATATTTACGTCTCTTTAGCTTTTCTGCATGGTTCACAATTATCAATGTCTAATGCTGAAGCCATACTGGATGAGTCAAATTAAGATTTCTAATTTTTTCCATGGATGTTATGAAGATGTGGTGGGAGTTAAGTAGAAATTCACAGAAAATGCAGTTGAATTCTCTCCTTGGGAGGCATCTCGCAATTGTATTTTTAGAGTAGAATACCCATGATCTATATCATATGGTAGAGATGCAAATGGAGAAAGGGCAGAGGTAGTGAAATCTGTAGATTTCAAATCATGGTTTCTACCATTAATTTGCAACCAATGATTCACTATGCACATAATCAAATCACAGTATCATGATGGAAATGCACCTAACTCGGCTCCTCATTAATATCCCCAAACTACAGTATAGACTGTTACTAGAATCATTACCCTAGACACTGGATGTCCAGTTGACGTGGAGATCTACCCATGCTACCAACAATCTTGATAAGGTAACTGCTATGAGAGTCAAATGCAAGAGAAATATAAACTGTTTCTAGGAATAAAAGACGATGGCATTCTTCATATGACCTTTAAACTATTCTCACAAGTGAGAATATTTTTAAAGTGATATCCTTGTGCATTTGTGTATAGGTAAATTAAAATGTAGCATTCTTTTATCTGCTAATCTAAAGACAAAAAGTAAATACTGCAATTTTTTAAATAAATATTTAGGGTCATTGTTGTATCAATTTGTGTCCCACTACTGTAAAACTCTCCAGTGCAAGAAAGATTATCAGGAGAAGAGACAAAGTTGATGCTGAGCAAGTAATTTCCCTTTCATTGCTATAAACCACCCACTTCATGGCAGTAAAGGACAAAACAGTTTATGGGAGTATAATTATGACCTTTATGCAAGGTTGATCATGCCTGCAACTGCAGACAACGGGCACTTTTCACTAAGGGGTAGAGAAAATTAGGAGGTGAAGATACATACTGGAGATTGTTGGTGTAAGAAGGAATGAGACATGAGTGCCAATAGGGGCCAGTGACTTAGGAACCACCTATATAAAGCCTGATTCAGAGTTGTTTCACATTACCTGGTCTACCTGCAGGACCAAGGCTATAGAGATCAACATTTTGCTCTTCTCCTATCCCCAAGTAAGTTTCAAAGTTCACATTTGTTGAGTTCTCTTATATCACTAGGCATTTCTACAATTGGGAGTGGATCTATAATAGTTATACAAATGTAAAGATCTCACCACAATATCCAAATAAATTTGTAATCCATCCTTTTGGTGATAGAAAAGGAGATATGGAGAGCAAATATTTCTCATGTCTTGCACTTTCAAAATATATTTAATTTAAATGGCAATGCCAATGCTTATGAAAATATTCTTAAAGACAGTAACATGTGAAATACTCTTAACTTTATTTGATGTTTTAATATTTTCCATTTTAAAAATCTCATACTCACCTCGATGGACAATATCATTCTTATGGCACCAGTGAATAGCCTTGATTAGCTGATAGATGTAGCTTTTTACTTTCTCAGGTGGAACTCCATTTGGCATTTCTTCCAGCAATTCGAGCATATTCTAAAAATTAAATAGAGTCATTATTTCCCAAATTAGGTAGGCCCGTAAATTATGTATTAACAATTTTACAAAGCATCTAGAATAATTCATCCAATACAGAGCTTTTTTTTTTAATTGTTTTGCTTTCTATCTACAACTTTCTCATGCTGAATCAGCATTAAAATTGGGGCTTTCTTTTATGAGGAATTCCATTTTTACTATTCCCTAATGCTACCCCAAATAATAACCCTGTATACTTTTCACTCTCCCTAAAGGTTTTCAGGCATTATTTTAGAATAATTAGAAGAGAAAAGCAATACAAAGTAGAAATATGACACTGTAATGTATAAAGGGGGGAAAGAGCCTTTTTAAACACAGTGTGCTGTATCTCTGCAACAGAATCTTGTGATAAAAATCAAGCCTTGAAAATACACCTGGAAGATCCACGAAATATTCTTAGTAGAAAAAAAAATGTCCAAAATTAAAAATGATCAATACATTTAGTACAAAAATTCAAACAGGCCAGAAAATACTATTGAAATAAAGAGTCACAGACCCCCTACAATTCAATATTCAAAAACCTTAATTTGGAGTCAGAGACCATTATAACTAAAATTCATGCAAAATTTTTTATTATGTAGAAATTCCACTTAGCCGGTCTCTACTGAATTTCCAGATTAACCATTCTCCTTTCTCACTGTAAAGTACAAGGCCCGTGGTACAATCACAGCTTATTGTTTGTAAGCAACCATCTAGGACAGCAGTTCTCAAAGTGTAACATGTGGATCTGTGGGGTCTCAGATCTTGCGGAGGGCCCATGAAGTCAAAACTATATTCATAATAAGACTGTGATGTTTGCCTTTTTCACTGTGTTGGCATTTACACTAATGGTACAAAGCAACAATGGGTAAACTGCTGGCACCTCAGCATGAATCAAGGCATTGGATTCTTTAATCCAATTAAACCTTGCCTTTAAAAAAGAAAACAGACGTTTTAGTTAAGGACATCTTTGATGAAGCAGTACAAAATATTACTTTGACTAAATTTCAATTCTTGAGTACATGTCTTTTTTGGAATCTGCATGATAAAATGGCAGACTGCACATAAAGCCCTTCTGCTGCACATGCACCATCTGTCCAATGGTTGTCCTGAGGAAAAGCACTTAGAGGATTGAGATGCAAGCTGAATGAGCTGCTTTTTATGTGGAATGCCATTTTTCACTTGAAAGAATAACTGACATACAAACTTATCTATGTTAACATGCAATACGTTTATTGTTATTTTAAAATGAACTAATATTTTTATATTGCTCAGTCATGACTAATATGAGAAACACTAATAGATAAAATACACATAAATAAAAAGTTCTTAGGGTTCCCAATAATTTTCAGAGTGTGAAGGGGCCATAAGACCAGTCAGAAAATCACTGCTCTAATTTGGCCTCACAGTTTTGTTCCCACCAGTCAAGTTGTATACCTATCAAGAATCAGTTGTATTTACTCCCATGCCTATTTATAAAAGATGCACTTGTTATTTTAATATAATTAAATACCATATAAACAAATGAAATAATGTTTTTTTAAAAAAAGAGTTGTTGTTTATAAGAAAACAAAGTTGAATACTTTAGAAAGGCTTAATAAATGAAAAGCCACTAAACTTATTGCCATCTAATCAAATGTGAGACAACTACAAAACACTGGCAAGGAATGGGTGCTAGTGGGGATAAGCATGTCCAATTGAAGGATTCTGCACTGAGATTCCTTTGCAGATGTTTTTGCACATTTGCTTTACCTTAAAGATGCATTACGAGTATGATGTATGTAAAAAAGACCAATCAGAACTTCAGAAGAGCGATAGGCAAAAGGCCTTGACCCTACCTTTATAGCGTGGTAAATGAATACATACAGTATTTATGTTTCCAATTAAAATAAACATTTTAAGTATGTATGCATCATTTTTTGATTCTCCATTTGAATTCTCTTTTTCAATTAACAAATTCATAGATGGTCCCAAATGCACAGGTGGAATAAGAAGGCTTTGTAATATAGAAAACAAATTGTATCTCTTGTTTCACATTCTATTCTAAATTCCTCAGTGGCAGACATATTGTCCTCCAGTATCCAGTCTTCCCTTACTCCGCAGGAACACAATTTTCAAGTGCTGCCCAGAACGAAGAGTACAGTTCTCTTCTGCCTTGCAGCTAATGTGGTCATGCAACTATGTCCTGGCCAATGGGATATGACAGCTGGAACTCTATCCTGACCTTGAGGACAAGGGTCACACCTCGCTGTGGTGGAGCAGAGCTGCCACACTAGTCCTGTACTGCCCTACCTTTGTATTTATATGTGAGGGTGAAAGAAACTTCTATTTTAAGCCTCTGCAATCCTGGGTCTCTGTTACCAGTCCCTTATCCCTTAGAGAACTTTCTCCTTGCTCTCCTGAGACTCACTGTCAATTATGACGCACTGCCACTAATGTGGCAGGTGTGACAGTCACATTCTACCTAAGAACCACAGGATCGGGGGAAGAATCTCAGGCCTGACTGTCAGAAGACTGGAGTTCTAGTAGCAGCTCAGCCATTTACCAGCAGGGAGATCTCAGACACACAAAATTGCCTCTCCCAGTGAGGAAACAGATACACAGAAGTGACTTCTCCATTTGTTATATTAAATTATTATTAATAATGAACAACCACCATGAATAGAACAAAAATAAAAAGGATAAACTAAGAGATGTCAAAATTTTCTTATTTGGTAGTGAAAACTACAAACTGCATGATTATTTATGATAATGAAAAAATAAAAAGCAGCCAGGCATGGTGGCGCGCACCTGTAGTCCTAGCGACTCAGGAGGCTGATGTGAAAGATTTGCTTGAGCCCAGGAGTTTGAGGCTGCAGTGTGCTATAATCATACCTGTGAATAGCCACTACACTCCAGCCTAGGCAACATAGTGAGACACCATCTCTAAAAAGTTTTTAAAAAATAAAGAGCATCTGGTTTCCCCTGGAATCCTAATACAGCAATCCTTTTTTTTTAATAGAACTTTAAAAAAAAAAAAAAAACTTTTAGTTTTATTTTGGTGTGGAAGGTACCTTAGAGGAATGTATAAGTTGACACAGAAAAAGAAACTTAAAACAGATTCTGGAAAAGGAACATAAAGCAGTGGTTTAAGATTACAAACAACCTGCTAGTACCGTTCCAGTTTTTCTAGTAAGGAAATTATTACATGTATTTTTTTTTTTTATTTCAAAAAACAATTTGTAAAGGCTGAATGCATTCAAAGCCACATTACTGGTCAGTTACCCTGGCAATACTGCTTTCCATTTGGTTATGACAATGTTGATACTCTGTCATTTATGGTATAGCAAGCACCTGGGTATAGACCTGCAGCAAACATAAACTTCTCCCACTTCAACCTTCTTTGGACAACAGCATAGGAATCGGCAGGAGCCACCTATTTACTCATCAAGAAAACTTGCTTAAAGGTTTGCCCCACTCCAGTTTCTTCTACTACTGTTAAAGTGTTTATCTGTTTAAGTTTTTGACCATAACAACTGCTGTAGGTCAGCTGCTCTCCAAGAAATTTCTCTTTTTCTTTTTCTTTAGAGACAGGGTCTCACTATGTTGCTCAGGCTATTCTCAAACTCCTGAGGCTCAAGCGATCCGCCTGCCTCAGCCTCCCAAAGTGCTGGGATTACAGGTGTGAGCCACTGCACCAGGCCCCTCTCCAAGAAATTTCTAGGCACACATTATTGATTACTGTAACATACATTTGCCCTTAGGTCATGTTATTAAAATTGTCTCCAACAAGTTGAACATTTTTTAATACAAGCTAAGGCAAGTGTAGACAGCTCAAACAATGCATGCTTTTCTTTTACGGTCTCATCTACCACCTCAAGCCTCACCTTAGGCCTCCTGGCACAGCTCCTTCCCTCAAATAAAGCCAAAGCATTGGCAGTTCACATAAGCTGCTTCCTGGGCCCACTCATTCCCCAGCCTAGGTCTGATTCAGTGTGGTATCTTATACAGCCTCTTCCAGCCTGTACCATCACTGTCAGTTTACCAGTTTCTCCCTCAGTTTAGGCTTAGTTAAGTCAAGTCTAAAAATTACTTGTTGAACATAGAGTTTAAGACTTCAGAAGCCAAATCAGTATATTGTTTAAACTTACGATTATCTCTATACAGTTTAATTGTACAAAATTCTTAAATATATTTCAGAATTTCTAATGATTATTAACAACACTTTCATTTTTAAAGTCCTCAGATTATGAGTACATTGATAAGCCATATTAGATAACAGTACTTTCTTAAATAATGTCAGAAACAGCCTTAAATAAAAGAATCGGGCAAATGTGCACATTGGCAATTAATGACTTACTTTTTCAACATACTCAAACACCAAGTACAACTTTCCCCTCCGACGAAATGCTTCCTTCAACTCCACAATGTTTTCCTGCTTGAGAGTCCGAAGCATTTTAAGCTCTCGTAAAGTCGTTTCTTTGACTTCTTCATTTTCTAGAATGTAAACAATGGTGAAGAGACTAAAATGAAAACTTTCAAGCTACTATTCAAAGAATTCCAAGAACACTGAAAACATCCCAATTTCACCTTCTGCTTTGAGTACTTCTGCATAAGAAGTACAAGAATGGAATATTAAATAACACGTTTTCTTGTTGAAAGGATCAAGAATAAGAAAATCGAAGAAAGGGTTTACTTGATCAGCACAAACTTGACTTCCTGCTTATATTTTCTTATACTCCTTTTACTATGTGTATGTATAAAAATTTTCTTATACTTCTTTTACTACGTGTATGTATAAAAACACACTTATAGATACAACATATGCCTCCATTGTCATCTGAACTATAACACTCTATACAAGGAAGGAAAGAGATTAAAAGGGCCATAAGGAATCAAAACTGTCAGTGTGCAGAAGAACCTCTATGCAGCCGGCATCTGTAGTAGCTGATGTTTTTAAGGATGGCCTGAAACTTTGGCCTAAAAAAACATTTTATTCCTCAGGCTGCATGAGTCACCTCAGGGAGCAGAGGTCATGCGCCAAGCATCCACAATTCAAGTCACAGCCAAGTTGCAGGGAATTCTGAGAGTGTCTAATCTTCTCTCTGAACAGCAGCTGCTGTAGGTTCCTGCTGTCCTCCCTGTGGCATGTCCATCTGTCCATCCCAGATGGTGTAGCTGTTCTGGGATGGAGAACTTATGCTGAACCAATAGACCCTCTTCCATACCATCAACTTCATTCATGATAATCTCCGTGGTTATGGAGGAAGGACAGAAGTCATATTAACTCTAATAGATTAATTGGCAGGGGAGTGATGAAAATAATATTTCTATTTAAATTAGTTTTTATTATACCTTTAGATTTACCCGGGAAATCCTAACTACCATGTTTTTGCATGTATGTACCAGGATACAGGTTCATAATCCCTCATCTGCAAGTCCAAAATCCAAAACACAGTCTAAAAACTGAAAGCTTTTTCTAAGTTTGGGGCAAATTCACTGAGAGGTAACACCTGAACTGACAGGAGACTACATAAAGTCTTTGTTTATCCAATCTAATATGAACATTCATATGTTGTGCTATAGAAATACTACTTGATTACTGAGTGCTGTGCATTATAACATGCCACACGTCCATTCTAAAATCCAAAAATTATGAAGTCTAAAACACATGTAGCCACAAGCTTTTGGGTAAGGGCCAGAATCCTAGCTTGAGAGCTGTGTGACCCTCAGGATTAGACACATCTTTCAGTGTGAGAAGGAGGAAAATGGAGTGTGGAGATAGGGGCACGGAAGCCTACTTGATATGCCCTCTAGAAGAAAGGCTCTCTAACCAAGGCACGCAGGAGGAAAAAGGCTGAATGGATTCCAAAGGGAGAGGGAAGATTCTAAATGCAGACCCAGGAATGTTTCCTCAGATTATTTTCTATCCCAGCCCCCTTTCCCAACCCCCAACTCAAACTGAGTTTAAAGAAAAGGGAATGACATAAAAGCAAGGGCTTTGTAGCACCCGAGTATCCATAACAAACTGGGAACACGGAGTCAACACTCCCTTGTGAACTGGTTACATAAATGAAGTATTCTACTTTAGCCAGAAAGCTGTTGGAGAACACTGGAACACAGATTAGGACCAAGAGAGATACTGCCTATGAGAAGACAAGAACCAGCAGTAGGAAAGGCCAACTGTGGCATAAGCAGCGAATTACCTGGATCACACCAAGGCAGTCAACAGGGAACTGGGTACTTACAGGGAAAAGAGCATGACAGTGGATGTCACCTGGCAGTGGGGGAATGTCTGAGATGCAATCGGGGACATCCCAAAGTAGCTTAGAGCATTGGGAGGGGACAAAGGTCCAGGTGTTCTGCAAGTTGGGGGTGAGCCAGAACAGTGGTGTTCTGTGACTGTTAGAATGCTAAGGTAGCTGCAGCTGCTGAAGCACAGGAACACCGGCAGTTTCCTAAAGAAGCAAGATCGAGAACATGCTTCTCTAATATCCCCTCTGAGTTACTCAAGGTTGGGGTAATCAAACTAAAATCCATCTATCTCTAAGAAACAGAATAACACACAGATCTCAAATAAGAAACAAATGATCTAACAAGGGACTAATTTAACAAGAGACAAGTCTACTGATTACTCATGACCTGGTCTGTGCCTGCCTTTCCATCCCCATCTCATGTCCCTCTCCCTCACCTCCATCTTTCAGTTCCCAAAATAGCCCCAAACTTCATTTTTCCACCTTAATGGCCTTCAGACTTGCTCCCTCTGCCTACAATGCTCAGTCTACTACATAGGCTCTTGACAGGGCTTGCTCCTTCAGGTTTTAGTTTAAATATCACTCCTCTAGAGCCTTTCCCAGACCACAAAAGCAAGTAGGCCTCCATCCCCATTATTCCTTATCACAGTTCTGGACTTTTCTTTCACAGAACTTCTTACCATTTTTCTTGATATATTTGTTTGCTTAGTGGTATGCAATCTATGCAGCCATCCCTGCTAAATCAAGAGCTCATGGAGGACAGGACTCAATTCTTCTGTTCAACAATATACACCAGGACTGTACCTGACACAAGGAGAGGTGATCAATACATTCTTCCTACATGAATGCTTCACCTGTGGCCATAAGGAAATCTCTGCCCATACATGCGTAACTCTTCCTCACTTCAGCCACAGCAACGGGAGGGCAAACAATAGGCACTTTGCCTCTCAGTTTTCTTACAGCACTGTCAATTTCCTCAAGCACCGCTTATCAGGCAGTACGATAAACTGAATTTTCTCTTCTCCCTATTCACCTCTGTCCCTAGGTGTCTTCTACAGTATGTGATTAGAAATGATGGAGGATACAGAACACTGACAGTGCTCAGGGTCAAGAACACACACAAGTACATGCACACAAATACCTAAATAAAAATAAAATCATTAAGAGCGTCCATAAACTATGATGCTTTGTGAATTCTTGGTACTGGAAATGCAAATGAAAAAACATCGTACTATTATTTATTACCAACTTGTGGCAGTTTCACTTTGCTAATGAATAAACCCTCTTCAGAATGGCTGCATCAGGATGGTTTTAGTAGAAGGAACAGTGGACCAGGACTAACTAGGGAGACCTAGATTCTGGACTCGGTCTTTTAATCAACTAACAGTACACCATGCAACTTTAGGCAAGCCACTTAACTTTTCATCAGTAAAAGAAACAAATAAATGCCTCCATCTCCCAAAAATCCTATTGCCTTTTTCAAGTCTAATAATCTATTATTTCTTTTCATTAAAATTGTATTGATTATGAGCCTAAACCTCATGGAACTTGGCTGCTTTGTTATACATACATTATTCGAATCTGTATTGACTCCACTTAACAATGGTTAGAGAAGATAAATGAATCATCAAAAAGCAGCACACAAAATTACCTAGAATGTAGTGCCCAAACAACCTCATTGGAGCAGCTGTTTTTAGGAAATAAAGGCTTTTCTACTTTATGCCAGTCATAGTATTAAAAGTTGAGGTAAACACTTGAGCACTAAGATTGCAATGAATGGGAACAGGCAGAAAGTGGAGTTAATTCCCTAAATTCAAGCAAAATGGGCACTCTTCATTATTACTGGGTACATCCTATAATTTTGTTTTTCTAAGTACTTTGAAGGTTCCTGGCCTGCCCTGCACTTTATGATGAAAACTGTCAACTAAATTATCAGATGAGGGGAGAAGGAAGGCACATTCCAATTACACAGGCTTCTCTTCTCAGAGGTACACAAAGTAGGAAAGCATTTTGCAAGGCATTACAAAATGCCTTACAAAAAGCATTCAGTAAGGCATTTTCAAAGGGTGGTAGCACAGCCCACTGAAATGAGCACAAAAATCACTGCCATCTAGTTGAAATAATCCCCGTGGATTCTTTGTCTAGGCTAGGATTCTTTATCAAGGCTGGGCTCCAGTTTACAAATGAAGAAATCAAGTCTAGAAAGGATAACTTTCTCAGGGTGCATGAATGGAGGGTCATATTCAACCTCATAGTCTGAGTAGAACACAGGCACAAAGGTGGCATAGTATACAATACAGTGAGTTTTGGAAAGTGAGTCACAGTACCCAGGTTCAGGTATAACTATGCTACCATTTAGCTGAACGGCAAGGCGGCATAGTATGGGTGGAAGAAAAACTCAACAAAGATCCTGGGTCAGCATTTTAGTTGCAATTATTCACATACACGCTATGCAACTTTGAGCCTGAGGTCCATCATCTGTATACTGGGGCTGAGTTATACTGGATTATTCAGAAGGACTCTTCCCGAGTCCATACTTCTATGTGATAACTGCTTATGTGCATGCTGACCCATCTTGTCATCAGTTACCACTGAGGGGGTTTAGCTGAATGCAGGATCAACTCTGACAAAGTTATGTGCAGATATATAGAAACCCCACTGAGTGAGGACAAAATGGCAGGGTGGAAAAAGGATGTTAAGTAAAAACAACCCAAAAACTGTCCTACTTCTAAACTTACCAGTAAGGCAAGTTAACACACCTAAAAATCAAGAGCGATTTGCTAAAGAGAACAATTCTTAAGAAGAAAGATCACAGGAGCAAAGGAGATTCAAAGATAACTGATGAAAAGAGAAAAATCTAAAGATGAGCAGAAACTCTATTGTAACTCTATTTTTAAAGAACTGTGGGCTTAGAAAGGAAATCCAGGAATAGCTGTAACCTACTTTGTGAAATCACAAACCTGACATTTTTGTATAGCCAAAGAGCCCCCCACCCCAAATGGACCTTTACACAGATAAACTGATAAAGAAAAATCAACCCATCCTTGATCAAAACCACGGGGGTACCATATTTGAGTCTGGTTGCTCTTATTGAAGAAGGGACATCAATAGACAGACAATGTGGCTGAGGGAGTTTGAATGCTAGTGCTACTGTTACATACACCAAGAAAGATGAGGACCCTCCAATCTTTAGAGATGAAGAACAGGTAAAAGCACAGTAGAAATTTATTAAATCACAGAAGATGCAAAATGATCACCAAATCCTAGAAGAATCCCTGAAGTCTGAAGGAGGTCCATGTTGAACATGAAAAGGAAGTGTGGTAAAATCATGACTAGCCAGAATGCTCAAGCTCAGTTAATCAAATTATTTGTTTAATCAAGGGTTGGACTTTTTGTTTCAAGGCCTCTTTCACACAGAAATCAGGCTCTTGAATTTAAGGACTCCAGATTACGAACTCTGGTTTTGTACCATTATATAAAATAAGAGACCAGAGTACTCCTGATCCAGAGATCAGTATAGAGCTTTCCAGTGTCTGGGTAAACAGAAGAATAAAATAAATTAGAAGACAGAACAGATGATCAATTAAATGTTTTCTAATAATTAAGAAGAATATGTCCATTCCAAGAGGAAAATAGTTCTCTATAGAAAACATTCAGCAGAATACGAAATGCAAGTAATTTTATTTTATATAAAAGCAGAGACACAACCTAAGTTTCATCTTAAATGTAGACTAGTGTATAGCTCCCTGGAGTCAGCCTCCTTGCCATGCACAGAGGCCCAGTGACAAGCAGAGAGGCTCTCCCCTCACTCCATCACCTTACATTTAAGGAAAGATGGAAAAGTCTAAAGAAGCAAAAAGAAGGTCCAAATGTATGTCAAAAATAAATTCTAGACAATAGGTTTTCCTAAAGTAAAGGCTGGACAGACAATATTTTGAATTCTTGCTGGTCCAAAGCTATATAATCTAAATCAGCGCTCTTGGGTTATTTAATAAATTGAGGACAGCAGACACTTGTACTTGTCTTGACAAAACAACAGTGATACATTATCATCTGAACATCAAATCTCACTGTAGAAGATGGGAGTCATAGAAAGGGTAGAAGAACTGGACTAAATTTATAATTTATACATAGTCTGAAAAGTACCTTTTAACTAAATAATCTCTAGTATCTTTATGATCTATGGTCATTTTTTCCCTTCTCAGAAAATCCAAATAATGAGCAGAACTATTACAATGAGCAGAACGAATACAATGGAGACTTCTGGTTGGTCAGGTGTTTACTAGATAAAATTTCTCTGCAGGAACTTAATAGCCAAACTTATAATACCATCATTTAGGGTTATCTTAAAGAACTCATTATCACAGACTCCAAATTTATGAAGGGTCAACAAACAGAAGTCATCAAAACAAGAAAAAATTAACTAATGAAGTAAGCTCAGACAAAATTTTTCATTACTCAAACATTCTTCCTTTTTAATAGGAGTCTATATCCCCAAGTCAGGGTGTCAAAGTCTTTCAGAGAGAATCACAGGCAAAGACACTGATAAATTGTCTGATAGAATTGTATCTGCTAACAACTAGAAAATAAAAACCTCGAAAAGGCAAGGCTTGGTGGCTCATGCCTGTAATCGCAGCATTTTGGGAGGCTGAGGCAGGAGGATCTCTTGATCCCAGGAGTTTGAGACCAGCCTGAGCAACATAGCGAGACCTTGCCTCTACAAAAAATGAAAAAATTAGCTGGGAGTGGTGGTGCGCACCTGTAGTCCCAGCTACTTTGGGAGGCTGAGACAGGAAGACTGCTTGAGCCCAGGAGTTCAAGGCTGCACTGAGCCATGACCATGCTACTGTACTCTACCCTGGGATACAAAGCAAGACCCTGTCACACACACACAGCCTGAAAAAGAAGACACATAGACAGGAATAAAAAAAGAAGAAGAAGAAGAAGAGAAAACTGACAAAGCTTTTTGTATATTTCTTAATGACCCTCTTTACTATAGAAGCTATTCATTGGCCTAGCCTACAATTTTACTGTAAAAACTGTTCCTCCTCCCAAAAAGGTTAACACTTCATTCTTTCTTGAAATAGCATATTAGTTACTACTATAACCTAACTTGTGTTAACTATAAACTTATTTTCATAATTTTAGTTTCATTTTATCCACTTAAAGTCCCAAAATAAACTTTTATTTACTATGAAATTTTGATTCCCATTTTAAATAGTGATCTATCATCCTGGGATAATAAAGACTTCTTGAACTAAATAGTAGTCTAACAAAATATAGTTTCACAAACATTTTTTATAAATTTGTGAATATATATGAATTTAACAAGAAAGTAGGACATTAGCATAATCTTTTAAAGCTACCAGAAATTAACATATATTCTCACAAAATATTCCGTGATATCAGTGAGAGAATAGATGGTCCCGACTTACAATGGTTTGACTTCGATTTTTTGACTTTATAATGGCATGAAAGCCATATGCGTTCATGAGAAACCATACTTTGAATACCCATAAAATCATTCTGGTTTTCACTTTCACTACAGTATTCAATAAATTACATGAGATATTCAACACCTTACTATAAAATAGGCTTTGTTATATGATTTTGCCCAACTATAGGCTAACATAAGTGTTCTGAGCATGTTTAAAGGAGGCTAGGCTAAAGCTATGATGTGTGGTAAGTTGGGTGTAGTAAAGCCTTTTTTTGGAGACAGAGTCTCACTCTGTTGCCTAGGCTGGAGTGCAGTGGCATGATCACGGCTCACTGCAGCCTCAACCTTCTGGGCTCAAGCGAGCCTCCTACATCAGCCTACTGAGTAGCTAGGATTACAGGCACACACCACCATGCCTGGCTAATTTTTTTAAAAATTTTTTGTAGAAACAGGGTCTCGCCATGTTGCCCAGGCTGGTCTCAAACTCCTGGCTCAAGCAATCCTCCTGCCTCGGCTTCCCAAAGTGCTGGGATTACAAGTGTGAGCCACCACACCCAGCCAAAGCATTTTGTACGTAACAATTTTTTCCACTTATGATGGGTTACTGGGATGTGGCCTCATCACAAGTCAAGGAGCATCTGCACTGGATTACCTTGAACATGGCTCAGACCAAGTGCAGATCCTATTTCAGTTAACAATATTTTTACAGGATTATTTCGTTATCTTCACTAAGACTTTTAAACATTAGATCTAGATAATCACTGCCATAATATCAAATGAATATTTCAAGAATAACTAATAAAGGGGATTAATGAGAGCTACATGACAATGAGGGCAATATTATCACGACACTGTTTTTTATTATAATTGGCTAAAATTTAATAAACTGATTGAGAATTAAATGGTTTACCCAGGGGTTGAATAGACATCCTTACCTGAATGAGACTATCTATATACACTTCACACTCCAAAAGAGTTGTTCACCAAACATGTACCCTTTTTTCCATTAAGCAAGACACTACTCCAGCCAGAGGAAAAGGGTAAAGACAGAAAAAAGAGAGTACTAGTATCTCCCTGGGAGAAATGTAAACAGTAGGTAAGTGGGCCAGACTGGAATGAAAAAGTTTATGAATAATTGGTTATGTTTTTGGGTTCTAGCACAGAAATGTTTTGGAAGTATCCCTCTAGAAGTATGTGTAGGTGGTACGTAGGTGTCATTGACAAGGTGGGGTGGGTGATAAGGCTGCATGCCTCTGAGGGATGGTGAGTGATAAGGGTCTGGCAGAGATGAGGGCAGAGCAGATTAATGTTTTGTTGGTTCAATAAAATAAGGGCAGATCAAATGTCTTCCACGTCTAGACTATTCATGAACTCCCAATACCACGTCCAGAAACAGTTTCTCTCACCTCAAAATGATCCAAGTTCCATGTCTCCATTCAGGCAATAACTGTTTTCTACTGTGTTTTATTGTTATTTATTTGCAGGTCTTAATTCTCCTAATAGGTCATATGCTTCTTGAAAGTATCCACACCTCAACTCTTACAGCACTTCACTCAGTGCTCAATGAATTTCAACGGATACACTAGATTTCCACTCTAAAGGTATCATTAACACAGGTAAAAATATATAATTGAAGCTAAGAATTGGTATGCACAAGACAGAGATTATAAAGAACATGGTATTTACTTAAAAAGAAAGTAATGGGGCTGGACAAGGTGGCTCACGCCTGTAATCCCAGTACTTTGGGAGGCCAAGGCAGGCGGATCACTTTGAGCTCAGCAGTTTGAGACCAGCCTGGGCAACATGGCGAAACCCTGTCTCTACAAATAAAATACAAAAAATTAGCTGGGCATGGTGGCGCACACCTGTAATCCCAGCTACTCAGGAGGCTGTGGCTGTAGAATCACTTGAGCCCGGGGAGTGGAGGTTGCAGTGAGCCAAGATTGCGCCACTGCACTCCAGCCTGGGTGACAGTGTGAGACCCTGTCTCATAAACAAAAAAAGGTGGCATACATGGCCTAGATTGTACTTTTTACAAAATTTGATGACAGTTATTATTTTTGGTGGTAACTGATGCTTGCCAATATGCCCTGAAAGATGAATGCACAGCCAGAAGCCTTTACATGCATGCGAAGGTTGTGCTTTGATCTACTGTTGCAACCATTCTTTTTAGGAAATCACCATTTGTCTCTCAGCCACCTGCTGACCCAAAGTCACTGCTCAAAGAGCTCATTTCCAATGGTATCACAGTGGGATAGCCTGGAGCTACTGCTTCCTGCTAGACCACAAATATCCCATTTGAAGCAAGATTTTTTTGTCCCCCCAGAACAAGCAAAAAGTTCTTTTTTACCTTCCACTTTTTACCTTCCCTTTAAGCCTGCCCATACAATGACTGCTAAAGTTCCCAGCTGATATGCATGTGTTTCATATAACTAGCACATCAGAGATGGATTACATCAAATACTACTACATCTATCCTGGAGCAAGTCCCTTTTTGTTATTTAATGTTTGCTAAGTCTTTGAGGTGAGGGTGATGAAACTGTTCATAAATATAGAGGCTGGTGTCTTACATCACTTAGGGGATGTGTGCTGATGAAGGTAAGCTATGACTGCTATTTCCACACTTCTAATTAGATATGAAGATTGATGCTGTGTTGGTACTTCTTACTCTTAGACCATAGTTTTTCAAATAGCAGGCTCTGACTTACTAGTAGTGAAATCAATCCATTTGATGTCACAATAGGCATTTACATGAACAGGAAAGAACAGAAAGTAGAGAGCTTCACATTCATAAGATGAAGTTCGTGACATTTTTGCTTCATTTACATATAGTGTTACATATGTGTGCGGACACTGGGTTAGGATATGAAATATATTTCTACTGTGGGTCTCAGTCCAAAAAGTCTGAAAAAAATGTTGTCTAGAGCACCTTAAAGGCCATACCTATTTTTGTTATCAGTTTCTCTATTTGGCTATCTTTGGATGGCCAACAGTCTAGATTTTAAAACTAATGAACTACTGAAATGCATTATTTTAAACTTTCTTGCCCAGCATGGGGTAATTTTACAACTCTGTCTGAAATGGTCTGGATGTGATGAAGGCCCCTAAGCATAGTATTTCTTCTTAAAAAGCTTTTATTCTCTCAATGCATTATTCTAAATATAAAATCAATCCCTCAATATATCCTTGTATTTCTAACTCTGACTAGGAGCTGGAGATCACCGTAACCAATACTGAAATCTTTCATGTAGTACTTGCTATTTATGTGGACCCACAGAAGTATTTACTTGAAGCCAGTTTTTTTATTTTAATAATATTTAGAAACAGCATAAACAACATGCCTTCTAACCAGCCTTTGGAGCAAGATTTCCAATGCTGCTTGCAACCTTAAAATAAAAAGATGAATTTTCTAATATCATGAGATTTGAAAAGATTCACATAAAAGGAACTAAATGTTTGAAAGCAAAGCATAAGAAATAAGCTATATTCACTTTCTGAGATTGTGACTTCAAAATATCAGGAATAGACAGTGTCTGACCAGCTAGATCCCACTTCTTCCACACTCTATGTATAAAAACTTTATACAGAAGGAAAAATACATATATACAGATATATATATATATATATATATATCTACCTTCACTGTCCTTGAATTTCTTGATCGCCACAATTTCATGTGTTTCCTGCAAGGGAAAAGAAGCAGAAGGAAAGTCATTCTCCAGTGTTTTTCCGACTGGGGATTCCAGTTGCCTGGGGGTATATTCTGGGACAGAGTAGCAAGAAGCCAGAGTGTTAAAAATATATCATCTTCCTCTCCCCCGCCACCTCTCATTTCTTGGTTCCAAAATCTCTTTCTTATCACCCCACAAACATTGTCAAGGAAGGGAAAGGAGAAAGGGAGAGGGTGTGGAGCAAAGAGCAGATATGGTGACAGAATATGCGTAACTCATAAATCATTAGTGTCAATGTCTTGAGGATACTCAAAAGTGCCAGGATGAGTGTCAGACTGTCATCTGTACTGCCCTCTGAAGTCCAGAGACACATTTTAATTGGCCTTCTAAGACCAAGAAAGGGCCTCTCCAATACACAGTAGTTGCTGGTAGCAGAATGCTAACAAGCATATCTAATTTTCACCAGCTCGCCCCTATTGATGGCCACTGCAAATCCAAAGTGAGATAAACATTCCATCACCAAATACCAATCATCACCTTCGTCCTGCCCTTATCTCTTCTGAACAGAAGAAATAACAGAATTCTGCTTTAAAAGAAAATATGAAAATCTTTTTTGTTGTTTTTGGTTGGGAGGAAAGAAAACAAGGGCTGGAAAGGAAATGGAAATGCTAAGAACTAAGTACCACTAAACTAAACAATTTTTATTCAATTCTGGTCTATAAAAGGAATAAAAAAGCTTTTGGCAAAATAATTAATACAAATTCTTCAAAGCCAACATGTCATATAAAAGCCTTCTGAATGACTCAGGCCTGTTCTTTTTTACTTTAAGTGGGGACACTTTCAGATCAAATCTTTTAATATTTAATAAAACGTTGTCCCTGCATCAAAACAAAAACTTTAAAATTAAACACAATACCAGGCAAGTGCTATAAATTATGGAGGAAAAAGATACTTCTTAAAGGTACTGTGTTTTTGTTTTTAATGAAGGAACAGGATTGTAGGGTAGAGACAACTTACTTGTATGTATAGGGTACAACTTATTTGTACATTAATGGATCTTCTGACTTAAAGAAACTCCTTCTTCCAGGTATTTTATTATTGGGAAGGAAGAACTGCCAATTTTAAGTAATGCAGGAGATTATCAGCTGGAATATTATCCCACGTAGTACAAAGGTGACTCTTTCATGTATGCTACTCTCCCATAATACATTGATATCATGTTCTTACCCTGCTCCTTTTCAAATGGCTCTAGCTAGCAATCTACCTACAGCATAACTGAAAGGACAGACCATATCAGGAACCTCCTCTTGCTTTTCTCACAGAACAAAGATGTAGCTTCCAGGAATAGAGAAAAACTGCGCACATCTCAAATGAATATTGTTCCAGGTAGTGTTCCATCTTATATTCTATTCTAACTGAAAGACTCCCACATACATTTCTTTCATTGCATCCTAAGCGTTAAAACTTTGTCTGATTTTATAAAAGATCTTACTCAGTTCAAAACTGTCCACTGATATGACTACAAATTTAAATTTGTAACTGGCACATTTATACCACCTTGAATAAATTCATTAGTTATTTTTCTCTGGCATCTCATAAACACAATTTACTGTATAAAGCAGATGGCTAATGGGGGTCAAATAAAATGTGTATTCTTTTATTTATCCTTTCAAGAATACCATGAAAATCCTCTCTCCTCAAAACTCACTTTCTCTGCCTCCCCCGATATGGTTTATGTATTTACTTAAAGAATGAAATCGAACAGATGAAGTTTTCTACATTAAACCAATTCAGTGTTTAGTGAAAAACACATGCAATTAAGAGAAGATACTGGAAAGAATTTAACATTTCACATGTATTCAAACTGCTTATAAAAATAATATAAACTCATTACAGAAAACACAAAAAGAATACAAAGGGTACAAAAAGGATATAGAGAAGACATTTACAAAATTAACCCTTGTTAATATTTTGGTATATTTTCTTCCAGTAAATTTTTCTCAAATGGTAGTAGTAATATTGGACATCTTATTGTATGTTGTTTTTATTTCACTTGATATTATGTAAGCAACATTTCAAGCTGTTATTTTTAAAACCACCATTTTTCATGGATGGCTATTTAACAAGTCTATTAATGAACATACTTCAACATCTGCATCTTTATTTCCACAGAGTAAATTCTATAAGTGATATAATTGGTTCAAAGGGTATGAATGTTAAAGGCTCCCAATATATAATGACAAACTGACATCCAAAAAAAGTCATGTCACAGTTCCCTTCAGCAGTGTATAAGAATATTTACTCTACACCCACTGCCAAAGCAAAATAAAATCATTTAAAAAAACCTCTCTGGCATTCAATGAGATTAGAGAAGCTTTCTTTTAATAAGTGAAATCGGGTCCACTAGGGTTAATATTTTCTTGTTGATTCATGGATGAGAACTTGTTGACAAATTCTGTTACAAATCTTTTCCCCAGATTGTTGTGATCACTAGAGTTTTGTTGTTGTTGAATATAAATTATTACATAGTCAAGTTTACTGATATAGGCCTTTGTAATTATGTCCATTACTTTTGTGCTCAAAGTCCTTACTTAGCCTGAGCATGGTTAATATTCATCTGCATTTATGTATCTTGATATTTTAATTATTTCTTTCCTTAAATCTTTATTCACTTGTAATTTATTTTAATATATGACATGTTGAGGGAATCCAGATTTAATATAATTTCTAAACACTAAATCAATTTTCCCAATACCCTTTACCAGAAATTTTTAGTTGTTACATCTTAGCATCCTCACATATAGATACTAGATGTGCTTTCAGAGATTTCTAGTGGACTCTAGCCTAGTCTAGTATAGGCTACTGATTTGTTCTTATGTCAGAACCAGTTTTTAAAGTATTGTGACCTTAAACTGTTTTAAATTAATCTGAGGTTATTGACACTGATTCTTCTTATACCATTTTGTTAAATATATTTATTTTTGAGAGGAGGGTTTGACTGTTGAATTTAATTTGTAATTATAGATACATGAGCTATAATTTTTTTTTTTTTTACATATTCAGTTTCCTTCACTGTTTACCACCAGTCCTTTTCTTGTATGGTTTATACATATTTGAGTGATTGATTTGCATTCATGTTTAGCTCAGCCAGAGCACATCTTTGAAAGGTTTTCTGACAAAGTGTCCTATTTTTCAAGTCTTTGCATTTTTGAACATCTTCACGTATACATGGCAACTTGATAGGCACAGAATTCTTGGGAAGGCAACCTTTTATTCTTCAGAGTCACTGGAAGCTTAAGTGCACCATAAAGCCCTGGAAAATGCCATTCACATCACAGACACCAGAGTCTGTATGCTTATTAAAGCAACTTAATGCAGGTAGGAATAAAGTGTCTTCTTGTAACAAAATCTATATACTAGGATATTTTTCCAAGAAGAAGAAAATTAAGGGTCTAAAAAGAAGGGCTGCCATTTTCTAACATAAAGAAATTATAATACTATCACATAAGGCATCAAATGGGGAACAATGACCTGACAGTCTCTGGTATTTGTAGTAGAAAAGAAGTATGAGGCCTATTTGGATTTTGTTCCAATATAGATCACTTCTTTTTTTCTGCCTAAATACTGTTAGGACTTTTCCTTTTCTTTGAAATAAAAATTTTAAATTATTTGGAATATATTTAGAGGAGTGTGTGTGTGTGTGTGTGTGTGTATTTTTTGAATCAATAATACCTGGAAATCAATGAAATTAGGAAAGTCTTCTTATAGCAACCTTAAACGTTGTTCCTACTCCTATTTTTCTATTATTTTCCACCACAAACCTTACAACTTCTAGGTTGGATCTTTCATAATTGCTTAGTCTTGTACTAAGTTTTTGTACTTAGTATGCAAAGTTCACAATTGCATCATCAGCACCTAGAATAGCAGGCACATAGTAGGTGTTCAATAAACATTTAGTAAACGAACATTAATCAGTTCGAAAGTGCTAAACAATTTTGTTTTATCCATTTTAGGCTTCTTTCACTTGTCCTTATCTCAGCCAACTTCTGCATTTTTTGCCTTGTTTTAGCTTATTCACTCTCTGTAGAGGTCATATCTTCCTGGCTTTCTTTTGGGAGACTAAGCAGATGCCTTAACTTTATTGGTTTGTTAGAAAAGGTCATTTTTGGCAATTGTTAAAAAGTCAGGAAACAACAGGTGCTGGAGAGGATGTGGAGAAATAGGAACACTTTTACACTGTTGGTGGGACTGTAAACTAGTTCAACCATTGTGGAAGTTAGTGTGGCGATTCCTTAGGGATCTAGAACTAGAAATACCATTTGACCCAGCCATCCATTACTGGGCATATACCCAAAGGACTATAAATCATGCTGCTATAAAGACACATGCACACGTATGTTTATTGCAGCACTATTCACAATAGCAAAGACTTGGAACCAACCCAAATGTCCAACAATGATAGACTGGATTAAGAAAATGTGGCACATATACACCATGGAATACTATGCAGCCATAAAAAAGGATGAGTTCATGTCCTTTGTAGGGACATGGATGAAGCTGGAAACCATCATTCTCAGCAAACTATCGCAAGAACAAAAAACCAAACACCGCATGTTCTCACTCATAGATGGGAACTGAACAATGAGAACACATGGACACAGGAAGGGGAACATCACACTCTGGGGACTGTTGTGGGGTGGGGGGAGGGGGAAGGGATAGCATTAGGAGATATACCTAATGCTAAATGACGAGTTAATGGGCGCAGCACACCAGCATGGCACATGTATACATATGTAACTAACCTGCACATTGTGCACATGTACCCTAAAACTTAAAGTATAATAATAATAAAAAGAAAAAAAAAAAAAAAGAAAAGGTCATTTTCAGAACCATGTGTTGCTTGTAAATCTTCACAGCCATGTTTTCTCTTCCCATATCTTTTCAGTGTATTCTCTGCTCCACCCTTTAAAACTCATCCTTACGGCCAGGTGCAGTGGCTCATGCCTGTAATCCCAGCACTCTGAGAGGCCGAGGTGGGCGGATCACGAGGTCATGAGTTCAAGACCAGCCTGGCCAACATGGTGAAACCCCATCTCTACTACAAATACAAAAATTAGCCCGGCATGGTGGCGCGTGCCTATAATCCCAGCTACTTGGGAGGCTGAGGCAGGAGAATCGCTGGAACCCAGGAGGCAGAGGTTGCAGTGAGCCGAGACCACGCCACTGCACTCCAGCGTGATGACAGAGCGAGACTCCATCTCCCAAAAAACAAAACAAAACAAAACAAAAAACCTCATCCTTACTAAGATGGAAAGAGATCCACCAGGACTGGCATTTGGCCTCAACTTGAACTTCAAATATGAACTGATGCACCCCAGCCTGATTTTAGAACCTGGCTTGCTAGCACACATCCTTCTCATTGGGGTTGGCTGGTCTGAGACTAAACTGCCTGGGCAGGGTTCTCTGAGTAAGCCAGAAGAGCACATGCCATTCATTAGCTGTTTACCTCGTGGCATTCTGGAGACCACATTTCCAAGCACAGCCTGTTCCCTTCCCTTTACCTTCACCACACTTTGCCACGGGGACTCCGAATCCTAGGATGGTACATGCTTTTTCCAATCCTTCTTTGCTTCTTCCCTTACTATATTTAGGACATTTTAGTCTCTGCAAAGATCTGGAAATGCAGATGTTAATGCAGGCTAGTAGGGGAGTGAGAACTCCAGCTCTAGCAGTGTCAGATTATAGTTAACCTCAGTGAGATGGTTGCTTATTTTTCAGTTCCTGTGAGCATGGGTCCAAGGCATTTCCTACTCCCTTTGGATATCTGGCCTGATTTGGGTTCACAAAGTAGGATGAACAGCATGATGTTCAAGACTATGTTTTCAACCCAGTCCTGCTAATAAAATTAATTCTCCCTGGACTTTGCTAGCAATCTTCGATGTTTAGTTTCTTAATCTGCAGAACTTCATGGGTATTTAACATCTTCGTGGGTATTTAATGGAGAGGTAGGAAGTAACACGCCAAGCTTTATTACTTATTCTACCACCACCCTGAGATGCGATATATAATAAAGGTGTAGACAAAGAGAAAAACATACAAAAAATAACTCTGAAAAACTTGTTTTGAATTTAATTTATTCATAAAAGCATACCATTGCCCCCACAACGTCTGCAACAGAATGTCACCAGCTGTAGTTAGCAAGATAGGCATAGTTTGTTACTTGTTTCAGTGTCTTTATTTAAAATATGAAGTATTTAAAAGCCGACATCTTAAGCAATAAACTAAGAATGTGATCAAATATATCAGTAATTTATTAATGATAATTCCATGCCTCACCCTTAATTCTACCTTAAAATTAGAATTGTATTATGTACTTTGGAACACAAACAGAGAGACTAGGTAACTTTAGATAAAGGTTCCTGAATTGTACTACTGTCTCCATGAGTAAACAAACTATATCAAGGCATTTCACATTTCCCAGAATAAATTTCCCCAGCTGGAAAAAAAAAATCAGAAAGAGAATAAAAAATAAATGTTATGAGTACTAACAAATACAAATATCTGGAGAGCCTACAGTTCCTTCAATATTCTCAAGATCTCTACCCCATAAAAATCAAGCCTCAATCACTAGAGAATCATACTAGACAGACTTATAATCATCAACTCACTTGCGTTGCTGACTGTCTAAAGCTCTGGGTCATTGTTTTATTCCCAGTATTAATTGTGCCTTACTTAAGATTCTGGCAAAGCAACTAATTGGTATTAACAGCCATACAATTTACTAAGTCATTTTAAAATGCAGTTATATAACTTAATTATGCTCTGGAACAGTGAAGTCTTTAAACTGATCATATACTGTATAAGGAAGTCGCAGGAGTCATTATTTTTCAAATGTTTTGCTAAGTTAAAATATCCAACAGGTATCATGAAACAGAACAGAATAAAATACTCTTTTATTCTACTATTCACGGATTAAGCCATTTCAAAAGGTTATAACAGTTATTCCTCAGTATCTACGAGGATATAGAGGGGGCCACTGGTTCCAGGATCCCCGAGGATACCAAAATCCATGGATGCTCATCCCTGACATAAAATGGCACAGTATTTGCATATAACCTATGCACATTCGCCTATATACTTTAAATTATCTTTTGATTACTTATACTACCTAGTACAATGTAAATGCCATGCAAATAAATAGTTGTAATACTGTTATTTTTATTTGTATTTTTTATTGTTGTATTTTTAGTTGTTTTTGTTTGTCTGCTTTTCTGAATATTTTCGATCCTCAGATGGTTGAATTCATCGATGTGGAACCTGCTGATACGGAGGGCCATCTATAGTCTACAATTCATTTTCTAATTGCTCTCTGAGGAAGTGCTTTCTTGGGAGAAATTCTTCATTTCATCATCCAAATAGCAGGGAATATAACTTCATAACTAAAGTATTTTAAATATTTCTGTTCACGTTTTATTTGCAAATATCCTGTCTGCTCCCTGAGCATAAGTAAAACCCTACAAACACAGAAATTACTACTTTATCGCTTCTCAGCCTTCTGGCTAAGATCAAGTGAAACTGATACTTTTTTTTTTTTTTTTTTTTTTTTGAGACGGAGTCTTGCTCTGTTTCCCAGGCTGGAGTGCAGTGGCGTGGTCTCGGCTCACTTCAACCTCCGCCTCCCAGATTCAAGCGATTCTCCTGCCTCAGTCTTCTGAGTAGTTGGGATTGTAGGCACACGCCACCACGCCCAGCTAATTTCTGTATTTTTAGTAGAGACAGGGTTTCGCCATGTTGGCCAGGCTGGGAAACTACTACTTTATAGACCAGTATGGTCCCAGAAAAAGTAAGCTTCATTTTAAGTTATTGTTTTTAAGTACTCTTGCACCAAGCCCCACCCTAAGTGCTTCCCGTGGATTATCTCACTTAATTCTCAAATCATCATTCTGAGGAGATCTCATGCTCATTTTACAGATGAGGATACTGAGTTTTAATGAAGTTCCATAATTTGTCCCATGATCACACAGCTAAGATGTAGCAGAGCTGAGATTTTAAACCCAGGAAGACTGATTCTGAATGCCATTTCTCAACCATAATCATGCTATACTGTCTTTGCAAGCCATGTGTATGTAAATTTTGTTGTAGAAAGTGATTCTGAAACACACACACACACACACATCACTGAAGAGAAATGTTAGCACCAATGAACATTTCAAAATAGTTTTCTAATAATATGTTATAATATTTATACACTGAAAAGTACAGGCAAGTATTTCATTACTTCCATCTTTATCTTTTTTACTGTGTAGAAACCTTCCAAAATAACTTAGTCCAAAAGTATTTATTTTTACATTATAAGTAAAATTATAAAATGGGAGGAAATTCAAGCACAGGATACATTCTATAGCAGGTCAGAGCTAATATGCATTTGCCAAGTACTATAGAAATATAAAATACCATCCATGATATTCAGTGATAAAAGCTAGATTTCTCCAGGAAATTCCTTAGAGATCTTGACTTATATTATTTGTTATTTGAAAACTACCATAGCTTGTCAATACTAAAAGTTAGATTTACTGCTAAATTTCAATACTTCAGACCAAATCACACACACAAAAAATCTATACCAAAGAAAAAGAGCGTTTCAATCAGTCAACTAACAAATGTTTATTGGACCTCTGCTTTATGTAAGGTTTTCTTTTGTATCCTGTGTTTGACATGAGTGAGTAAATGAAGCTGTCTTATATACATAGAAGTCTACAACCTGGTATGTAATAACGCATGACAGTAAGTTAAAAATGCATGACAAAAGCTAAAAAGTATAACAAGTGTTATATGATATGCCACAGGAGTTCAAAAAAGATCATGCAAATATACAGAAAAAAATGTATATCCCCTTCAGATTTAACAGTTGATAATATTTTGGCTTATTTGCTGTGGATCTCCTGCCTTTTGAAATGTAAAATGCCAAAAATAAAACTTCATTCATTCCCATTCCCTCTACCCAGAGGTAATTTCTATCCTGAAGTTGATAGTATCATTCCCACACATTTTTATCACTACGAATGAATCTGCCCATAAATTGTATCGTTTTGTGCACTAAAAATCATGTAACTAGCATATGCTATTGCATGTATCTTTTTTCAAACACTTAAAAAAAATACAATCTGTATCTGACATTAAAAACTAAATCTAGTTCAATAGTTCTCCCTTGGGGGGTGACTGTGCTCCCCCCAAGACATCTGGGGACACTTTCGGTTGTCACATAGGCTGGGGGCGCTACTGGGATCGAGTGAGTAGAGACCAAGAGTGCCACTAAACATCCTACAATGCACGGGACAGTCCCTACAACAGTCCTAGCCCCAAATGTCAAAAGTGCTAAGGGTAAGAAACTCTGCTCGAGTTTATTCATTTTAACCATTTTGTGGTATTTCCGTACAAACATTCCCCCTTAAAAATGTGAGAATGCCATGGCACGTGTATACCTACGTAACAAACCTACGCGTTATGCACATGTACCCCAGAACTTAAAGTATGATAATAAAAAAAAATTTGAGAATGATCACTTGTTGAAGAGATCAGGTAAAGCTTTACTGAAAAGATTAATATGCTATGAAAGAAAATTTTAATTGAAAAAGAAGATTAAAAGATCCATTCTCCAAAAATTATTAAAATTATCACAACACTAAAATGTCTACACTCATTTTTATAAAACAATGATTAGTTTTATAATAACTTTTGTAATACGGTTCCATTAAAATATTATACCGTGAAATGGCCAGGCGCAGTGGCTCATGCCTGTAATCCCAGCACTTTGGGAGGCCGAAGCGGACGGATCACCTGAGGTCAGGAGTTCGAGACCAGCCTGGCCAACATGGCAAAACCTCATCTCTACTAAAAATACAAAAATTAGCCTGGCGTGGTGGTGAGGGCCTGTAATCCCAGCTACTTGGGAGGCTGAGGCAGAAGAATTACTTGAACCCGCAAGGTGGAGGTTGCACTGAGCTGAGATCACGCCACTGTACTCCAGCCTGGGCGACAGAGTGAGACTCTGTCTCACAAAAAAAAAAAAAAAAAGACAGTGAAATATACCAAAAGGTATACTGAAAACATATATCCTTTTTTTTTTTCCTAAAAATTTCAGGAATGGTTTTCATTAGGCCAAAAACAATTTAGCGGAGTCCCACCAAGTCTATACCAATACCTGGCAAAATGAGAACACTTGGACACAGGGAGGGGAACATCACACACCGGGGCCTGTCATGGGATGGGGGGAAGGGGGAGGGATAGCATTAGGAGATATACCTAATGTAAATGACGAGTTAATGGGTACAGCACACCAACATGGCACATGTATACATATGTAACAAACCTGCACATTGTGCACATGTACCCTAGAACTTAAAAGTATAATAGAAAAAAAAAAATATATATATATAAATACCTGGCAAAACTGCCTATTAAGGTTGACATGATGGAGCTATTATTACAGGAAACATTGATGTAAACTCTAACCTGCTCAAAATTAGAATTAAATGGTACGCTAAGAGTACTTTAAGAAAACTCTTATAATTTAGAAAGCATTACAAGAAAAACTGTGTATTTACTTCATGTACCGTTTCTAAAAAGAGGATAGTCTTATGAAAATACTAATACTTTATCAAGAACATGAGACAGCAGGTAGCCAAAAAGGAAGACATGGGAAGTGGGATCTCACAAAGAGACTTTGTACAGATAATGACTGCCTTCCAGGCGGATCACTTGAGGTTAGGAGTTCGAGAACAGCCTGGCCAACATGGTAAAACCCCATCTCTACTAAAAATACAAAAAAATTAGCCCAGCGTGGTAGCACACGCCTGTAGTCCCAGCTACTCGGGAGGCTGAGACGTGAGAATCGCTTGAATCCAGGAGGCGGAGGTTGCAGTGAGCCAAGATCACGCCACTGCACTCCAGCCACCGGGCAGACAGAGTGAGACTCTGTCTCCAAAACACACACACACACACACACACACACACACACACACACGCACACACACACAACTG
This sequence comes from Homo sapiens, assembly GCF_000001405.40. NCBI lineage: Eukaryota > Metazoa > Chordata > Mammalia > Primates > Hominidae > Homo > Homo sapiens. The sequence goes on along the minus strand of NC_000023.11, from coordinate 18,553,448 downwards.
CCTTCAAGCCAAGTCAGTGATAAATTTCCAACACAACAACTCTGTTTTCTCATTATTTCCAATAAGACATAAAATCTCTTCTACCATCTCTGCGCTGGATCTGCCCTCCATGAATCTTTTATTGAGATGTAAAATGAGAATGTATGAGTGTAAAATATTCAGACAGAATGCCTAACCATTTCTGCATCTTCCCCTACAAAACCTGGGCCTGTCTCCTGTCCCATATATCTCAGTAAACACTAGCCAGAAATTTGGGATCACTGTTGACATCTCCCTTGTCTGCACCACCAAATCCATCCAGTCTATCACTAAGTGCTGTTGGGTTTTGCCTCCTACATTGTTTTCAAATGGGTCCACTGTCCTGTACCTGAATGCTCCTCCTACCCCTGGTCAAGCCTTTGGTACTTTCACCTTCAGTACTGCCACAGCCCTTCTGATATGTTCATCCCCTCAGCAACCAGGTTCTTCCTTGGGAAAGGAAATCTGATTTCAAGCTCCACCATTCCCCTTAAAATTCTCCCTAACTCCACTAACCTGACAACTCCGTCGCAGCTGCTCCACATGGCAGGCCAGGTAGCTCTTCCACCTCCTCTCCCTAGGTCTCCTTTGCTTGCTGAGTCACATCTCTCCTTGCCATGTTCTCTACTGCCTTAGGGTCTATTCCCTTTGTTCTTGCAAGCTTTGCCCTCCCTTGCCCACTCAACCCTCTCTCATCCCCCAGATCCTGGCTCAATCAATCCTCACTTCCTCAGAGGAGCCTTCCCACGGCTCCTCGATGAGATCTGAAGGCCCTGTGGTGTTCTCTCAGCAAGCGCCTCTTCTTTATAACTTGCATTAAAGTTCCACCTTTACAGATTTACATGATCACTTGATCAAGGTCTGACTCTACTACTAGACTGCAAGCTTGTAGTTGAGAAATAAATGCAACTGGTCCAAAATGTGCTCAGCAAAAAAGGAGAACAGCTAGTCCAAACATCTTACTGTATTGTGTTGCCAATGTAAAACATATATCCTGTTGGCCTGGCTCATTCTTCTCTTTGGATATCAGTTACTAATTCTACCATAGCCTAACACTTTTTCCTCCCATAATTTTAAAAGAAAAAGACATTCCTTGGTACATAAGGAAAAACCAACCAGCCAAGAACACAGAATGCAAATATATACATTTTGGGTTTTTTCTTTCTTTCTTTCTTTCTTTTTTTTTTTTTTTTGAGACGGAGTCTCACTCTGTTGCCCAGGCTGGAGTGCAATGGCACAATCTCGGCTCACTGCAACCTCCGCCTCCCAGGTTCAAGCAATTCTCTTGCCTCAGCCTCCTGAGTAGCTGAGATTACAGGCACACGCCACCATGCCCGGCTAATTTTTGTATTTTTAGTAGAGACGGGGTTTCACCATGTTGGCCAGGCTTGTCTCAAACTCCTGACCTTGTGATCCACCCGCCTCGGCCTCCCAAAGTGCTGGGATTACAGTCGTAAGCTGGCCACATTTCGGTTTTTTTAAGGACAGATTCCCTAGGAGACATATTAGATCTGCTTTTCTATGCTTTAGAAAGTTTCGGAAGGGTGTGGTGGCTCACGCCTATAATCTCAGCACTTTTGGAGGCCGAGGCAGGCAAATCGCTTGAGCCCAGGAGTTCAATACTAGCCTGGGCAACATGGTGAAACCCTGTCTCTGCACACACACACACTACAAAAGATTAGCTGGGTGTGGTGGTGCACACCTATAGTCCCAGCTACCTGGGAGGCTGAGGTAGGAGGATCCTTTGGGCCAGGAAGGTTGAGGCTGCAGTGAGCCGAGACGCTGCAACTGTGCTCCAGCCTGAGCAACAGTGAGACTCTGTCTCAAATAATAATAATAATAATAATAATAATAATAATAATAATAATAATGTCAAGGTATCTAGTAAGGCTATGAGACTTGGGGCCACCTTGGATGGCTGATATTTGAGTGCCGCAAATGTGAGAACAAAACCATATTAAAAGCCTTGGACCACTTAATTGATAAATGCAAACAAACCCACATATCCAGAAATCCTTTGTAAGTACTTGTAATATGCTCCATTGTAACTATTATAGTATCAGCCTGAAGGGACGCTGGCTGATAATGCCAAAGAATGAACTAAGAGGGCTAGTTTACACAGAACTATACACTAAAAATGGGTACATCTTATTGTATATAAGTGGGTAATTCAAGATGAATCACTTAAAAATAATTTACCTCATAGTTCCAGGACTAATATAAATTTACTACCCTATGTTCATATTATAGATTCGGTAATTAATAAAATGTTCAAAAAGTAAAATATAGTTATCAAAATGAAAAATGAGACATTCAGAGAACAATTTTCCTTAATCCCTCTGGCAGAAAATACCAACAATTTTCAATGGAAAGAGAGAAAGGTGAACTTTCAAAACAGTCTAGCTCCATACTTATAGATCATATAAAATTTGAGATGCATCTCATTTTTATTTAAAACCCACATCTTCAAACATTATATGTAGATACCCTCAAACCACCTTGTCTACACCAAATTCACACCAAATTGTCTGCAAATGAATGAGAATTTTGAAGACTACATGGCAGTGATGCCTGTCAGACAGCCTTTCAGTTTAGTATTAACCATCACGTCTATACTGCAGTTATTGTGCAATTGTGTTACTATTTCATTTTGTCCTTATTTTATAACACTGAGGCGAGAAAATGAAAATTTCACTTCTAGTGATCAAGTAACTGAGACCAAGATGGCATTAGGCATGCCAACTGCAGGCAATCTAAACCTCAGATAATCATTGGACTTAAAAGCTATGTTCCACTGTGAATGAAGAATACAAAATTTAAATTTAAATGCAGGAAATATATCCTCAAAGACTATCTTGCTGCGGCAGGAACAGTAATTTATAGCTCACTAAATTTAACCCGTGCCAAGAAAATGTAGCTTTTAAATTTTCTGTAACTGTTTTAACCTTGCTTTTCAAGCCCCCACACTTGACTTTAACTTGCATTATATGGTAGTGCAGTCCCTTCTGGTTTATAGTCTTGTTCAGGTAAATGTTAAGTTTTTCCATTTTCTCCCTGCTTCTACCAAGATGGCAGCTGTGGGTATGGATGTGGGTGGGGTTACAGAACTTCACCGTAGTAAGGTAGAGGTTCTCAGGTCTCCAAGACAAGGTTCCTTATACGCGTGGACCCCAGACACTGGCCTGAGGCTGCTGTTGGAGCTCAAGGAGGCTGTAGACTCAGGTGTGCTCTCTTGGCCCAGAGCCCAGGGATCTACCCCAGTTGATCTGTCTCTAATTGGTGCCGAAGACATCTAGACTCCTTAATCTCATTTACACCCAAGACCTAGCTCAATCAGTGTCAGCTACAGCGTGGCTGTCAGCTACAGCGTGGGTATCAGCTTGCCCCTCAACACATCTTTCCCACTGACAGGTTCACTGGCTCTCAACCCAGCTACCTGGAGTGTGAAGTAACTTTGGGATTCCTCAGAAGCCACTCACCAGCTAAAGGAGGCCTGGCAGTCCTCTTTACCTAACCACAGCATGCTACATTTTCTTCTGCTGTGGCTGCTTACATTGTGTTAAAGCAGCCTTGAAAGACTGTTTCTTCCCTGAGTTACAAGAGGGGGATGGGGCATAAGCTTCCTTCACTTTTGGCTTACCTTCAACCTACCCACCCCCTAAACCTTGAATTTCAGTTCCCTAAGGTGATGGGGGCGGGGAATGACAAGAAATATATACCTGACCACCTGCCTGCTCTAACTCTGCCTGTTCTTCCCACATTCCTTTGACACTTGAATGGGCTGTCCTTCATTTCTCCTTTAATACTCAAGGAATTTACCCTACAAAGTGGCATTCATCCTGCTCTCTTTCCTGGGGACATGATAAAAGAAAAGATCAGAAGACAAAAACCAATTTATTGACCAAAGATACATCATCAGGTATTCCAAAAGTATTATCCCTGCTAAATAAAGATTCAAGAATATTGACAGAATAAAAAACAAAGTTTAAAATTATGGACTGATGATCAGCATAAAAATGCATGGTCCAAATGAAGAGAAAAATCTATTGCTCTGTTGAATGAGTGACAGAGCTTGCTAGAGATTCCTTTATCAAGGGAGGGACTGACTGTGCCTTTCTTATGACCAATTGTTTCAGTAAGTTATGTAGAGACCATCGAAGTCAGTATACTTAATTTTTGCAATTATTCATGTATAAACAATGTACAGGTAGTTAACAATAGCATAGCTACTACAGAGCAAGTTGCTCACTGCTTACTCAGAGCCTGAACAAAAGCCAGACCCATGCGTATATACTCATACCTTCTGCTGACGTTAGAGACAGTAGAGCAAAAATGGTAATAAATTAGTGCTCAATAAAAAAATGCTTGATTCTGTTTTGTTTTTATTCATCAACACACTGATGAATTGTGCATGCATGTATATAAAATCTATAAGTCTTGAATTCTGGCAAATACAATATCCTAATTTTACATTTTCTTATAAAATAAGAAAATGAGAATACTAAAATCGCAAATAAAGCCAATGCACCAAGGTTTAATTTTTTCCAATTCATGAGAGATATGGCTGCTTTAGAACAGGCACGAGCTTAACAAAACACTGAAGTTCAAAGAAAGCAAACAGCAATTTGTTTCTGTATAACATCTTCGGGCTACCTAGGCACAAGGTGCTCAGGTGCGCAATGGCTACAACACTGCTAAGATGTGAAAGACTGTGACGTATAGAACAGAAACACAGAAACTCCCTATTCAAGCACTGCGCTGGGTTATCTCTAGAAATCCTGTGACCACACTTTCTGATAGATGTGCTCACAAAGCAGGCAAGGAAGCAGAATAGGACAACTGAAATCTGAAAAAGGTTCCAAGTCACAGCGTTTTGCCATAACCATATCTACAGAGAAAAGTGAAAAATACATTCAACATAGGTAGTAACAATTTTTATTTTCTTTTCCTAAAATCTGATTTTCAAAGCATCTAGTTAAGCTTGTAATAACTCCTCATATCTTATTATACATTGTGGAGAAAACTAGAAAATGCCAGATTTACTTTCTCTTAGCAGAGAAAGAGAAGGCTATTAGATATATATCAGCAGCCCATGGTATTTTTCAAAGAGCTATGTGTAAAATATAATAAGGTTTCTCTTCAGATAATCTGGTCAATCTTTTATTCTTTAATTCATAGTATCCCTCCCTTTTTTCTCCTTTTTCCTTTTTGCCTTTGTTAAATGCCCAGGCACGCCTCAATACCAAGCGTTATCAATACCAGCTCACATTCCTTCCCTTATTTAAAAAAAAAAAAAACTTTCTAGCTCATTACAAACACCCCTTCCCTTTCCTCTACTTTCTTTTAAGTGCCCACCCTATCTAAAAAACAAAAAATCAAATGTTTAGCCAACCAAATTTAATTTAAATTATACAACCCAACCCCGGCCAATAAAAAAATACAAAAACAAAACTCGCGTCAAAAATAAAAACTCTCGTGCCCTTTGTTCAAGTATATTCTCATGACAACTGGCCGAAGAGGCACCCCTCTGCGCAAAAACAAAATTGCTTTGCTAAAAATCCTTTTGTTCAAGTGTTCAATTTCCTTAAGATATTAAGTGTTATTCCTAACATGTGTCTAGTTTGTCTTACATCCAAGTATCTAGCATTTTATCTTACGTATGTAACTAAAAGTCTGCTCAATTAAACTGTATTATCACACAGGCCTGGAAGAGGAACTGTTTATCACCATCATATTGGCCTGATGACCAATGTACACCACACCTTGAGCACTAAAGCAAAAGGAGGAAGAGACAAAACTACCAAAAGTTTTGTCTGTTGTCTTGAAACAAGAGTGGCACGTAAGTCTCAAGCAATTCAATGTTTCAAGAGAATTAGCCAAAGAACACTGTAAACCTGAATAAAATGTTTGTGTCTGGTTACTTGATGTCAAGAACATCACTGAAGCACTCTAGTTAAAATCCTCTTTAAATAATATTCTCTAAAAGGCCTCAGTAAGATCATCAGTTTTGCACATAATGAAAATTTAAAATATTCACAGCTGTTAATCAGAGGAATTCAGGAAAAGAATGCTGCATTACATATCATGCAGCCTGGAGGCTTTCAGGATAACATTCTAATTCCATGCTTTACCTCCTAATTTGTAAGGAAAAGCTCCCTTGCTCATGTCACACCTAATCATTTGCAGTTAGTTTCTCAACTAAGCCTTCACATACACTTGCTTTTATCTGCTCACACTCTGCCTCAAGCATTCATTCTTCATTCATTCATTCATTTATTCAACCAATAAACATTTTTCAAGCCCCTACTATGTAACAGGCACTGGGAATACAAAGAAGTTACATTCTGGAGGGAAGAGACATATAACAAGGAAACAAATAACAGAACAAGATTATGGTAACAAAACAGACAATTCAATAGAGTACTGGTGCAGTACCTAAGGAGGTGATGTTTTAGCTTTACTGAAATGACAAGAAGCCAGCCCTTCTACTTCTAGTTCACTCCTTTTACTCCTTCAAAACCCTCCTGCAGGAAGCACTGCAGGATCCCCCCAGCTTGTTTTGTGTACTCCTCTTTTCGTGATCCCAAGACCCTATTCACACCTCCAGCAAACCACTCACCACAACTGCACTGGAATCTATGCTTTGCCATGCGGCCTCACTTCCCAGCCAGACGGTGATTAAGATCCATGAGGGTAGGTACCTCACTTAACTCTGTGCCCCTGAGACCTAGCAGAAAGGCCCCCACCAAAAGGATGTGATGGATGGGTTAGGCAGTTCAGCTGTTCTAAATACCTCTGATGAAACTTACAGTGACCAATAAGAAATGAGACAAGGGACATGCTGGGCAAAGAAAGAAGATATGTAACTTGTTTGGGTGCAATGGCTCACGCCTGTAATCCAGCACTTTGGGAGGCTGAGGCAGGTGGATCACCTGAGGTCAGGAGGTCCGAGACCAGCCTGGCCAACATGGTGAAACCCCATCTCTACTAAAAATACAAAAATTAGCCAGGTGTGGTGGCGGGCGCCTGTAATCCCAGCTACTAGGGAGGCTGAGACAGAAGAATCATTTGAACCTGGGAGGCGGAGATTGCAGTGAGCAGAGATTGCACCATTGCACTCCAGCTTGGGCGACAAGAGGGAAACTCTGTCTCAAAAAAAAAAAAAAAAAAAAGAAGAAGTAGAAGATATGTAACTTAAACATGGCAGAAAGTAAAAACAAATATTATCTTGTTAAAAGAACCAACCACCTGAGTTTTCAAACGGATAACCTGTTTTTTTACATTTTCATGCTCTGACAGCCATGAATACCTCCAGGGCAGAGAGTACACCCCAATTTCTGTGCCACCATAATAAGCCTTTCCTTTCTGGAGTGTGGTCACTCTGTAATCACTGATCATGCCCTTCTCACCCTTTACCCCAAACAACCAACAGGACTCACTAGAGTAGGTGTGTTACCAAATGTCTATTTAATGAACTAATCGGAAGTTCTAAAGTTCACTCCTGTGGTTTCTCTTGAGCTAGAACTAGCAAAGAATCTTATTATATCAACAAAATGTATTCAAGTGGCATGGAAGATAAATCAATATGAATTTGAAAAAAAATCTGCCTCAGATAAATCACATTGTGGGCTAGTGTTCATGGAAATTTAAGAGTCAATGGTATGAAAACATGCAAATTAATGGAGAGATACATTATTCCTAACAAAACATGGCAGAAAATTTATATTCACATTCTGTGTTTACAAAGAATAGAACAAACTCTAAGATTATAGTACCAAGTACATAGAATATGCATGTAAATGAAACTTTGATTCTACATTTCAAATGAACGAAAAAACTTAAACATTTTCACTGAAAAAGCAAGGTAAAGGGCAGTATGAATCTTTTCTCAACAGAGGAACACGGCTATATTATAACTGCTTTACAATTAAGTCCCTATAGAATTTAAATGTACTGGCATGGATAATATTTACATAATGACGTGTGAGTCACATCCTTCTAGTTATTCTACTACCTGTATTTAAACACAAAGACATGTAAAAACAATAGAAATGATCACAAATGTATAACAAAATGTGATATATAATAGATATACATAATCAGAAATAATCTGGTTAAATTTTTTATTGAGCCCTAAGCAACCAAACAAAAAAGCAGAGATTTCCTTTTATTTTTCTTTATTATTATTATTATTTGAGACAGAGTTGCACTCTGTCACCCAGGCGGGAGTGCAGTGGCTCGATCATGGCTCACTGCAGCCTCGACATCCCCAGGCTCAGGTGATCCTCCCACCTTATCCTCTGAGTAGCTGGGACTACAGGCTACTATCTGTGTGCCACCACACAAGGCTAATTTTTGTACTGTTTGTAGAGACAGGGTCTCCCTATGTTGACCAGGCTGGTCTCTAACTCATAGGCTCAAGCAATCCTCCCGCCTTGGCCTCCCACAGTGCTGGGATTACAGGTGTGAGCCACTGCACTTGGCCAAAAGCAGAGATTTCTAACAAAATCATTGTTTCCTACTTACAAAAACGAACAAAAAAATCTGATTATTAAAGGACTATACTCCAAACAGTTGTAAATGTAACCTATTACTGGTTATTTTTTATACTCTTCTTGCCAAATCTATGTGGTTTAATAAGAAAGAAAACAAAAACTTTTCTAATTAGAAACGTACTTTAGTAACATTTAATTGTGTGACACTTTTTAGAAGCCTAGAACACTTATTTTAGATACATCAATCTTAATTTCAAGCAAATAATAGAAAAGCAAAGTAAAACTCAAAGGTTGTCACGTCGCTGAAAGAAGGGTAAGAAGAACTTCAGCTCTGAGCTAGACTGCCTGCATTTGAATCCTGGCTCTACCACCTACTACCTGAGTGGCCTTAGGGAAGTTCCTTAACTTCTCTGTGCCTCAATTTCCTCCGGAGAAAATCAGATATAATAATATCACTTATTCCTGAGGTTGCTATTAGGATTAAATGAGAAGATACAAGTAAAATGCTTAGAACACACATGAGTTAAAAAAACAGTATCACCATTATCACCCACTACCATCAAGGAGAAAGTTCAGAAATGTTCTACTTTTGGGCATTCCCAAATCATCAAAACCAAATTTCCAAAGGAACTCAGAGATCATGGGGTTGTATCCCTGAGATCTAGTTTCTCCTGCCCATGGAGAGAACTAACAGCCCTTATGATTATAAAGCCCAGACTCACAAAGGCAGTAGAGCTGAACTTCCCATCCAATAGAGTTAAGGTTCCTCCAGGAGTGGGAGGATCATGGGACCACAGCTTCTGCATGAGGCAGAGAGGGGTGTTCAGGACTTCTGACAGTTGTGGTACTTGCGGAGATTCCACCTGTCTGATTACTAAGCACCATAGCCTGGAGAGTTGGGGCCAGGGAAGCACTACCCACTGGATGGCAGCTCCTGGCAAAGGGTTTAATTGTAACCAGAGTAACAACAAGGCACTAAGCACTAGACCACTTCCTCATTTGCCTAGTACCTCATAAACCAAAGGAGGCTTATCTCAACCAATGAGAGGGGAGGAAACTCCCACAATACTACCAGCCAGGTAGTATGAAGCTAGATTCTGTTTTTATTTCTAAAAGAATTGTGAGTGGTTTCCATCTGAGTATAATGGGGCAAATTAAAATTGATTCCACAGGTCTTTGAACTCTACAAAACTATCAGCTATTTGAAAGTAAGGATTATGTCTCAGTCCTATCTGCAGACCCAAGGGTCAATCACTGTGCCTGATACATAGTATATTTGAAGAATAAATTATTGTTTATTCTTTAAATATTAAAATATGTTACTATTATACAAAACGGTGTTAACAGATTTTAGAATTTTCATTATATATTAAACACATGCACACACAGACTTCTCATTCTGGTCAAGATGGAGCAGCCCCACTCCTTCCAGGTCCTCTTCCTTAAGACTAAAAATCCTTGACCGTGACACAAAAACGTACATAGGAAGCCAAGATGGAAAGAAGATGGCACACTGCATAGGGACTTCGGCACTTGAGAGGCAAGTTCCTGGGTTTCCTTATTGTCTCCCATATATGCCCAATAAGGTGCTTCAAAAGCCTTCAACCTGGCACCGATAGACAAATAAAAAAAAAATAGCTCCAAGAAAAACCTGTTCTTTCAGCCAAAAGACCAGGAAAAGGGTAGGCTAACAACTGAAAATCTTTCTGGCAATACCCTCCCTATTCCAGGCAACAGGGAGGGTACTGCCAAAAAGAAAATGGAAAAACTGCAGCAATGGAAAAACTGCAGCACCACCCCACTGAGGTTTCAGCAGGCCCAAGTAGGAAAACACTCTTTTACACATACACATCCCGAGAAAGCAGGCGGCACTGTTAGAATTCCCTGCCTGATGAGATCAGTGAGGCTGACCAAGGAGCTAATCTTTCATTGCCCATCAGGCCGTAGCACCTCTGACTCCCCGGCCAGGGTAGCGTCTGCAAGATGTAGCAGAGGCAATAAGGCAGGTGCAAATCTGAGATCCGATTTCACTGGGGAGGTGTTGGTGGGGCCAAATGAGGAGCTGAACATCCACCTCACCCATCTACAATGAGGCAGCGTGAGTAAAAGTGGAGCTTTTGCGGAGGTGGTATCAATGGGACCAAGAGGGAAATTGAATATACACATTTGCCCTTATCCTATACCTCAACTGGGTGGCTACCTGCTAAAACACACATTAAATAGGATCCAGAGTCTTGCAATATCCAAAATGACCAGGATACAAAAAAAAAAAAAAATCATCATATTAGGAACCATGAAAATCACAACCTGAATGAATGAAAGAAGACAATTAAGAGACATTAACACTGAGATGAAGCAGGTGCTGGAATTATCTGACAGAGATTTTAAAGCAACCCTAATAAAAATACTTCAATAAAGAACCCAGAAGAGCCCATGGGCACAGACAAAGAGCCCCAACAAAAGCCTTCTCTTCTCCAGCTAAAGGACCAGGAAAAGAACAGCCTAGCAGGACAAAAGACCTTAGACAATAACTACTCTACCCCAGCCACAAAACAGTGAAAACTGGGGCCCTACCCATGCCAGCAAATGCTGCGAAGAGAACATGTCTAATCCCCCGCCAGGCTGGTGTCAGTGGAGGCCAACGTGGGGAGTGGTCACAAGATACTCCTGGCCCTCCAGCCACAGTGGTCAGCAAAGGCCTAGGGAGCTGGAATTCCCACCCAACAAAGCAGCAGCAAGGAGCCCCTCTCAGTGGGTGTCAATGGAGGTGGAATTAGAAAACTCAACTTCCATTCCCCTCCTTTCCAGAAGGGGTGTCAAAGAAGGCCAAGAAAAACAGGAGATTAAATAAGATCCAGATTCTAATGACATAACATCCAAAATGTCCAGGTTTCAGTAGAAAATTATTCATCATACTAAAAAGTAGGGAAATCTCAACATGCAAAAAAGACTAACAGGTGCCAGCGAAGACTGTAGAGATGTTAGAATCATCACAGAAAAAATTTCCAAGCTGCCATCATACAAATACTTTAGAGTAATTACAAGCATACTTGAACCAAATAAGAAAATATAGGAACTCTCAACAAATTAATAGAAGATACAAAAAAAAAACTTTAGGCCAGGCATGGTGGTTCACACCTGTTATCCCAGCACTTTGGGAAGGCAAGACAGGAGGACTGCTTAAGTCCAGGAGTTGGAGACGAGCCTGGGCAACATGGTGAAACCTGTCTCTACAAAATAAACAAAAATTAGCTGGGCGCGTCTGTGGTCCCAACTACTTGGGAGGCTGAGGTGGAGGATCACCTGAGCCTAGGGAGGTGAAGGCTGCAGTGAGCAATGACTGTGCAACTGCACTCCAGCCTGGGTGATAGAGTGACACCCTGTCTCAAAAAAACAAAAACGAACAACAACAACAAAAAAACCTTATGAATTGAAAAATAAAGCAAATAACTGAAATTTAAAACTCAGTGAATGGACTAAACAACAGAATGGAGAAAACAGAGGAAAGAATCTGTGAACTTAGAGACAGAATAGAAATAATCCAATCTTAACAACAGAAAAGAAACAGATGGGGGAAAAATGAACAGAGACTCAGAGACATGTGGCACTATAACAAAAGACCTAATATTCATGTCACTGGAGGTTCAGAAGGATGGGACAAACAGAGTAGAGCTGAAAATACATTCAAAGAAATCACAACGGAAAAGTTCCAAATTTAGCAAAAGACATAACCTACAGATTCATGCAGCTAAGCAAACTCCAAACAAGATAAACCCAAAGTAATTCCAGCCAAGACACATCATAGTGAAACTTTTGAAAACTAAAAAACAAAAAAACAGCACCTTACCTATAGGAGAAAAACAATTTGAATGACAGTGTATTCTCATCAGTAACCACAGAGGCTAAAAGGAAACAGCACAATTTTCAAGCACTAAATAAAAGAACTGTCGGCCGGGCGTGGTAGCTCACGCCTGTAATCCCAGCACTTTGGAAGGCTGAGGCGGGTGGATCACGAGGTCAAGAGATCAAGACCATCCTGGCCAACATGGTGAAACCCCGTCTATACCAAAAATTACAAAAATTAGCTGGGCGTGGTGGTGCGTGTCTGTAGTCCCAGCTACTCGGGAGGCTGAGGCAGGAGAATCGCTTGAACCTGGGAGGCAGAGGTTGCAGTGAGCCGAGATCACGCCACTGCACTCCAGCCTGGAGGCAGAGTAAGACTCTGTCTCAAAAAAAAAGAAGGGAAGGGGAAGGGGAAGGGGAAAGAAAAGAAAAGAAAAGAAAAAAGAAAAGAAAAGAATTGTCAATCAGAAATCCTGTATCAAGCAAAAATACCATTCAGGAATGAAAGAGAAATAAAGACAATCGCAGATGAAGGAAAACAAAGAGAAGTAGCTAGCAAACTTACCCTTAAAGAATGGTTAAAGGTAGTTTTCTAAATAGGAAGTAAAAGATAACCAGCCAGGCGTGGTGGTTCACTCCTGTAATCCCAGCACTTTGGGAGGCCAATGCAGGTGGACTGCTTGAGCCCAGGAGTTGGAGACCAGCCTGGGCAACATGGCAAAACCCTATCTATACCAAAAACACAAAAATTAGTCAGGTGTGGTGGTGCACACCTGTGGTCCCAGCTACTCAGGAGGCTGAGGTAGGAGAATCGCTTGAGCCCGGGAAGTCACAAGGCTACAGTGAGCTGTGATTGCACCACTGGGTGACCCTCCAGCCTGGGTGACAAAATGAGACCCTGTCTCAAACAACAACAACAACAACAACAACAACAACCAAGAAAGTAAAAGATAACCAAAGAAGCTTGGAATTTAAGAAAAAAATATTAGAACAGGCTACAAAAATAAAAGGTGGGGAATATAAGACTATCCTTTTGCTCATGAGTTTCATAAATCAGATTTGATGGTTGAGACAAAAATTATAAATTATAACATCATCTGATGTGGTGCTCAATGTACGTAGAAGAAATACTTAAGACATATATATTTTTTAAGTGGGGAGGGCAAAAGGGTCTAAAGGAGAGTAAGATTTCTACACTTCACTTGAGTGGTAAAACACTGATAATAGATTGTGGTAAATACAAATGTATATTTTAATACCTAGATCAGTAACTAAGAACACAATACAAACTGATATACTAATGAACTGTATAAATAAGATGGAATCCTAAAACTTCCTGAAGACAAAAAAATAAGAAAATGAAACCCAACAGGGTCTCATTGTCATATATAAAATACTATACCCAACAGCAGCAGAATACATGTTTCTTTCAAGAGCCCATAAAATATTCACCAAGACAGAACACATCTTGGGCCACAAAACAAACCTTAACAAATTTTAAAGAGCTGAAATCATACAGAGTATTTTCTCTGACCACAATGGAATCCGATTAAATATCAGTAAGAGAAAGAAAACAGGAAAATCTCCAAATAGTTAGAAATGAAACCTAACATTTCTAAATAATCCATGGGTCAAAGAAGTAGTCTCAAAGGAAATTCTAATTTCATAGAACTTGATGAAAATGAAAATACAACATGTATCAAAATATGTGGGATGCAGCTTAAGCAGTATTGAGAGGGAAATTTATAGTATTCAATGTATACATTTTTTAAAAAGAGAGAAGGTTACAAATCAGTAAGATAAATTCTTCTCTCAAGACTAGAAAAAGAAAATAAACCCAAAGCAAGAAGGAAATAATCATGATAAAAGCAGAAATAAATGAAATTGAAAACAGAAAATCAATGAGGCAAAAGGCTGATTCCACAAAAAGAACAATTAATATTGATAAACTTCTAGCAAGACTGGTAAAGATAAAAAGAAAGAAGACAAAAATCATCAGTATCAGGAACAAAACAAGGAAGATCTCTACAGATCCTGCAGTCATTAAAAATAAATAAAGGAACACTACAAACTTTACACTCTTACATTTGACAACTTAGAAGAAATGGACCAATTTCCTTGAAAATCAAACTACCAAAAGTTAACCAAGATGAAATAAACAACTTTAAGAGTCATGTAATTATTAAAGAAATTGAATATGTAATTATAATTATCAAGTTTCCAATAAAAGAAATCTGCAAGCTCAAATAGGTTTGCTGGAGAATTTTAACACTTAAGGAAGAATTAACAGCAATCTTATACAGTCTCATCTAGAAACTAGAAGAGGGACAGAGAATCCAGAATTAGAGATGCACAAATCTGCCCAACTGATTTTTCACTGCAAAAGGAACTCAATGGAGGGAGAATAGACTTTTCAATGAATGGTGCTGGAGCAACTAGACATCCATAAGGGAGAAGAAAAAAGAACTTTGGCCTTTATCTCACACCTTGTACAAAAATTGACAAAATAGATCATGGACTTAAATGTAAAATGTAAGCTTATAAAACTTTTAGAAACAACCAAAGGAGAAAATCTTTAGGATCTAGGGCCAGGCAGATTTCTCAGATTTGACACCAAAAGCACAGTCCATAGGAAAAAAAAAATTGATAAATGACCTTAACAAAATTAAAATTTTTGGTCCATGAAAGACATTGTTAAGAGAATGAAAAAGCAAGCTATAATCTGGGAGAAAATATTTTCAAACATATAGAACAAAAGATTTAAATCCAGAATATATAAAGAACTTAAACTCAACAATAATAAAACAATCCAATTCAAAATTGGAAAAATGGCACGGGTACTTCACTGAAGAAAATAGACAGATGCCAAATAAGCACAGGAACGGTGTTCAACATTTTTAGCCATTAGAGAAATACAAATTTAAACTACAATGGGATCACCTACACAACTATTAGAATGGCTAACATAAAAATAATAATAGTGATAATACAAAATGCCGGTAAGCATGTGAAGAAACTAGATTCCTCACACATTGCTGATGGGAAGGTAAAATTGTACAGCCAGTCTGGAAAAGTATACACCAGTTTCTTACAAAGCATTACATTCACATACCATACAACCCAGCAACTGCACTCTTGAGCACCTAACACAGGGAAATGAAAACTGGAAATGATCTAAAGATCCTTCAAAAGGTAAACAAACTCTGGCACCTCTATACTACAGCATACTAAAAAAGAGCAATAAAAAAGAGCAAACTATTGGTTCACACAAAAAACTTGGGTGAATCTCAAGGGAGTTGTGCTGAGTGAATAAAGCCAGTCTCAAAGGGTTAAATATTGTATCATTCCACTAAAATAGCATTCTTGAAATGACAAAATTATAGAGATGAAGTACACATTAGTGGTTGCCAGGGGTTAGAAAGAGGGGAAGGCAAGAGTGTGGCTGTGGCTATAAAAAGGCAGCACAAGGGATCCCTGTGATAAAACCGTTCTGTAGCTTGACTGTGGTGGACATGTGAATCTACACAAGTGATGCCATTACACATAACTAAACATACACACACAGGAGTGCAGATAAAATTGGTGAAATCTGAATAAGGTCAATGGAAATACATCAATGTCCATTTTCTAGTTACGATACTATACTGTAATTATGCAAGATGTTACTAATGGGAAAAACTGGTCAAAGGATATAAGGAATCTATTATTTCTTATACCTACATGTGAACTATAATTATCTCAAGATTAAAAGTTCAAGGGAAAAAAAGCAAGATATATGTGAAAATGAATGTGAAACAGGAAGTGAGGACAGCAGCGTCCAATCTGATTCAAAAGTTTCAGGAGTTTTGTAGTATCCAATAGGCACACACATTTCATTAGTAAATAACTGTGATTATTCCTCATGCTCATAAAAGGGTTTATGAGAAGGAAATTTAGCCAAGAGACTGAGTTTTCCAAATGAGACTGTTTAAACTGTCACAGCAAGATGCTGGATGGGCAGGTTTAATGTTTAAGTTGTCTGTGTCTTCTCCTTCCCTCCAGCGCCCTGTGGTGGGAAGAAGCTTCTGATGAAAAGTACAACAGTTAAAAAAAAAAAAAAAAGCTACATTTTTGGCACATTTGAAAGTAATGGGTATATGTGTGATCCTGCTACATATAATTAAAAATGTTAATACTAAAACTTTCTGTAATGTAGTCACTGCAATTTCATTTCTAAAATTCTGATTCTAGCCTATTTTGCTTAAATGAAGATGTGCCAATGAAGAGTTTAAAAGTCTAGGAAAGATCGGTGCAGCCAGAAGCTCTCAGGAGGGAGACACACAGGTTGCTTTCTTAAAACTTTATTGAGGCCAGGCACGGTGGCTCACGCCTGTAATCCCAGCACTTTGGGAGGCTGAGGCAGGCAGATCACCTGAGGTCAAAAGTTCGAGACCAGCCTGGCCAGCATGGTGAAACCCCGTCTCTACCAAAAATACAAAAATTAGCCAGGGGTGGTGGCGCACGTCTATAATCCCAGCCACTCAGGAGGCTGAGGCAGGAGAATCACTTGAACCGGGAGGCAGAAGTTGCAGTAAGCGGAAATCACGCCACTGCACTCCAGCCTGGGCAACAGAGTGGGACTCCGTCTCAAAAAAAAAAAAAAAAAAAAAAAAAAAAAAAACCTGTATTGAATAAATAATACTCTCTAGAACTTGTAATATGATGAACTAGGTCTACATTGCATGCAATAAAGCTAAAAATGACAGCAGTTTACTATCAAATATTAAGCAAATTAGCATTTCTCATTGTACAGGAACCCTGGTAGTCTAATGTCTTTGTGTCTGCTAAGTCTCACGACTGAGGTTTTTGAGTACCACCTCCACTGGGGCAAAGGTGCGCTTTCTACTGCGACTTCCTTCTCTTAAACAATCAAGCAGAATCATAATGCTTCCAAGTATGCATCTTGATCTCTAGGTCATCAGGCTGCTGCTGGCATGACTACTGGCTCTGCAGGATGGCTGCTGGCCTACCATGGCTAGTGCCCAGTAGCTAGGTTTTTGCTTTTGTTTAAGAACTCTGTTTATCAGCAGGGAAATCAAAAGACTGGGAGTCAGAGGGGGTACTTCCTGCCTGCTCCATTCAATCTTGCTATGCACTGTAACTAGAAGGGTTTTTGCTCACTTCCTTGTTGTGCCTACAGCAAGAGGAATTGTTTCTTTCTCCAGGAACTAGCTTGTCCCCAGGAGGGGACATGGTGGAGAGAGGAAGAGTTGATATGGAGCCATTGGAGGGACTCTGCAGGCCAGGTGTATCACTCTCCTGATCCTTCACATGATCCTTAAATGCTCTTAAATGAGACACTGAATAACGCAATGATGTTCAAGGCAAGAGACACCAAGGACACCACCAGCATGAAGATGATGAAGGTGCTTTTCTCCGGGGGCGAGAGAGTAAGCAGTCCACTTAATGTGGGGAAAGATCTCGTTTGCAAGTGTAAACCACACTTAGGCTGAATCCATAGACAGACCACGGGATCATCAGGAAGGCCACCTCAAACAGAGGCCTGAAGATGACACCAATGGTACACGTTCGCAGCAAGCTCCCTGGGATTCTCACCCTTCCATGTTTCTCAAGGCCACACTTGAACTTCTTTATTTCAATTCCCTGCAAGTGCATCTCCACACTGACATCATCAATTTGGGCAACTTCGAGTTCTCCCAATTGCCTGTTCAACTTCTCTTCTTTTCACATCACGTAGAACATGTGTGTCAGGTACAAGAGTGGGGGAAGAGACACAAGTATTATCTGCAGAACCCAGAAGCATACATGGGAGATTGGCAAAGACTGGTCATAGCAGACATTTTCACAACCAGGCTGTTGAGTGTTCAATGAAAGGCAAACTGCTCATTATCCCAGGCTGACTCAACTGCAGTACTCAGGAGCAGGATTGGGGAAATGAAAAGGACTGAGAACCACACCTTACCTCCAGCTGGGGACTAAGCTTGAACCTTCTCTAGGAGGTGCCTGAGGCACTCCAGTCACCAACGTTGCCTGTTCGCTGTTAGTTCACTTAAAAAAAGTGAAGTAGGCATGCCAAATGATTGCACTCATTGGGGGACTAAGTAAAATGAAAAAAGTTAAGTTCAAGCAGCCAAAACTGTCTCAAGTTCAAAAGTCTGCTGCTGTTTGGTACCTTCCTCGCTCCTTCTCCCTAATGAAAGAAAATTGCTCACACCAGGTAGAAGTTTATGTGAATTCATTTTCATGCAAGGTGAGTAAGTACTTCTAAACAAGGATGTACATATACCTATAATAGGGCAAGTTACATAGATGGAGGAACAAAATAGACAAATCTAAAGGTCTCTTTCAATTCCAGAATAAAGGAATCTCGAAAACAATGATTCAACAACAGAAACTGAATTAACAATTCATACTTACACACTGACTAATTCATCTTGAGAAAATTAGGGCCAAAATCTCCCAAATAGATAATGATATTCATTCAACTACTATTTATTTAGAGCCTCCTAGGTGCCAGGTACTGTGCTAGGCACTGGTTCATTGGTGAGTAAAATGAAATTCCTATACGTGTGGAACTCACAATCAACCGGGGGAAACAATAATTAAAAGTGCAATATTTTATTAAATGTAAGACAATTGTAAGATAAACCATTATTTTACCTACCATTCAGAAAGGAATCAAGAAATCCAGTTTAAGATACATCACAATTTCAGAAATATGAGGAAAAATATATATCATAGAATCCAGAAAAAAGGCTCAGTGAGCAAGTGAATATACAACTTCAAATTTAATTAAGTGCCAAGAAGAAAACAAATAGGAGGCCCCAGCAGAGGACAACGCGAAGACACCCAGATCAGACTGGATAGGGTCGGCCAGGTCAAAACACTGAGAAAATTGCTGCAGATGAAGGAAGCAGCCTGTGCAAAGATTTTTAAGAGTGAAGACCTCACTGTATTCAAGGAACTAAAAGGCAGGCAGTGAGGTTACCAGGTAGTAGGCAAAGGAAGAAACAGCACAGCCTGAGACTGATGCCAGAGCAGGGGCTACCCTCAGGCATCCATTTGGCAGCAGCAGAGAACCAGGGACAGAAAGTGAGATTACACTGTGATGCTGGGGCAAGACGGAGGCCATGGGAGAAATTATTCAAGAGTTCTAGGGGCCAGTGGGAGGGTTGGAGGAAACTGGATCAGACTGAGGAACCTACAGAGCAGCACAAGGATGGGTATTCTGTGCTAACAGATGGCCAGTGAGTTTTGGTGGTGACAAAAAGTAAGGGATGTCAAGAATGATGGGGCTGGTCCTGAGAATCTCTGGAGAGAGGAACAGGCAATCAATCCTGGCACTGTGGTACTGAAGCTTTAGTGAATGAAATGGCATTTTCCAAGGGTATCTGCCAGCCCAGATAGCATGAAGTAGTAAGATCAGGACAAAAAATGAGCTGCTGCTCCCTCATTATCTGGGAATTGGAGGTCAAGTCCCTGACAATAGGGGTCCCAACTTAAATATGTATTTACTGAACATAGACCATCTATCTTCAGTTGAATTGTTAGCACATGGAAGCTATTTTGTTAAGACTATATTACTATACATTGTGTTCATTCTTGTGGGTTTCTTCTAGGGTACTGTCATAATACATGAAGAGTTCTTAAAAAAACATTTTGGGAGGAGCAACACTGATACCACCCACTAATCTGCTAAGGGTGGTGGAACCTGGCATGGTGCTTAACTCATAAGCATGCCACTCCTGAAGACCTGCTAGTCTTTATCCATTTCCACTCTACGGCCCTTACTTCTTTATAATAAAGGTCTCTAAGCAAAAGCATAGTAAAAGGTTTCTGTCTCTAATTCACAGCATGCTACACAAATAGATCTTATTGTAAAATGGGCCACAGCTAATTGATTATTACACAGCAAAAATTAATTATTTTCAACCAAATCCTTTCAGTACGGCAAATCATTTTAAAACACATTTTATTTAGTATATTAAAATTACATTTATAGAGAAAAACAAAAAAAATTACATTCTATTTAACATTTTAATTCTTTTAAAAATATATTTAATTCTCAAAGACAAATATTCATTTTAATCAAATGAGAAAAGAGGAAAATATTTATTAAACACATTAATCTGCTAACTAATAAGCGATCTTTAAATATACTGCTAATTTGTTTCTTGGTTTAATGGCTGTTTCTCACAGTACGTTCAGTGAGAAAAATAAAACTTAAAATGAACCCTAAAAAAGAAGCAAGGTTAACGAAATTTATAATGTCTCAAATGACTGAGGTTAGTTACAACTGTTATCCAAGGATAAGAACTAAAGCCTACCAAAATGCAAATTTGTAGCCAGTAATCAAATTATAAGGCTTTAAAGTACACACACACTACTTTCTCGGTTGCTTAAATAACACATTTTAGCCAAATTGTCCTCTATCACACAGATTCTCAAACTAATCCTATTAAGCTAAAGTCACCACGATCTGTAGTTTATAATTACTACATTCTTCAAGGTTAATTGAAAATAAACCATTGGCAGCATAAGAGTTCCACATTTATTCTCATTAGTTTTTCAAATTTAAGCCGTGCTTAGTCTCTAGAGATTTCAAAGTGCCTTAGAAAACTGAGTTCTTCTTCAAAAATAAGTGGGGTGAAATAAGTGAAGAAAATAATCCCTAGAACTACTTGAGCATGGTTTACAGAAGGTTAAAAAAAAAAAACAATGCTGTAGGGGAGAAAAGGAAATCAAAATGTGTAATAATTCTAGTTTCTTTAGGGTAAAGTTAGTAGCCATTTGCAAGAACTACATAAAGTTCTTAAGTTTTCCAAATATTTTGTTCTGAAAAAGTTCTTACTAAGCATATGAAAATACAGAGATTTGAAATTCAAAGGGATGAAAATAACTGGGAATGAGTCATTTCAGCTAAGAAAATGGTTCACAGGAAAGTTAAAAAACCTCTTGCTGAATATTATTTATAAACTGGACAAGATATTTCCAATTTTAAAATGTAAACAGGACTTCCAGTTTCAGCATCAACCCATACAGTGCTTGGATACCATCACTCCTGTCCTTACATTAAGAAAAAACCCTGGCCGGGCGCGGTGGCTCACGCCTGTAATCCCAGCACTTTGGGAGGCCGAGGCGGGTGGATCACGAGGTCAGGAGATCGAGACCATCCTGGCTAACAAGGTGAAACCCCGTCTCTACTAAAAATACAAAAAATTAGCCGGGCGCGGTGGCAGGCGCCTGTAGTCCCAGCTACTCGGGAGGCTGAGGCAGGAGAATGGCGTGAACCCGGGAAGCAGAGCTTGCAGTGAGCCGAGATTGCGCCACTGCAGTCCGCAGTCCGGCCTGGGCGACAGAGCGAGACTCCATCTCAAAAAAAAAAGAAAAAAGAAAAAAAGAAAAAACCCTAACAAATTGAAAATCAGCAAATTTCTTGGATTTACGGAATTGAGGTCAGAGGGTGAACCAATCGCCTGAAATCTAGAGAAACAGGCAAATACAAAGAATCACATCCAAGATCAGCAGTACCTGGAGCAGAAGGCACTGGAATCATACACTAGTAAGAAAACTTAAATGATAATTTTGACAAAGGCTAACTGAGACTAGCTTGTGAATGAGAACTCCTGGGGACTAAATCTTAGGAGGCCCTCTAAGTTCTTGCAGTTTTACCTCCAGGAAATCTCACCAGGTTCTGACTATGAAGACCCAAGAAAAAACTCCTCCCCTTTTGTGTAAGACACAAGGAAAATTAATTTGAAATACACCCAGGGGTAAGATCTAATAAAAATCTCCTCTTCTTTTAGGTAGGGAGAGGAAGAAAGTAACCATTTTGAAATAAGGCCAGAATGTTTTTCATAACAAAGGTCAACAGTCCAAGAGAAAATTTACCAGAGCCTTGGTGTCCAGGGAGAAAGGAAATCAGCCAAAGACAGTCCCTCTAGCCTTCTTGTTTCATCTAACAGAAGAAAAGGAGGGGAAGGGGTGGCTGGAAACACTTCTGAAGGTTGTAGCCAAAGACTCAGGTCTTACAGAAGAATGAGATTATAGAACACTTTCTTCCCTTCGCCATACTCTTCCCATCATGTCAACAGAGCTCCAGTACATTAACAGAGAATTACAACTGAAAGAGTTGCAAGACACAGACTCACTATTTATAAAGGAGTTCTTAGGAGAACCCACAGACAACAGACTAGGAAAAATAAAATAACAAAGACACTAGAGGAAACTGAAGCCTCTGGCATCTATACCTACATCATTAAACATGACCTAGCTTCTAGACAGATTAACATATAACCTTACACTAAAGGCCTATTTATTCAGTTCCTATTGCCTAATATATCATATCCAGCTTTAAAAAAATTACAAGGCAGGCCAAAAAGCAAGAAAAAGCATAGTCTAAAGAGACAAAGTAAGCATCAGAACCAGACTCAGATATGGCACAGACTTGGGGATTATCAGATAGGGAATTTAAAATAACTGTGATTAATATGTTAAGGGCTCTAATAGGAAAAGTAGACAGCACGCAAGAACAGATGGGTAATGTAAGCATACATAACTCTAAGGAAGAATTAAAAGAAAATGCTAGAAATCAAAATCACTGTAACAAAAATGAAGAATGCTTTTAATGGACTCGACAGTAAACTGGACACGGCTGAGCAAAAAATCACTAGGCTGTAAGATATGTCAGTAGAAACTTCCAAAACTAAAATGGAAAGAGGAAAAAAGAAATTTTTTTTCTTTTTTTTTTTTTTTTTGAGACGGAGCCTCACTCTGTCGCCAAGGCTGGAGTGCAGTGGTGTGATCTTGGCTCACTGCAACCTCTGTCGCCTCCCAGGTTCAAGCAATTCTTCCTGCCTCAGCCTCCTGAGTAGCTGGGATTACAGGCGTGCACCACCATGCCCGGCTAATTTTTTTTTTGTATTTTTAGTAGAGACGGGGTTTCACCACGTTCGCCAGGATGGTCTCGATCTTTTGACCTTGTGATCCGCCTGCCTCAGCCTCCCAAAGTGCTGGGATTACAGGCGTGAGCCACCGTGCCCGGCAAAATAAAGATTTTTAAAAAGCAAAACAGAACATCCAAGAATTATGGGAAAATTACAAAAGGTGTAACATATGTAATTGGAATACGAAGAGAAAAGTGAGACAAGGGAGAAGAAATATTTGAAAGAATAATGGCAAAGAATCTTTCAAAATTAAGGGTGCCAAACTGCATATCCAGGAAACTCAGAGAACACCAAGCAGAATAAATACCAAAAGATCTACACCTAAGTACATCATATTCAAACTACACAAAACTAAACACAAGGAGAAAATTGTGAAAGAAATCAGAGGAAAAAAAACACCTTACCTATAGAGAACAAGGATAAGAATTACCTCTGATGTCCTGTCAGAAACCATGCAAGTAAGAAAGTAGAGTGAAATATTTATAAAATGTTGAAAGAAAAAAAAAACTCTACCTCAAAGTTACTCAGTGAAATGATCCTTCAAAACTGAAGGAGAGTTTCTCAGATAAATGCTGAGTGAATTTGTCACCAGTAGACCTGCCCTTTAAAAATGCTTTAAAAAGTTATTCAGAGAGAAAGCAAAATTATATAGGTAAGAAACTGGGATCTACAGAAAGAAAAGAGCATTGGAGAAGGAATAAATAAGATAAAATCTATTTTTCCTATTCTTAATTGATAACTGTTCAAAATAATAATAGTAACTATTATTGACTGAGTATAGCATATGGATAAGCAATATGAATAATAGTAACGTTATAAGGGACTGGAGGGAGGAGTTCAAAAATTCTAGTAAAAGTTACCTACACTCCTCAAGAAGCAGTATAGAGTTATCTGAAAGTGTACTTAGATAAGTTGTAAATGTACACTGCAAACTCTAGGGCAATGACCGAAAAAAAAAAAAAGTAAAAACAAGTATAATAGACACTAAAACAGGAGAGAAAATGGAATCCTGTAAAACGGTCAGTTAAAACCAGAAGGCAGAAAAAGAGGGGATTAAAAAAAAAAAGTAAGTACAACAAATAGAAAATCAGTTATAAACATGGTTCATATTAATACAACCATATTAATATCATTTTAACTGTGAATGGCCTCAATACACCAGTTAAAAGAAATTATCAGAGTAGATTTAAAAAAATGAATATAAAGGAATGGGCCAGGTGTGGTGGCTCATGCCTGTAATCCCAGCACTTTGCGAGGCTGAGGTGGGAGGATCACTTGAGGCCCAGGAGTTTGAGACCAGCCTGGGCAACATGGCAAAACCCTGTCTCTACAAAAAATACAAAAAGTTAGCCAGGCATGGCAGTGCACACCTGTAGTCCCAGCTACACAGAAGGCTGAGGTAGAAGGATCACTTGAGCCTAGGAGGCGGAGGCTGCAGTGAACCATGATTGTGCCACTGTATTCCAGGCTGGGCAACAGAGCAAGACTGTATCTAAAAATAATTAATAAATAAATAGAAAGCAAAGCAAAGCAAGAGAAAGAGAGAGAGAGAGAGAGAGAGGCAGGGAGGGAAGGGATAGGATAAAAGTAAAGGGATGGAGAAAGTTATACCACGATAACACTAATCAAGAGGAAGTTGAAGTAGTTATATAAATTTTAGACAAAGCAGATTTCAGAACAAGGAAAATCATTGGGATAAAGAATAGCATTACAAAATGCAAAATTCTCCAAGAAGACATAACAATCCTTAATATGAATGTACCAAACTAGAGAGCATCAAAATACATGAGGAAAATACTGATATAACTGCAAACAGAAATAGACAAATCCACTACTATAGTTGGATACTTTAACAGCCCCTTTCAGTAACCGATAGATACAGCAGGCAAAAAAAAAAAAAAAAAAAAAATGAGTATGGGTATCTATGAATTGAACAATACCATCAAGCAACTGGATCTACTTGACATTTATATAATACTTTAGTAACAGCAGAATACACATTCTTCTCAAGCTTACATGGAACAATTACCAAGATAGACCACAACTGGGCCATAACATATACCTTAATAAATTTGTAGCTATCATACTAAGTATGCTATCATACCACAACGGAATAAAAATAGAAATCAGTAACAAAAACATAGCTGGAAAATCTCAAAATGTTTAGAGAATAAACAACAAACTACTAAATAACACATGAGTCAAAGAAGTCTGAAGAGAAATTTTAAAATATTTTGGACTAAATAAAAATACAAGTCAAAACTTGTGCAATACTATGAAAGCAGCACTTAGAGAAAAGTTTATAGCATCAAGTGCGTTATTAGAAAACAGACGTAAAATCAATAATCTACGCTTTACCTTAGGAAAGAAAAGAAAGAAGGGCAACTTAAGCCTAAAACACGGAGAAGAAAAAAAATTTTTAATTACAGTAGAAATCAATGAACTGAAAACAATCAACAGTAAAAACAAAAGCTGCTTCTCTGAAATCAATAAAGCTGATAAACCTCTAGCCAAATTAACCAAGAGAAAAAAAAACACAAATTATTCACATCAGATTTGAATGAAGAGTCATCACTACCAAATCACATGGACATTAAAAGGAAAATAACAGATTATTATAAATAAATCTATGCCTAAAAATTTGACAACTTAGATAAAATGGACCAATTCCTTGAAACATACAAATTACCAAAATTTACACATAAAATAATAATCTGAATAGGCCTGTGTATATGAAAATTGATCAATAATTATTAATATTCCAAAAAAGAAAGCTCCATTCTCACATGGTTTCACTGGTGAATTCTAGCAAACATTTAAGAAATTATACCAATTATCTACAATCTCTTCCAGACAACAGGAGCAGAGGGAATACTTCCTAACTCATTCTATGAGGTCAGTATCATCCTAATACCAAAATAAGCTAAATATATTTTTCAAAAGGCAAACTACAGACCAATACCTCTCATGAATACAGATGCAAAAATCCACAACAAATATTAAGGGAATCAAATCCGCCAATATATGAAAACAACTATACACCAGGTATGAAAGGCTGCTTCAAGGCCAGGCGCGGTGGCTCACGCCTGTAATCCCAGCACTTTGGGAGGCTGAGGCGGGCGGATCACCTGAGGTCGGGAGTTCGAGACCAGCCTGACCAACTTGGAGAAACCCCATCTTTACTAAAAATACAAAATTAGCCAGGCATGGTGGCAGGTGCCTGTAATCCCAGCTACTCGGGAGGCTGAGGCAGGAGAATCGCCTGAACCCAGGAGGCGGAGGTTGCGGTGAGCTGAGATCGCACCATTGCACTCCAGCCTGGGCAACAAGAGTGAAACTCCCTCTCAAAAAAAAAAAAAGAAAGAAAGGCTGCTTCAGCATTCCAAAATCAAGCCATGTAATATACCACCACCACCATGCTAAGTAGAAAAATCACATGGTCTTATCACTGGATACAGAAAAGCGTTTTTTGAAACTCAATCTCCGTCACCGATTTAAGAAAAAAAACAAACCTCCCAGCAATCTAGGCATAGAGAGGAACTTCCTCAGATGAAGAACATCTACAGAAAACCTAACATTATTGGTACTTAACAGTAAGAAACTGCACGCCTTCCCCTTAAGATCAGAAGGATGCCCCACCTCATAAGTCATATTCAACACTGTACTGGAAGTCATAAGAAATACAATAAGATAAGAAAAGGAAAGAAAAGATATACAAATTGGGAAGAAAGAAATAAAACTGTTTTGTTCACAGATGACATGACTGTCTATGTAGAAAATCCCAAAGAATCTACAAAAACAAAAAAAAGAAAAAGAAAAACCTGGAACTACTAAACAATTACAGCAAGGTCACAGGATGCAAAGTTAACAGACAGAAGTCAATTACTTTCCTGTATACCAGCAAAGAACAACTAGAATTTGAAATTGAAAACACAATACAATTTATATTAGCACCCCAAAAATAGTGCTAAGGTATAAACCTAACAAAATATTTGCAGGATCTGTATGTGAAAAATTATTCATTGCTGTTGAAAATCAAAGATGATCTAAATAAATGGAGAGAGATTTTGTGTTCACAGATTATAAGACTCAATATTGTTGGCCGGGTGCGGTGGCTCACGCCTATAATCCCAGTACTTTGGGAGGCCCAGGCGGGTGGATCATCTGAGGTCAGGAGTTTGAGACCAGCCTGACCAACATGGCGAAACCCCAGCTCTACTAAAAATACAAAAATTAGCCAGGCGTGGTGGTGGGAGCCTGCAATCCCAACTACTCGGGAGGCTGAGGCAGGAGAAGCGCTTGAGCCCAGGAGGCGGAGGTTGCAGTGGGCCGAGATCGCACCATTGCACTCCAGCCTGGGCAACAGAGTGAGACTCCAATTAAAAAAAAAAAAAAAAAAAAAGACTCAATATTGTTAAGATGTCAGTTCTTCTCAACTTGATCTGCAGATTCAATGCAATCCCAATCCAAATCCCCAGAAGCTATTCTGTGAATATTGACAAACTAAAGTCAAAGGGTGTATTGAAAGGCCCAAAACAGCCAACCCAATACTGAAGAATGACAAAGTGAAAGGACTGATACTACTACTCCCCTTTAAGATAACACAAAACTACAGTAATCAAGACAATATGGTATTGGTGAAAAATAGACACAGACATCAATGGAACAGAATAAAGCACAAAAACAGACTCAAGAGCCAGCCTGGTCAACATAGCAAGACCCTGTCCCTATAAAAAATTTAAAAATTAGGCTGGGCGCGGTGGCTCACGCCTGTAGTCCCAGCACTTTGGGAGGCTGAAGTGGGTAGATCACCTGGGGTCAGGAATTCAAGACCAGCATGATCAATATGCTGAAACCCCATCTCTACTAAAAATATAAAAATTAGCCAGGCGTGGTGGCATGTACCTGTAGTCCTTGCAACTCAGGAGGCTGAGACTAGGACGTGCTTGAACCCAGGATGTGGAGGTTGCAGTGAGCCAAGATTGCGCCACTGCACTCCAGCCTGGGTGACAGAGCGAGACTCCATCTCAAAAATAATTAATTAGTTAATTTAAAAATTAGCAGGGCATGGTGGCATGAGCCTATAGTCCCAACCACTTAGGAGACTGAGATGGGAGGATTACTTGAGCCCAGGAGTTTGAAGCTGTAGTGAGCCATGACTGCATCACTGTATTGCAGCCTGGATGACAAAGCAAGACCCCATCTCTAAAACAAACAAACAAACAAAAAATAGACTCGACACAATTACAATCAGCAGATCTTTGACAAAGGAGCACAGGCAATCCAATGGGGAAAGCAATCTTTTCAACAAACGGTGCTAGATGTCCAAATGCAAAAGAAAGGATCTAGACACAGACCTTACAAGTCTCACAAAAACTAAATCAAAATGGATCATACACCTAAACGTAAAATGCAAATGTATAAAACTTCCAGAAGATAACCTAGAAAATCTAGGTGACCTTCAGTTTGGCAATGAGGTTTCAGATGTAACACCAAAAGGACTGTCCATGAAAGACAAAATTGCTAAGTAGGATTTCATTAAAATTAAAAACTTCTGCTCTGGTAAACATACCATTGTAAGAATGAAAAGACATGCCACAGACTGGAAGGAAATATGTGCAAAACACATATCTGGAGAGTGTTAGCACTGAAAATGGCAGAACTGGGAAATCTAGGACTCTGTCCCTCCACAAAAACAACTAATGAGCTTGCAAAAAGTATCAGAATCAACTTTTCCACAACTCTGCAGGTATTCAAAAACTCACAACTACCAGAGGAAGGCTTGGTGAAAGAGGTAGCTGCTTTGTGATAACACTGTGCATTTTAAACTGCCCACCTACCTTTACCCACATATCATATCCATGGCAGATGAGAAGACTAGAAATAGAGGACAACTTCCTCAACCTGTTAAAGGACATTTTTAAAACCCATAGCTAACATCATGAATACTCAATGGTAATAGACTAAAACCCCTCCTCTCAAGATCAGGAACAAGACAAAGATGCCCACTTTCACCACTTCTATTCAACAAAGCACTGGAAGTTCTAGCCAGAGCAATTTGACAAGTAGAAGAAATAAAAGGTGTCCAAATTGTAAATGGATAAGTAGAACTACCCCTATTCACAGATGGTACCTTATACAGAGAAAATTCTAAAGAATCCACACACAAAAATATTAGAACTAATAAACGAATTCAGCAAAGTTGCATAATACAAGATCAAAACACAAAAACCAGTGGGCCCCAAAATATTAAACATGTAATTACCATATGACCCAACAATGCTACTCCTAGGTATATATTCAAAAGAATTGAAAACAAGGACTCAGATACTTGTATGTGAATGTTCATAGCAGCATTATTCATAATAACCAAAGGTATAAATAACTCAAGTGTCCACGAAGAAACAAATGGATAAACAAAATGTGGTGTACATTCTCCCCCCACATATCATATCCATGGCAGATGAGAAGACTATAAATAGAGGGCAAGTTCCTCAACCTGATAAAGAACATTTATAAAACCCACAGGTAACAGCACGAATACTCAATGGTAATAGATGATGTCTAATTACATGTATACAACACATTTTGTTCGTTGTATACATATACAATGAACATGATGTTTTCAAGGTTCAACCATATAATATTGTTATATGTTGTTCCAATATTGTTCAGTCATATAAAGGAATGAAGTTCTGATATACTCTACATGAATGAACCTTAAAAACATCATGCTAAGTGAAAGAAATCGGACACAAAAGGACAAATACTGTAATATTCCACTTATATAAAATATCTAGAATAGGCAAAAATCACAGAGACAGAAAGTAGGTTGGAAGTTACAACTACTGGGGATAGGGGAATTAGAGAGTTATTGCTTAATTGGCAGAGAGTTCCTGTTTGGGGTAATGAAAAAAATGTGCAAATACATAGTAGTGATGGTTACGTAACACCGTGAATACAATTAATGTCAAACTGCGGCCTTAGAAATAGTTAAAACGGCAAATTTTATATTACATATATTTTACCACAATAAAAAAAAATAAACTGGGGCCGGGTGTGGTGGCTCACGCCTGTAATCCCAGCACTTTGGGAGGCCAAGGCAGGCAGATCACTTGAGGTCTGGAGTTCAAAACCAGCCTGGCCAACATGGTGAAACTCTGTCTCTACTAAAAATACAAAAATTAGCTGGGTGTGGTGGCATGCACCTGTAATCCCAGCTGCATGGGGGACTGAGCCAGGAGAATGGCTTGAACCTGGGAGGCAGAGGTTGCAGTGAGCCGAGATCACACTACTGCACTACAGCCAGCCTGGGTGACAGAGCCTCTGTCTCCAAAAAAAAAAAAAAAAAAATCGATAATATTTCTATACACTGGCAACAAACAATCTTAAAAAAATTTCTTAAAAAGAAATTAACAGCAATTTCATTTAAAATAGCTTAAAAAAATCTTTAAAAAATTTCTTAAAAAAGAAATTAACAGAGCTATTTCATTTAAAATAGCAGCGAGGTGCGGTGGCTTACGCTTGCAATCCTAGCACTTTGGGAGGCCAAGGTGGGTGGATTACGTGAGGCCAAGAGTTTGAGACCAGCCTGGCCAACATGGCAAAACCCTGTCTCTACTAAAAATATAAAAATTAGCTGGGCGTGGTGGTGCACATCTGTAATACCAGCTACTCAGGAGGCTGAGGCATGAGAATTGCTTGAACCCAGGAGGCAGAGGTTGCAGTGAGCCAAGATCACAACACTTCACTCCAGCCCGGGCAACACACCGAAAGTCTGTCTCAAAAAAAAAAAAAAAAAAAAAAAAAAAGCTCCAGCCTGGGCAACAGAGCAAGACTCTGCCTCAAAAACAAAAAAGGCATCCGAATGAATAAAACATCTAAGAATAAATCTAACCAATGAGGTAAAAGACTAGCACACTGAAAACTACAAAACATTGCTAAAAGAAGTTAAACACTTAAATATATGGAAAGGTCCCATGGATTGGAAGAATTTATAGTTAGGATGACAGTACTACCCAAAGCAATCTACAGAGTCACTGCAATCTCTATCAAAATTTCAACAGCTTTTTTTCCCAGAAATGAAAAAAAAAATTTCAAATTCATACAGAATTGCAAGGAGCCCTTGATAGACAAAATAGTATTGAAAAAGAATAACAAAGTTGGAAGACTCACACTTCCGAATTTCAATATTTACCACAAATTTATAGTAATCGAACCAGTGAAGTGCTGACATAAAGACAGGCACATAGCCCAGAGGAATAAAAGTGAGAGTCCACAAACAAACCCACATGTCTATGGCCAACTGATTTTCAACAAGGGTGCTAGCACCAGTAAATGGGGAAAGAATGATCTCTTCAACAAATCCAGGTGCTGGGACAACTGAATATCCACAAGCAAAAGAATGAAGTTAGACCTCTATCTCACAACATATACAAAAACAGTACAAACGTTATGAGAAATTACTTAATGGGTACAATGTACATTATTTGGGTATGGTTACACAAAAACCTCAGACTTCATCCACTACGCAAATAAACCCATGTAACAAAACTGTACTTGTACGCCTTAAATATATAAAAATAAAATTTCATTAAAACAATTTTTAACTGTACAAACAACAATTCAAAATGGATCAACAACCTAACATAAGAGCTAAAACTATACTACTGTACCATTAAAAAAAAGACAGCCATAAATCTTCATGACATTGGATTCGGCAATGGTTTTAAAAATATGAGCAATAAAGGAAAAAATAAACTGGACTTCATCAAAATTAAAAACCTTGTACATCATCTAGCACACTATTAAGAAAGTGAAAAGGCAACCTACAAAATTAGAGAAAATATTTGCAAGCCATATATCTGATAAGGAATCTATATTCAGATTATATGAATAACTCTTACAATTCAACCAAAAAGACAACCCAATTTTAAAATGCTCAATGGATTGGAATAGACATTTCTCCAAAGAAGATATACAAATGACCAAAAGCGCATGAAAAGATGCTCAAAATCACTCATCATTGGGGAAATGGAAATCAAAACCACAATAAGATACCACACTACATCCACTAGGGTGGCAACAATTAAAAAGTAATAATAAGGTGGCCAGGCGTGGTGGCTCACACCTATAGTCCCAACACTTTGGGAGGCCAAGGTAGGTGGATCGCTGGAGGCCAGGAGTTTGAGACCAGCCTGGCCAACATGGCAAAACCCCATCTCTAATAAAAATACAAAAATTAGTCAGGCATGGTGGCTTGCACAACTGTAATCCCAGTTACTCGGGAGGCTGAGGCACAAGAATCACTCGAACCTGGGAGGCGGAGGTTGCAGGGAGACACTGCACTCCAGCCTGGGCGACAGAGTGAGACTTTGTCTCAATGAGGAGGAGGAGAAGGAGGAGGAAACAAGAGTTGGTGAGGATGTTGAGAAATTGGAACTCTCATACATTGCTGGTGGGAATGTAAAGGAGGGCAGCTGCTGTGGAAAACAGTTTAAGCAATTTTTCAAAAAATTAAACATGGCATTTCCACTCTACTTTGGGGTATATACCCCAGAGAATTGAAAATAGAAATTCAAACAACACTTGTACATGAATGTTCATAGCAGTAATAGTCACAATAGACAAAAGGTAGAAACAACTCAAATGTCCATGACTGATGAAAAGATAAACACGATGAGGTATATTCATACAACACGAAACAGTATCATGCAGGCATAAAATGGAATGAAGTACTGTTACATGCTACAACGTGGATAAACTTTGAAAACATAGGTCAAAGAAGCCAAACACAAACGGTCACATGTTGTATGATTTGTATGATTCCATTTATATGAAATATCCAAAATAGGTAAATACAGAAAGCAGATTGGTGGTTGCCAGGGGCAAGGGAAAATGGGGGGTAAATAGTGAGTACAGGGTTTTCTTTTGAGGTGATGAAAATGTTTTGGAACTTCAAAGAGGTGGTGGTTGCACAACATTATGAATGTACTCAATGTCACATACTTGTATACTTTAAAATGGTTAATTTCATGTTATGTGACTTTTACCTCAATTTTTTTAAGAAAGAAGGGGAGCCTAAAATGTGACTAATTCCCGGCTCAACCATCTACTGACTTGTATGGCTTTCAGGAAATTAACCTATTCGAGCACCAGTTTCCCCCACATAAGAGGAGGATAATTCCTTCTAACTTTTATGGTTAATGTGAGGATTGAAAGAGACACGAAAATAAAGCAGCTAGCACAACGCCTGGAAGAGGCACTTGAAACAAAAGTTAACTGTTTCGTCTTAATTTCTTATTTACGTTCCTTTGAATCTCACATATTTTTCTCCAAAGTATTTTACACTCATAAATCTCTTCATATTTATGAGAATGTCCTTCTCTTGAGCTGAAGAATTTTTTCACAATCTCAATGAGGACTGTTTTCTTCTTCGTATTCGTCTTTGGGTGGAAAGGGTACTATGCAGGCCAGTGATGTGACAGAAGGTAAATAGACTATATGCGTCTCTGTATGCCCAGTACCCAGCAAATTCCACATCTCTGCTGTGACAGTTGACACGTGAAAGAGGTAACCAATACAAAACTTCCTGCCCAGCCATTCAAAGGATTTACTCAAGTCCAGATCAACGGAAAAGTAATTTTCACTGAAGTCCCCCACCTTATTAACCTTATTCCTCAGGCTCTTAGAGCACCAAGGGCAAAGAGTCAAATAGAAATTAAGACTGTGGTTCACTAAGGCCACTACGCTGTTCCCACAATATTCTCCTAGTTAGGGCTTGCTCAATATCAGAAGTCAGCAAACTCTTTCTATACAAAGTCAGATAATAAATATTTCAGGCTTTGTGGGTCAGTCTCTATCACAACTACTCAACCGTCATTGTATTGCAAAAGCATGCACAAAAAATACTTAAATGACTGTGGCTGCATTCCAACAAAACTTTATTTATAAAATAGAGCCCACAGGCAGTAGTTTGCCAACTCCGGATCTATACAGCTAGGAGAGGTTCTCCTGCCCATCCTAATATGGTAGAGTCTTAACGGCAATGACTTGGGCTTCCTGGATCAAGTTTCAACTGTGCCATTTGGGGAAGGTTCTACAATCCATCATTACTACACCAAGGATTCTGGGCCCTCTGACACACAGAGGTAAAACAGAGGTTCTCACTATACCATTCTCATTCAGTCCATTATCAGCTAATAATGTTACTCCTTAATTCTATTCCCAGCTTTATGGTAGTTCTCATGTGGGGTTCTGGGAAATGCTTTTCCCCTCCCGCTTTATTATTGACATGAATTTTTCCTAAGGCAGGCTTCAATGGAGAAATTTATTGGAAAAAAAAAAAAGGGAAAGGTTTCACACTATCATGTCAACTACCATCTTATCTCAAATTCACCTCCCAAACTATATGTTAAACTTCCTGACAACAGAAAACATGACTTTAGGGCTGGGGCGATGGCTCACGCCTATAATCCCAGCACTCTGGGAGGCCGAGGGTGGATCATGAGGTCAAGAGATCGAGATCATCCTGGCCAACATGGTAAAACGCCATCTCTACTAAAAATAAAAAAAATTAGCCAGGCATGGTAGCGGGCACCTGTAGTCCCAGCTACTCGGGAGGCTGAGGCAGGAGAATCACTTGAACCCGGGAGGCAGAGGTTGCAGTGAGCTGAGATTGTCCCACTGCACTCCAGCCTGGCGACAGAGCGAGACTCTGTCACAAAAAAAAAAAAAAAAAAAAAAAAAAAAAAAAAAATAAGAAAAGAAAAGAAAACATGACTTTATATTTGTTAATTTATCCATGTTAAATTCCTTAAAAGTAAAAATTACATCTTATTTTTTTTTGTAGTCAGTGCCTAGCTAAGTGCCTGATATTTGATAGGCATTCAACAGATTTTCCTTAGATGTCTGGTTGAATTTTACTTTATGATGTCATGCCTAGAACACAGTGTTTTAAGTATAGGAAGTAACTTTAAAAACAAAAAAAAAAGTTGATTTTTTTTAAATTAAAATGCTTTAATATATGAAATACACCTTTAAATTGTAAAATATGAACTACAGCTTCTAATTACACAGTAAATCAGTGTTGGATTACTTTTTATGTAGAAATAGATCACGACGTACTACTCTGTTGTTTTCTGAGACGGAGTCTTGCTCTGTCGCGCAGGCTGGAGTGCAGTGGCCCAATCTCCGCTCACTGCAACCTCCGCCTCCCGGGTTCAAGCAATTCTGCCTCGGCCTCCTGAGTAGCTGGGATTACAGGTGTCCGCCACCATGCCCAGCAAATTTTTTTGTATTTTTAGTAGAGATGGGGTTTCACCATGTTGGCCAGGCTGGTCTTGAACTCTTGGACCTCAGGTGATCTGCCTGCCTTGGCCTCCCAAAGTGCTGGGATCCATGCACTACTTTGAAGAAGTTTCAACAACTGATAAAGAGCTATGCTTAAATTACTCAAGAGTTTCCACTATATAGGTATTTGTTCATCAGTGCCTATATATTGCAGGCCTGTGGGGGGAAAAATGATTCACACTCATTTTTGTTTCTGAAGTTTTGAAGAAAAGTGGCATTAAGGAGCTAGTATAAATCACTTAAGCACATTTATCAGAGCCTAATGAAATTATTCACCTTATAGTACAGAAGAGATGTTCTCTTCTTTGAACTAATTATATTTTTATGATTACCATAAAAGGACTTTAAAGTTAACTATAAGTATTCAATAAATAAGAATGTTAACTTAAATTAGAGAACTGAAGATGAAAGATGTAGTAGAGAGCTGTTGCAGAGTAGCAGGAACTCAGTCCCTGAAGAGGGATGAAAGATAATCCCAAGGATTTGAAAGTGGTACACTGGAAAAGCATTCCAGCCAATTCATCCTCTAGAAGTGAGCGGGGAAACGATGATTTAGGAACTGAATCACTGTAAAAAGGAGGAATGAGGAAAAGTTTTCAGAGTAGAAAGAGGTAATACTAATTGTAACATGACCATTCCCTTACTCTGTTTACTAAAAAACTCACAAACAATAAACTAAATGTAGATTCGGATGATGAGGATAAAGGCAAACAGGAGGCTTGCAAAGGCCCAAAACTCTTCTAGCTCCCTAAAAAAGTTAGGTCAGGCCAGGTGCTCACGCCTGTAATTGCAGCACTTTGGGAGGCCCAGGCGTTGTGGATCACATGAGGTCAGGGGTTCAAGACCAGCCTGACCAACATGGTGAGACCCTGTCTCTACTAAAAATACAAAAAATTAGTCAGTGTGGTGGCACATGCCTGTAATCCCAGCTACTTGGGAGGCTGAGGCAGGAGATCACTTGAACCCAGGAGGCGGAGGTTGCAGTGAGCCGAGATAGCGCCATTGGACTCCAGCCTGGGTGACAAGAGCAAAACTTCATCTCAAAAAAACAAAAAGTCAGATCAGCATGGAAAATGACACATGACCCATTATTTCTTTAATAGATAAAAAGACAACACAAGTGGCCAGGCGCCTGTAATCCCAGTACTTTGGGAGGCCAAGATGGGAGGATTGCTTGAGGCCAGGAGTTCGAGACCAGCCTGGTCAACATAGCGAGATCCTATCTTATTAGAAAAAAAAAAAGACAACAGCAGCATTTGTAGTTTTTCCGGTATCAACAGTCTAGCAAAATCTCAAATACAAAATATTAAAATACAAAGAATTAGAATTTGGGTGAGACTATTTCAGCGTTCCAGGCACTGTTCTACAATTAATTGGATCAGCAACAAAACCCAGGACAAGAGCAGAAACCACACACAATGGTTCTCTATGAGTGCTTCTCTAAGAGGAGACAGATCTTTTTCCTCAAGTATCTTCTTAAAATTGTTTAGCAATAAAAAAAAAAAAAAAAACGTAGGCCAGGCGCAATGGCTCACGCCTGTCATCCCAGCACTTTGGGAGGCTGATCACTTGAGGTCAGGAGTTCAAGACCAGCATGGCCAACATGGTGAAACCCCATCTCTATTAAAAATACAAAAATTAGCCACGCATGGTGGTGGCTCATGCCTGTAATCCCAGATACTCGGAAGGCTGAGGTATAAGAATTGTTTGAACCCGGGAAGCGGAGGTTGCAGTGAGCAGAGATTGTGCCACTGCACTCCAACCTGGGCAACACAGTGAGAGAGAGAGAGAGAGAAAGAAGGAAAGAAGAAAGGAAGGAAGGGAGGAAGGAAGGAAGGAAAAGAGAAGAGAAGAGAAGGCTCCTATCTCATGCTCAAGTTAGCTATTTCTGGAGTCAGATCAAAGCCTAGTTCCACAATTTATCAGCCACATGATTTTGGCCCTATTACACAGACCCTCTAAGACTCAGTCTCCTCATGTGTAAAATGAGGCTAAGAATAGAGTTATCTTGTTGTAGTGGTTGAGACATCTAGTAGAGTGTCTAGCATGTGGTAGATGCTCAATAGGTAGTATTTGTTAATACTAGGTTTTATGTTCTGCTGCCATTTTTATTCTTTATTAAAGCCAAACTCATTATTTCTCCCCCCAAACTCATATATCTTTTATTAAGTTTCCCAGCCTGATAAATAATACCAAAGCTTTTCTAGTTTACCACATTCAAGTCCCTGGGATCATCTTTCATCCCTCCACACATACCAGGTCCCTGCTACTCTGCAACAGCTCTCTACTGCATCCTTCATTTTCAGTTCTCTAACGTAAGATTATTATTTATTGAACACTTATAGGCTGTACCCCAATGTTGGATGTTCACAGCTTTGTATAACTAGCTATCTCAAAAGCATATGTCACCTACTGCTTCAAAACAAACAAAAACTTCTCATAAGTCAACCATAGTCACAGGAAACAAATTACATGAATCACCACTTTCCTGTCCTGGGCTCAATGAGCATCACCCTCCAGCCTCTCTCTATCAAGCTGTACAAGCCCACTTTCCTCAAGTTCTAATTGAATGTCTTTATTTCAACCCCATTCAATTATCCTTGCCTTGTTGTAAGCATGACCTTTTCGTGTTTTTGCTAAGAAGAGCATGCTACAAAACATGCCTATTTCACAGGCACTTTAAAACAGACACACGAGGCTGGGCGCGGTGGCTCACGCCTGTAAATCCCAGCACTTCGGGAGGCCGAGGCAGGCAGATCACTTGAGGTCAGGAGTCCAAGACCAGCCTGGCCAACGTAATGAAGCCCCGTCTCTACTGAAAATACAAAAATTAGCCGGGCATGTTGGTGCGCGCCTATAGTCCCAGATACTCGGGAGGCTGAGGCACAAGAATCGCTTGAACCCATGAGGTGGAGGCTGCAGTGAGCCAAGATCACATCACTGCGTTCCAGCCTGGGTGAGAGTGAGACTTCGTCACAAAAAAAACCAAAAAACAAAAAAAACAAACACATACAAATAAAAAGATAATTAACTATGCATATCTGCAGGGTAAAGGTCCAAACCAGAATATCTTTTTTTTTTTTTTTTTGAGATGGAGTTTCACTCTTGTCACCCAGGCTGGAGTGCAGTGGTGCGATATCGGTTCACTGCAACCTCCGCCTCCCAGGTTCAAGTGACTCTCTTGCCTCAGCCTCCCGAGTAGCTGGGACTAAAAGCATGCGCCCCCACGCCCGGCTAATTTTTGTATTTTTAGTAGAGACCAGGTTTCACCACGTTGGCCAGGCTGATCTTGAACTCCTCACCTCAGGTGATCTGCCCACCTTGGCCTCCTAAGGTGCTGGGATTACAGGCGTGAGCCACTGTGCCCAGCCTAGAACATCTTTCAAATGTGAGTAGTCATAATGAGTCCTAAAAAGAAGCTTAGTCACTGCTAAGAGTTTTCATATGCATGTCAATGTGTATATATAACAACTTATTATTATATATACAATAAATATATACAGCTTAATTTTGTTCAGCTGTCAAAAAAAAAGTAAAAGCTATATTTTTCCTTTGAAATTGAGCAGCATTAATTTCAGTAAATTAGGAAGTATGATCTTTGGTCTGGATCAGCCCAACATCATATTCTATGCACAAAAGCAAAATACACCTATTTATCAGCATGATCTCTCAATTACTGCAACAGTACACAGATTAAAAAAGTGACTTTCTTCTATACTTGTTCAAATATACAACATGCTAAGAATTAATTATATATACACCCCCAGTCAACCTTTTCAAAAAGATACCCAATTTATGCATAAACAATCACACAGACCTGACTTATACATTTTTATAAACATTTCACTAAATTTTTAAAGGTATGCAAAAGATATTGGCCTGATTACTTTACATAAGTACAATCGGGAAGATTACATACATTTTTAATTATAATATGAGTTTCATAATAATCCATTTGTTTGACCCTAAAGCATCAATCTTGCCAGAAGCATCAAATTCTCTATTTTTGGATAATGGGGTATAGATTTGAAGGTCTGATTTTAGCTGAGAAAAGGATATACTATCTATAACAAGCCTAATGACTAAACAGCTGCAGATTCTAAAAAAGAGTTTTATAATACTCTGAGATAGGCACTAATTTATGCTTTAAATTTTCCATCCAGTGATATCTTTTTAGACACATGCAAGGAGAAAGCTACAATACTTAAAGAGCTGGTGTGTGACCTCATGTAGTGAAGGACAGCAAAGAGAGAAATGTTTTAGATGTATCTCATTTGCAGCAACCTCACAGACTTGTTTTTTTTTTAAGTTATCTATTCTTCTATCTCTTCAGACAGACCATAAGCCATATAAAGGCAAGAAAAGTATGGTTTATTTATCCTTGTAATTCAAAGTTCCCTACACACAGTAACTAAAAATCAGAGTTCACATTTAGAGTTGGTTTCCTAAGAGTAGAGATGTCCATTCTCATCCACTTTCACACTGGGCCCATCCTGCTGGCACTAACAGTGTGTGTTTTGAGAACCAGGTATATGAAACAACCATTTTAACAAATGAGTAAATAGAAAGATAAAAACAACATATTTAAATAATAAACTATTTTTATATAAAAGGCAGAAGGAGAGCTTAAAGTTACATGAAAGTATAGAGGAAAAGGTCACAGGTTGAAGTATGACAATGACTAGGAGAAAACATTTGGACTCTGTACATGATGTGTAATATATATCAGATATATGTATACGTATAATACATGTATGCATATGTGTATGTACATATGTAAGATATGTACATATCTCATAAATCTTTGAGTTTTAAAACCCAAGATTAGAAGTAAGAACTGAAGTTTCCATTTGCAATGTTGCATAAACAGAGCCATTGTATAAAAGGAGGTTTTATGTTCGGGAAAAAGTCAAATTTAACTTAGAAACTAATAACCTATTTCTCCCAAGTAATATCCACCCAGGAATTTTTTTTAAGCTTCAGAAACTTATAACTAAAGGCAAGTCATTAAAAGTATAGCATTTAGCATTTTATTAGGGAGCTTTTCATTTGTTTAATTTCAAACTACAGTAATATTTCTTAACAAGGTGTTCAAGGTGCTAAATTTATTTTTATTATATTTATTATTTTAAATTCTTAATCATCCTTAATCAAGAACCAATAGTATTCGAACCATTTTTGAAAATTTAATGGCAAAGAGATCTTCAGATAACTATTATTAACATAAAATAGTTCAATCACCCAATTTCAAGAAGAATACAAAAGCCATTGCATGGAAGTAAGAGATCTGTGATCTAAACACAAAAATATATTAAGTGTCACGAAGGCTTAAATTCAAAAGGCAGGTAGTATTTTGTACAATAGGAAAGAAAAAGCAAATATAAGAGTATCATCTTTATTTATGTGTGTGCATATTTACATACATACACACACATACATTATTTTCAATAGACGACAGATTCAAGAGTTTAAATGTTTTGGGTTAAATTGCTAAAATCACCACAGACATAAATTATATCATTCTGAAACATCACGAAAAAACTTAAAACCTTGGTCTTAACAAATTATATGCAAATGAAGCCAAATACTCAGACTAGGTATGCCATAATAGAAAAATATTTAAACTAATGTTTGTTACAGTTTCAACACTTGCCATCTGAAAGTTACTCTCCCAGTAAAACATGCTTACAACTGAATAACAGCTATGGAAACTTCAAATAACTTCTCTGAATAATTTGTGATTATTACCATAGTAAAATAATTTCTAGTAAGGTTCATTTCACAGCTGTTCAAGGGTAATCAACTATAGCCAGTAATCATAATCTACACTATTATCCCAAGTTCTAGCTCATATCCAAACACCTACCTTATTACCCTTCAAAATCTGGATTCAAATGCATCAAGCAATCTAAGTTAATGGGTCTACATGAAAAATAATTTTTAAAAAAACTCTTTGCTCATAAGTACTTGAACATAAATTAAATCTGTCACTGCCCTGCCTTCTTATTCCTGTCCCAC
Source organism: Homo sapiens (assembly GCF_000001405.40). NCBI lineage: Eukaryota > Metazoa > Chordata > Mammalia > Primates > Hominidae > Homo > Homo sapiens. Next base: position 18,511,777 of record NC_000023.11, on the reverse strand, counting down.
CACCTTTTCTCTTTTCCCATTAGGCAGCTTTTCACTTATACAGTCATGCATCACTTAATGACAAGAATACATTCTGAAAAATATGTCATTAGGTGATTTTTATCACTGTGCAAACATCATAGAGTGTACTTACACAAACCTAGATGGTATAGCCTACTACACATCTAGGCTACATGGTATAGCCTATTGTTTCAAGGCTACAAACCTGTATAGCATGTTACCTTACTGAGTACCATAGTCAATGATAAGTATTTGTGTATCTGAAAATGTTTTTTATCTAAACAAAAAATACCATATCATAATCTTACGGGACCACCATCATACATGCTGTCCACTGTTGATCTAAATGTCATTATGAGGTGCACGGCATAGGTCAGTTGAAAAAAAAAAATAGCACGTGATTGCTAAGAACTAAGGACTACCCAACCATGATCAAGCTTATCTAAAAGTAGTCTCTTTCTGGCAGCATTCACATATTAATTCCACTTCATTAAACAACATCCTCATAACCAGAGTTTTAATTACAGGTTGAGCATCCCTAATTCAAAAATCCAAAATGCTCCAAAATCCAAAACTTTGAGTACTGATATGATGCCACAAGTGGAAAATTCCACATATAAGTATTTAAACTTTGTTTTAGGCAAAAACTTAAAATATTGCATAAAATTACCTTCAAGCTATATGTATTAAGTATATATGAAACATAAATGAATTTTGTGTCTAGCCTTGGGTCCCATCCCCAAGGTATCTCATTACATATATGGAAATATTCCAAAATCCAAAAAAATCCAAAACATTTCTGGTCTCAAGCATTTCAGATAAGGAATGCTCAACCTGTACATGCCCACACGCAAAGACCACTACATTAGTTTCAAAACAGTTAAACATATACAGATATTTCTTTTTAAAAATAATGTACTTGCCTTGTGTCTGCATTTAAGTACAACTCCATAGGCTCCTATAATAAAAAGAAGTAAACAATCAAGGGCACGCATACAAACTACAAAGCTCTGCTATACTGACATTGCTTCTCAGTGTTATAATAATGACTACTAAAGTGACAAGATTCTATAGTGATAATGCAATAATGAGCCACATACAAATGGAACATACTTTATTATACATTTATTATAAATCAAGAGTATAGACAAGTCATTTCTTCCAACAAGTATTTTTAAATGTTTCTTTTTAAAGAAAATTTCACTGGCGATACGTTTAAATGTAGGGTTACACATTTATGGAGACAAGATTTGGTCTCAAGAACTTTGAGAATAAAGGAAAATTAACTCAGAAGATTCTGTGGAACTTAAAACTTAAGAGCTAGGCCAGGCACAGTGGCTCACGCCTATAATCCCAGCACTTTGGGAGGCCGAGGCTGGCAGATCACCTGAGGTCAGGAGTTCAGGACCAGCCTGGCCAACATGGCAAAAACCCATCTCTACTAAAAATACAAAAATTAGTTGGGTATAGTTGCAGGTGCCTGTAATCCCAGCTACTCAGGAGGCTGAGGCAGGAGAATCGTTTGAACCCAGGAGGCAGAGGTTGCAGTAGTCCAGATCGCGCCACTGCACTCCAGCCTGGGCAACAGAGCAAGACTCCATCTCGAAAACAAACAAACAAACAAACAAAAAAACCTTAAGAGCTAATGACATCCCAGTAGTAAGCTCAAGCACAGAGCCCACCAAATACATTATCTGTTCTAGAAGACATTAAAATCTTCCTCTAGGATACTGAAATGCCCCTCTTTTTTTTTTTTTTTCTGTTTTGTTTTGTTTTTTAAGTTTTTTTTGTAGAGACATGGTCTCACTATGTTGCCCAGGCTGGTCTCAAACTCCTGGCCTCAAGCAATCCTCCCACCTCAGCCTCCCAAAGTGCTGGGATTATAGGCATGCACCACCACACCCAGCTGAATGTCTCTCCTGACTGGCAAAGTAGTCCAGGCCTCAGTATTCCAATTAATAGCTAGTAGGATTTGCTACCTTTTGCCATAAATAAAGACTCAGTTCATGCACAAAGGCGACAAGCACTCCCACTGTCTTTGGTGTATTTCAACAAGTAACTACCTTTGGGGTTACTTATCCTATTATCTAGGCAATAGACTTCTTCCTTAGAAGTAGGACAGAGTTGACAGCAAAGTACTCAGGAAACTGAGGTTAAAATTATAATGTGAAAAATCTAATTAAGAGAATCAAAATGTAATGAATGATAGCTGAGCTTTGCAGAAACATCAAGAACATTAACATTAGCAGACTGGCAAGCCTGCATTCATCTATGAGAAGGGGGCTTCACGGATACAAAATTGGGAAATGTGTCTCCAACACAGTCTATGGGACCTGAACAAGTCTCCCTCACTTTGGTAGAGATGGATGAATCCTATTATCACAGTTAGCATAGAACCAGCCATTATAACCATCTAACTTAACTCCACAATTGCCAGGCAATTGTCCAATTCTAACTGCCTATGCCAGTTATTCTATGGGGTAAAAAATACACTGTCTAAACTACAAGAATGCAGAGTTTGCTTGACAGGGGTGTGTGTGTGTGTGTGTGTGTGTGTGTGTGTGTGTGTGTGTGTGTGTGCGTGTTTTGAGACAGTCTCGCTCTCTCATCAGGCTGGAGTGCAGTGGCACAAGCTCACTCACTGCAACCTGTGTGTGTGTGTGTGTGTGTGTGTGTGTGTGTGTGTTTTGAGACAGTCTCGCTCTCTCATCAGGCTGGAGTGCAGTGGCACAAGCTCACTCACTGCAACCTCCACCTCCTAGGTTCAAGCGATTCTCCTGCCTCAGCCTCCTGAGTAGCTGGGACTACAGGCGCCCGCCACCACACCCAGCTAATTTTTGTATTTTTAGTAGAGACAGGGTTTCACCATGTTGGCCAAGATGGTCTGGATCTCTTGACCTTGTGATCCACCACCTCAGCCTCCCAAAGTGCTGGGATTATAGGCATGAGTCACCGTTCCTGGTGACAGATTGTTATATACTTTATATGTATATCCTAGCCAAAAATACATGTGAGGTGCTTTCCAAAGAAAGAAACATACAGCAATGGTAGTTCTGATAACAAAGTAACATATTCTGATATATATATATATATATAACAGTCTGGTAATTTTGAGCCAATCCCAAAGAAGATGATCACCTATGGCTATAATGAGAAAAACTAGTTATGATCCAGAAAAACTTAGGCCCAGAATCTGGAGCATTCTAACCTTGTTACACCGTATGTGCTAGCCTTCTCCAGTCAGCAGCTTTATTGCATTGGTCTCTAATTCTAATACTTTTGAAAAATAAAATAGGCTATTCCAGAACAGATGGTAAGCAAGACACTGAAAATGAAATTTTTACATAACATCGATGAAGAAATGGAAGAGGAGTTGACTAGTGAAGGAACAAAGACCTATTTGTTTTGTATGGTTTGAATTTCAGACCTTGAAACAAGCATCCAATGATTAAACTCTTTATTTTAATTGTTTCTATGTATTTGAAAGGATTTGCCAACTTTAAAACTTAATAACAGCTTTGCTGTTCACATAGGTGAACTTTTTTAGTCCTTTAGGAATTCAGAGTTTATTTGAAAATTCTGAAATATGAAATTTTTGTAACATATGCTTTAAAGATATAAATGCTAAGAAACCATAATTATAATCACTTATCTTCTGTTAACAGAATCATTTATCAAAATTTCCAAAGTTATCTTTAAGTCTAGAGCAAAAATCACTAAGCAGGAAAAATCAGAAGAAATGATTTTTTTTTAGGAGTCAGTTTATACAAAATGACATCATATTTCATCAAATCAATGGTATATCATTGGTCATGAGCATTATTTTATGTACTATTAGGAAAGGGAGAATGCTGCCAATTAAACTGTGACATGATACTGATTATAAGATACACCCTGATTTCAGAGATAAAATTGTATGCCTCAGAATTTACAAAACATAGTCTCCCATTTTCAAAGAAACAGAATTTACTTATTTGTTTATTTACCAGGTATTAAGTAAAATTTCACCAACATGGTGAAACCCAGTCTCTACTGAAAATACAAAAATTAGCTGGGCACAGTGGCTCACGCCTGTAATCTCAGGAGGCTGAGGCAGGAGAATCGCTTGAACCCAGGAGGCAGAGGCTGCAGTGAGCCGAGATCATGCCACTGCACTCCAGTCTGGGTAACAGTGAGACTCTGTCTTGAATGAATGAATGAATGAATGAATGAATGAATGAATGAAATTTAAGTTATTCAAAATAAGCCTAGCTGATATAAAAATAAAATGGAACCAAGAAAAAAAATGCAGACTAAGGAACTCATGATTGCTAAAAAAAAAAAAAAAAAAAGAATGAAGGCAAAGACTGTTGTAACACTGGGGCTCTTTTTAAAAGAAAAGGGAAAAAAATCTTTGATTTATTAAACTTTAAAGGGTTTTAAAAAGTTATTAATTTTTTATTGGAGAGTGAGACCCAAATTGTTTAAGAGTAATTTTATTTTTAATATTTTACTCTTAGACACACATGTGAATTGATATAGGTTAAATTAACAGGATCTAATTAGTAACTTTTTGGTGGTAGGAATAACTAACTGTTCATTGCTCAAAACTCAAGGAACGCAAAAATTCCAACTTACCTTCACCTACAACCCCAAGGATCTCAAATTTATTCATCACATTACCAATGTTAGGAATCTTCATGAAGACAAACTCCTCTTTTGATGCAAGCCACAAAACATGGCACCAAAAGAACTTCTCAGAAAGCTGTGCAGTAAGATCCAAAACCGTCTGAAGGAAGAAATTCTCACTGGTTGGTGGGAACTTTCACATATTTGTTCTAATCATGAAGTATTAAATGACTCCCTGAAAAAAACAAACACAATTAAAAGCTGTAAGTTTTATATTTGCAGTACTCTAGTAACCAATCTTACCTTTTTGTAGAGTTATTTTTCAATCCATTTTAATGTTTTATACACTTAAAATGAAGAAGAAACCAACAGTAATAGGAGCGAAGAACCCAAAATGGAATGAATACAAACAAATGAACCTCTCTGTATTTGAAATGAATAATATAACCACACTTTTGGGGACAAGGACAAATGAATTAACCACAGCTAACTTTTAAAAACAGCATTTTCACTATCTACTCTCCTAAAGCTAAAAATAAAAAGAATTATAAACAAATACTATATTCTACTTAGCTACCTGCTTTTATACAATGACATGAAACTTGTTTGTGTGTGTTCTAAGATTGGGCAAATAGGTAAATATTCTGTGAATATACTGACCTTGGTTTCTTATTCTCATAAAAGGGAGTAACAAATATAAAAAGGGAGAAGGCTTGGAGTTGGAGTTAACAATATAAGCTCAGTTTTTAATATATAGGAGTATAGACAGATATAAAGGTGTTTGTGTAAATGTGCACTCACATACATATATTTCCTAGCTCTGTCTGCTGAGAAGGCCTAGAAGCAATGATACCCCTATAGCTATGAACACAGCTGGTGCTCTGATAAAAGGAACTAGGGTTCCTTGAAGAAATGGCTGATTCCAAGGGTGGGGCAGGAGAAGGACCATAGGAGCCTAGGGCATATTTTTGTGGTGCCAGAAAGTAAGGAAATGCTCAAAGAATGATAGGGGTACCTCAAAAGGACACAGGAGTCAGACTGATGTGACTCCCACTGGCCTAATCGGGAATATTTGAGCAACAAAGTAAATAAGCACAGTAACAGATTATAACCCATATAATTTTTTTAAAAGTCCTTACTGACATAAATAAATAAATGGGGGAGAAGAGAAAGCTCTTTTGCGAAGTATAATTCCAAATAATAAATGTAGTGATAAAATTAGAAGATCGCCATTTGGCAATCACTCTGGTAATAATTATTTCAAGCAAGTATGATCAATACATGCTAAAACTAGTGGTTGAAAATTTGATGGAAAACAGGATATTATCTAATCTCAAAGTATCCACAAGATACCTATTAATTACAAGAAGAAAAATAGTAATTTTACACTGAAGAATCCTGCCAGACACCACCTTAATTAAATGATCAAGTTAACGTCATCAATAAGGGGACAAACCAACATTATATGCCCCCTGATAGGATGTATCACATCACCACTTCTGTGGCATTCCTGCCAGAAATGCAAAACCTGAATCTAATCACAAGAAGCAAGAGACAAGCCCAAGCTGAGGGACATTTTACTAAATAATTGGCCCATATTCTTTTAAAATGTCAAGGTCATGAAAGACAAGAAACAACTGAGTAACAAGAAGCGACTATTCCAGATTAAAGAAGATTAAGAGATATGACAATGAAATACATTGCATGATCCTGGATTACATCCTGGACAAGAAAAAGCTTTTGTTCTTTTTTCGCTATGAAGAACAATTGATACAATTCAAATGTTCACAGATTATAGTACTGTTGTCAGTAGTTTTCTAATTTTCATATTAGTACTTCGGTTATATAAAACAATGCTCTCATTTTTAAGAAACAGCACTAAAGTTTTTAAAGGGGCATCATGTTTACAACTTAAACCACTGAGAAAAATTATATGTGTGTATGAGGGAAGAGAAAAAAGACAGAAAGAATGATAAAGCAAATATGATAAAATATTAACACACTTGGAAAATCTAGGTCAAGGGTATAGGAAGTAGGAAATTCTTTGCACTATTTTTGCAGTTTTTCTCTAAATCTGAAATATTTTCAAAATAAGCTTTGTTTCAAAAAGCTTATCCCATCTCTAAGAATAACAGTGGTAACAACACAAAATATTGTTTTAAAAGGAAGAAACAAATCTAAACAAGAAGTTCCTTACTGCCTATAAAATCTGAAACTTTCTTTTTTTTTTTTTTTTTGAGACGGAGTTTCGCTCTGTCGCCCAGGCTGGAGTGCAGTGGCGCGATCTCGACTCACTGCAAGCTCCGCCTCCCGGGTTCACACCATTCTCCTGCCTCAGCCTCCCGTGTAGCTGGGACTACAGGCACGCGCCACCATGCCCGGCTAATTTTTGTATTTTTTTTAGTAGAGACGGGGTTTCACCGTGTTAGCCAGGATGGTCTCGCTCTCCTGACCTCGTGATCCGCCCGTCTCGGCCTCCCAAAGTGCTGGGATTACAGGCGTGAGCCACCGCGCCCGGCCAAAATCTGAAACTTTTAACAAGAATACCCCATGTGATGTGGGTAAGTATTGTCAAGGAGTGCCCTTCCATACACTGATGGTAGAAATGTAAATTGGTGCAAATTTTCTAAAAAGCAATATATACATAATTAGGTGATTTTAAAATGTGCATATCCTGATAAGGGCATCTGACAAAAACCTACAACAAACATCATTCTTAAATGTGAAGCAGTAGACATAGTCCCTTTAAAACTTAAGAACATGTGCCCAGGCACCATGGTTCACGCATATAATCCCAGCACTTTAGGAAGCCAAGGCAGAAGGATCGCTTGAGCCCAGGAATTAGAGACCAGCCTGAGCAACACAGGGAGACCCAGTCTCTACAAAAACAAAAAAAACAAACAAAAACAAAAAAAACCTAGCCTGGTGGGCATGGTTGTGGGAGGCTGAGACGGGAGGATCACTTGAGCCCAGGAGGTCAAAGCTGCAGTGAGCTGTGATTGCGCCACCGGACACTAGCCTGGGCAACAGTGTGAGACCCTGTCTCCACCAAACAAACAAAAACATGACAAGGAGTTCTACTATTAATACTTATTAACATTAGTATTAAACATCCTAGCCAGGCACAGTGGCTCGTGTCCATAATCCCAGCACTTTGGGAGGCTGCTGGGAGGCTGAGGTGGACGGATCACTCATGCTCAGGAATTCAAGACCAGCCTAGGAAATGTGGTGAAACCCTTTCTCTAGAAAAACTACAAAAACTAGCCGGGTGTGGTTGTGCACGCCTGTAGTCCCAGCTACTCTCAGATGGTGAGGAGGGAGGATTGCTTGAGCCCAGGAGGGCGAAGCTGCGGTGAGCCGTGATCGCACCACTGCACTCCAGCCTGGGCAACACCGCAAGACCCTGTCTCAAAAACAAAAACAAAACAAAAACATCCTTGTGGGTTATAGCTGGCTTAGTAAAATAAGAAACAATAAATGAATAAAATGTATGATTGAAAAGAGGGAAACGAAAACAGAATTTGCATATATTACCTCATAGAAAATTCAAAAGAATTCATAAATTATTGGAATTATTAGTGTTTGGCAAGGTAGCTGAACATAAGCTTAATACACAAATATCAGCAGCATCTGTAAAGAGCATTTGTAAGAAATAGAAAATGCAATTTTTAAAAATCACATTTATGGGCGGGGCACAATGGCTCACGCCTATAATCACAGCACTTTGGGAGGCTGAGGCAAGCAGACTGCTTGAGCTCACGAGTTCGAGACCAGACTGGGCAACATGGCAAAATCCAGCCTCAACAAAATATATAAAAATTAGCTGCATGTGGCAGAGCATGCCTGTAGTCCCAGCTACTCCAGAGGCTGAGATGGGAGGATGGTTTGAGCCCGGGAAGCGGAGGCTGCAGTAAGCCAAGATTGTGCCATTGCACTCTAGCCTGGACAATAGAGCCAGACCTTGTCTCAAAGAAAAACAAAAACAAACCACATTTACAATAATTTTAAAAAGCACCTAAGATTTAACAAAAGATATTCAAAACGACTTTTCAAATATATATGTAACTTTACTCAAGACATTAAAAAACACGTAAATAAGTTATCCAAATTTTACAGCTAGGAAGATTCAAAACTATAAAGGTATCAATTCTTTCCATATTGATCTATATAGTCAATGCAATTCCAATCACAATCCCAACAAGGTTTTCTAAAGAATTAAGACAAGCTGATTTTAAAATATATATGGAAGGGCAGAGTTCCAAGTAGAAGCAACACCCTCCTACTACAAGTATGAGCAGCAAAGAATAAGAAAAAGAAAAGAGTAAGAAAGATAAGAAAAGTTACAAGAGCACTAGGCTTTGAGGGTAGGATCTGGCAGGATGCCCTACTGAATAGGTTGAGGATTATAATAGAGTGAGGGAAATTAAGACAGGGTGGTTCTGGCACGGATAAATAACCAATAGAACAGATGTGAGAGCCCAGAATAGACCATACTTCAGTATCCCTACAGATTCCTACAGACCTTAAAGAAGTCAGAGTAACTCTTGAAGATAACTCAGACCATGTCACTTCTCATAAACTTCTCATTCAAAACCCTCTAATGGCCTCCCATATCATTAAGAGTGAAAAGCAAAATCCACATGAGCCACAGGCCTTGACCTCCCCTCCTGATATCATCTCCTACTAGACTCTCCCTTGACTAGCTTCACTCCAGCTACACTGACCTCCTTTCGCTATACTTAGCTTAGAAAACTTTAGTTCACTGGAATCAAAAATTTTTTAAGGATTATTCTGATATTTAGAGAAAAAGATGTCACAATTTGAGATGAAATATTTATTAATTCATTAAGCAAATAATTACTGACTGCCTCCCATGTTTTCAGGATAAGACACACAACATAGTGGTAAACAAGACAGGCAAGGTCCTTACCCTCATGGAACTTTACATTTTGCTGGTGGAGAAAAAATACGAGACTATTATCTTGTATTTTGTTATGAAAGAGGGAAAAAGAATGATAGACAGGGAGGGCTTCTCTAAAAAGGTAACATTTGAGCTGAGATGGCAATGACAAGGAGCCAGCTATATGAGGATCTATGTCAGTCACATTCCTGGTAAAAGATGCTCAGAGCATTTCTGAAAACGAATCACTCTTTCATTTTCTACGGCTGGTTTGAAAGAACACTCAGGAAATATTTAAATATTCTACTCTCTGCCAATAATGGTATGGTTCATTTCAAAGGAAACTTGAGATAAAAATTAATCATTCTCACTAAGAAGACCCAAAAAGTTCTGTATAAAAGTATTTGTAAAGAACATTTGTGGCCGGGCGTGGTGGCTCACGCCTGTAATCCCAGCACTTTGGGAGGCCAAGGCAGGTAGATGACCTGAGGTCAGGAGTTCGAGACCAGCATGACCAATATGATGAAACCCGATCTCTACTAAAAATACAAAAATTAGCTGGGTATGGTGGTGCGCGCCTGTAGTGCCAGCTACTCGAGAGGCTGAGACAGGAGAATTGCTTGAACCCGGAAGGCAGAGGTTGCAGTAAACCGAGATCTTACTACTGCACTCCAGCCTGGGCGACAGAGCGAGACTGTCTCAAAAAAATAAAAAAAAATAAAAATTTTTTAAAAAAAACATTTGGTCTCACTATTCTTTGTGGCAGTCAAAACTGAGTAATAAAAACTGGGAATTAGGCCAGGTGAGATGGCTCATGCCTGTAATCCCAGCACTTTGGGAGGCTGAGGAGGGTGAATAACCTGAGGTCAGGAGCTCGAGACCAGCCTGGCCAACATGGTACAACCCCGTCTCTACTAAAAATACAAAAATTAGCCAGGTGCGGTGGCAGGCACCTGTAATCCCAGCTACTCGGGAGACTGAGACACGAAAATCACTTGAACCCGGGAGGCAGAAGTTGCAGTGAGCTGAGATATTGCCATTGTACTTAAGCCTGGATGACAAGAGTGAAAACTCCGTCTCAAAAACAAAAACAAACAAACAAAAAAACTGGGAATCAGAATGTGAGTGGGGCCGGCTACAGTGGC